>NC_000005.10:104484807-105109807 GCF_000001405.40 Homo sapiens
TTCTAAATTCAATATTTCAGCAATGCAGCTGCACACTGCACTTCTATTAGGGCTATGTGTCCCCTTGTTTCTTTAATACCTACGTTCATCAAACCTTGCTCAGATCCTAGTGAATCTTCTGATATAACTGAGTTAAATAGATAACAGGCTTTAACATTAAGGACTCACTAAACAATTTTAAATCACAAGGAACCTAAATATCTCAATATTATTTACTTTTTCTCAACATGTCACCTTTTATATCTAAAAAAAAAGTGTTAGTAGCTTTTACTCAAAAGAATAACAAGAAATGTTTAGTAAAAAATAAATTAAGGTCTTAGGTAGACAACTGTGGGAATAGTGAATATTGACTCTCAACCAAGGCTATCTACCACAAGTGGATTCCTTGGATTCATAACAATATCGTTTATTAAATAAGTTCAGAATGATTTTAAATCACCACGAAGACTACAAAAAATTTAAAAATCAGGAAGATTTTTAATTACATAGCTTTTAGAAGTATAGGTCAACTTGAAAACAACATGACTTAGCATGAGTCATATAAGTAATGTTTTTTGGTAAATTATACTTTAATGAGAACTTCAATGTGAAAGTAATTCACTTGGTAAAAGTAACTCAATTTGTCAAAGAAACTTACCAAATTTTCCTTCAGTGGAGTAATAGCACGTTTCAACTGAAGAGAGACCAGAAGTGAAGTATGTACTTCATGTGTGATATGATGTAGACATGTCTGTTGTCTATTTCAAAGAAAATAATAATAACCTTTTCATTTTGAGACAGAAAGGAGATGCAGAGAATCAAGACAGAGGCTACACAGCAAGCGATTTTCCTAAATATGTTGAAATGGATGCAGATTCCCTTAGAGAGCATCCAGTCCTAACTTCTTCTGAATGAGGGTAGAGGGAACACTGATTTAGCCTTGGCTGTATGCTTCTGATTAAGGTGATCTAATTCTTCATGAAGTTGCCTCTTCAATTCTTAACTCAGGTTTTGTATTTATTTTCTTCTACATATTGAGTGAAAAGCTACATCCCTGTATCTACTTCAAACATATACTTTGCCCCTTTCTATAAATTTCAAGTGTCATTTCCAAAATAATATTTTTAGCATTAAGGCCAATTTCCATTTATCAATGATAAATTAGAGTGAAATTAATAATAGTCAATATTCATAGCCAAACAAATAATTATTTTGGCTGAGAATATTTTTCATCATTACTAAATTATACCCATTGTGTCACCACTTTTATTTATTTCTCCTGTTCATTTAAATATTTAAGAGTTTCGGCCGGGCACAGTGGCTCACGCCTGTAATCCCAGCACTTTGGGAGGCCAAGGCCGGCGGATCACGAGGTCAGGAGATCCAGACCATCCTGGCTAACACAGTGAAACCCCATCTCTACTAAAAATACAAAAAATTAGCCGGGTGTGGTGGCGGCCGCCTGTAGTCCCAGCTACAGCCACTCGGGAGGCTGAGGCAGGAGAATGGTGTGAACCCGGGAGACAGAGCTTGCAGTGAGCAGGGATCGCGCCACCACACTCCAGCCTGGGCAACAGAGAGAGACTCCATCTCAAAAAAAAAAAAAAAAAAAAAAAAAAAAAGAGTTTCTAGCTATATGATACTAAGTTCTTAGAAGAAAAGATGAAAACAGCATATTCACATATAATCAAGTTATAGCTTTACATTGATTGATATATTCATAGTGAAAAGAGCATTTTCATTGACGTTCTTGATTTTAAGAATCCTAGAGAATCGTATTTTTTAATACTGAAAAATGATTGTTTACTAGCAATTGTTCAGTATGAAGTACAACTAGTTTTTTTAAATGTTATATTGAAAAATGTTTGATCTTGTATATTTGGTTTTCAAATCTGCTTCCTATACAATAATTTTATATTCTAAATGTGGAAAAATTTGTATTATTTTAAAAGTAGTTGAAAATGGTATAATACAAAGGCAGTTTACCAAATATTCTAGGCCACATACATTTCTATGAAGTGTCGTATGCAACCTTTGAAATGTCTGTGAAGAGAGAGAACGTCATATGGATGATATTAATGCTTTGATTAATGTAGAGCCTTTCTGTGAAAACCTATGGCCAGTTCAAGTACCCAAGCCTTTCTCCTTATCACTACCACTTTTTGAAATTAGAGGTGGAATGCTTGAATTCTAATACCGGAGTATTCAGATGCATAAAAATGGTGGTAAGAACATAAGGAATCTTCTCAAACAAACTAGCTCAAGTTCATCTGAGCCTATGAGCCTTTTCCTAGTCAGGTAAAATAATTAATTTCTCCTAATCAGTAATACTGTATAAGAGCTATACAGTTCTCGTCCAGGCGTGGTGGCTAGTGCCTGTAATCCCAGCACTTTGGGAGGCCGAGGAGGATCGATCACCTGAGGTCAGGAGTTTGAGACCAGCCTGGCCAACATGGTGAAACCCCATCTCGACTAAAAATACAAAAAAACAAAAAACAAAACAAACAAAAAAATTAACTGGGCATGGTAGCGGGCGACTGTAAACCCAGCTGCTTGGGAGGCTGAGGTAAGAGAATTGCTTGAACCCAGGAGGTGGAGGTTGCAGTGAGCTGAGATGGCACCACTGCATTCCAGCCTGGGTGATAGAGTGAGATTCTGTCTCAAAAAAAAAAAAAAGGTACAGTTCTCAAATTTTAGAATCCAGAAGAATCGCCCAAGGTGCTTCTTTGAAAAGCAAAATCCATGACCGTATTCAGCGATGTCATCTAGAGGATGTGATATATGCAGTAGCACAGGGCCCCGTGCTCAGGAGGGCTTCCACACTTGGTTTTATGTCATATTTTCATCATCTTGAAATTCTTTATTAATTTTTTTTGAACTGGTATTTTATAAGTGAGTGAAGTCAAATCAGACCATTCAGCACGTGCATGAGGTGAGGAGAAACATGCAATGTTTGCCCACTATTCTTTGTCACATTATTTACATATAGCATTTGTGAACATGTTAAATGTTCTTAATATGTGCATCTCAAACTGGCATTACACAATATAAAAATAAATGTAAAATTCATGTTATTAATTTAAATTTTTAATTTTTCCTCACTTATAACAATATTAAATATCAAATAATAAGCACCATGACAAGGTGAAAGAGAAGTCCTACAAGAAAAAATAAAATTTTAATATTTAATGACAATATTTTCTGCTTTTTTGAACAAGGGCACCCATGATTTCATTGTTCCTAGGCCTTGAAAATTACTCTTTTTTCAACAGGTCTAGGGTGGGACTGGACATTTGTATCTTTATCAAGCTTATGATGCAGATAGTACATAAAACACATTCTCCCTACAGCATTCATTTGAGCCCTGTGAAATATACTCCTGTGTTATTTGTGTTTACATGAATGTAGCTCAGACCATACAAGATTACAAGGTCTATCAAGGCAAGATATATGAAATAATTTTAGGTCTCTTCCACTGTTTATCTGAGTGTCTTACATATGGTGTTTTTTAAAGGAAATATTTATATATTAATAAAATTATAAAGAGACATATGATGACAGTCTTACCAAGTAGCGATAAATTTTTTAAAAACACACAATAAGACTGAATTTAGGGAAAAAAAAGTAGTCTGTTGTTACACTTATGACCTAACTTAGCATAGTATCCATGAAATTACAATTCTTTAACTGAAGTTCATTCCATTTCCACCTATAAATTGTGAACATAAAGCATTTTCTCCAGTTCTTAAAAGGTACTTACAATTAAAATAAACTCTTGAATGAATGTACAGTTGTCCCTTGGTATCTGTGAAAAATGGATTCCTACCTCCTCCCATGCCAAAGCAGATGCTCAAGCCTCGTTTTAACATTATATTTCATATGACTTATACACATCGTCCCACATGCTTTGTATCACCTATAGATTACTTATAACACCTAATACAATGTATATATTATGTAAATAGTTATTATGCTGTATTTTTTTTCTTTTCTTTTTTTTTTTTTGAGACAGAGTTTCTCTCTTGTTGCCCAGGCTGGAGTGCAATGGCACGATCTCGGCTAACCGCAACCTCCACCTCCAAGATTCAAGCAATTCTCCTGCCTCAGCCTCCCAAGTAGCTGGGATTACAGGCATGCACCACCACGCCCAGCTAATTTGGTATTTTTAGTAGAGATGGGGTTTCTCCATGTTGAGGTTGGTCTCGAACTCCTGACCTCAGGTGGTCCGCCTGCCTAGGCCTCCCAAAGTGCTGGGATTACAGGCATGAGCCTCCGTGCCCGGCCTATGCTGTATTTTTATTGTTGTATTATTTTTATTTTTTTTTTCCAAATTATTCAAACCAAAGTTGGTTGAATCCGCCAACACAGAGAGCTGACTCCGTATAGATTCATGTTTTAGAACAAAATTTTCATGAAGGATTTCAGTGGGACATATTTTTCTCTAAATGATACCTTACATGTAAACTCACCGTATTGAACAGTTTTTGTTAGAAATGGCAGAAGACCAAAGTCCCACCCATCAGGATTCAACCCACTTTTCTATCTACATCCCTGAGGCACTGTCTGAAAAGGAGGTGTTGAGTTTCCAAATAATGTAATTACCAGATGGTCAATTCCAAAATATAAAAATAAAAATTACTCTTTATACGGTTTAAGATATACTACCTTTCAACTTAAGTAAATTTAGAAATTTAAAAGTTAATTACATTAACTTTTATTAACTTAAAATATCTTAAACATTTTAAATTAAGCAGAAATCTTTAAATTAAAATGCCTTAGAAACACTGGAGGTCAGATTCTTAACACTGCTAAGAAATTAAAATGTTGAAATATATTTTTAAATAAGCTTAATTTTTAGAAAATAAGTATTTAAATAAATTCAAAGCCAGTGACAACCTGAGTCAGCCATGAGGGTAAATTTTGTTTTTTTTCCCCTCTACTTCTAAAACAAAAAAATACAAAACAAGAGATTATTTAGTTTGGAGTTTTGCCAACTAATCTTTGCAGAAAGGCACCCTTAAGGGAACTGTCTTACAAATGAGGATACGGGAAGTTATTCATAAATTCAAAATCCCTTTTTAAAATTGTCTGAGAAAGTGTATTACAAATGAATGCTCTATAAGGTATAATCATTGAAGACTAAATCTTCCTGATTTACTTACTGAAGATTACATATGGGCTTCAGACTTATAAAAAATGGTAGCCTGCATCCCCATCAAGCTACCAATGACTTTCTTCACAGAATTGGAAAAAACTAAAGTTCATATGGAACCAAAAAAGAGCCTGCATCACCAAGTCAATCCTAAGCCAAAAGAACAAAGCTGGAGGCATCATGCTACCTGACTTCAAACTATACTACAAGGCTACAGTAACCAAAACAGCATGATACTGGTACCAAAACAGAGATATAGATCAATGGAACAGAACAGAGCCCTCAGAAATAATGCCGCTTATCTACAACTATCTGATCTTTGACACACCTGAGAAAAACAAGCACTGGGGAAAGGATTCCCTATTTAATAAATGGTGCTGGGAAAACTGGCTAGCCATATGTAGAAAGCTGAAGCTGGATCCCTTCTTTACACCTTATACAAAAATCAATTCAAGATGGATTAAAGACTTAAACGTTAGACCTAAAACCATAAAAACCCTAGAAGAAAACCTAGGCATTATCATTCAGGACATAGGCATGGGCAAGGACTTCATGTCTAAAACACCAAAAGCAACGGCAACACAAGCCAAAATTGACAAATGGGATCTAATTAAACTAAAGAGCTTCTGCACAGTAAAAGAAACTACCATCAGGGTGAACAGGCAACCTATGAAATGGGAGAAAATTTTCGCAACCTACTCATCTGACAAAGGGCTAATATCCAGAATCTACAATGAACTCAAACAAATTTACAAGAAAAAAAAAAAAACCCATCAAAAAGTAGGCGAAGGACATGAACAGACACTTCTCAAAAGAAGACATTTATGCAGCCAAAAAACACATGAAAAAATGCTCATCATCACTGGCCATCAGAGAAATGCAAATCAAAACCACAATGAGATACCATCTCACACCAGTTAGAATAGCAATCATTAAAAAGTCAGGAAACAACAGGTGCTGGAGAGGATGTGGAGAAATAGGAACACTTTTACACTGTTGGTAGGACTGTAAACGAGTTCAACCATTGTGGAAGTCAGTGTGGCGATTCCTCAGGGATCTAGAACTAGAAATACCATTTGACCCAGCCATCCCATTACTGGGTATATACCCAAAGGACTATAAATCATGCTGCTATAAAGACACATGCACACGTATGTTTATTGTGGCACTATTCACAATAGCAAAGACTTGGAACCAACCCGAATGTCCAACAGTGATAGACTGGATTAAGAAAATGTGGCACATATACACTATGGAATACTATGCAGCCATAAGAAATGATGAGTCCATGTCCTTTGTAGGGACATGGATGATTTTGAAAATCATCATTCTCAGTAAACTAAACTATCGCAAGGACAAAAAACCAAACACCGCATATTCTCACTCATAGGTGGGAATTGAACAATGAGATCACATGGACACAGGAAGGGGAACATCACACAACGGGGACTGTTGTGGGGTGGGGGGAGGGGGGAGGGATAGCATTAGGAGATATACCTAATGCTAAATGACGAGTTAATGGGTGCAGCACACAAACATGGCACATGTATACATATGTAACAAACCTGCACATTGTGCACATGTACCCTAAAACTTAAAGTATAATAATAATAAAATAAAATAAAATAAAAAAGAATTTCCAAAAAAAAGAAAAAAAAAAGGTGGCCTGAGTAATAACAACAGATGGATGGATGTGAAATGCTCAGGGACTTCTAGTATTCCAGGTCAGTAAACTGTGAAAGAAGGATGACTTCAATGATTGATAGTTCATAATAACTCATTTGGAGCTGTTACAGTCAGTTAGGTTAAAATTCCTTTTTCAGTAGTGACCTACATATGGTTGGACAAGGCAGATGAAAGCAAGTTTGTTCCTAACGGTGAGCTGTCAGTTAATAAGCCCCAAACTGTAGATTTCACTCCGGTTCCACTGTCCCAAGAAAACTGTACTATTTTACTTGAGACTTTATTTGTGAAAACATAATTTGAAGCAAATATACCCTACTTTTCAAAAATCTTCAATTTTATAGGTTTTCACTCTTGAATCAAGACTACAATTTCTATGGGTATACTTCGGTAACTGATTGACGAGTTTTAAAGTTACAATGTAATTTGGTGAAGTTACCTGGGTGATCTGACATCTCCAGGCAGTAGTTTCTTCTGTATGTAGAATGTGACTAAATTACAACACAAAAGTTTTTTTGAGTAACAGTTTATGCAAATGAGTGCTTCCTATGTATCATCTTCCATAATAATAACTGTTGCTGCTTAAAATTAAGAAACTGTGGTAGGGAAAAGTTTTATATTCTAAACATTTAATAAATGTTTCTTATTGCTTGCCAACCCATAGGTTTTTTGAAGAAAATATATATACATATATATGTACAAATTTTAAAAACATACTGCCTCTCTATATATACATCCCTTATTTGTGCTAAAAATCTAGAAATGATTTCAGAGCCAATTTGTTGAAAAAGCTTGATAATGCATTTCATGAAGAGGATGGAAGATAAAGTTCATGGGGGGGAAAATTGGTCATGAATAGCTGAGATGATCTGAAGTAATAAAAACATTGGTGCATCTGTTATTGTGCTTCCCGTCCTGTGAAGGAGAGGTGGAGAGCCATATAGAATGCTGCCTTGCACTCGCAGTTCCATTACTATTGAAAACGAAGGTACTGACCTTGTCAGAAATGGACTTACACCTTTTTTCTTGGCTTAAAAGGAATCAAATATTTAAGGTATGATGCCCAGGACTACTTCAGATTTCAGTAGCTCTCAATATTCATTCTCTTACCTCCTTCTAGGTCGCCACCTTTTGTTCATGCATATATCATGAATATGTTAGTCTATATATTGCATACAGTTACCTGCCCATAGACATGCATGTGCAAGGTATCCAGTTCAAATACTGCATTAAAGGAAAATTATTATTTTAAAATTGCTTTCACTGCTATCCTTTAAAAAAATCTATAATGACAGAAAAAATAAACTAATAATAAAAATGTCCTAATTATACTCTGACAGTTCAGCTTGATAGCCACCCTGTTGAAACTTTTATATTCTCCAGTACATCTTCGTTCATTATATCCAACATCAGCACAGATTTCTGAGATAAATTAATGTTTTACTGCCCTCCAAATACCTTATCTTAACCTCTGCTTTTCTCTTCATCTTATATCACATATTCATTCAATCATTCTGGAATCAAGTTTTGATCAAAAATAAATTATTTTAAAAACTCAGATTATCTTCTTTTAATTTTTGTCATGCCTCTTTATTCCATGGAGTAAATGAATGAGAGAAGAAATATTAAAGAGATGCTTTTGACTGTAATCACTACACAAATATACCCAGTAAATAAAAATCCAGAAATTCCTTTGAGACATTAAAAGACATATTGCTTTGAGCAAAAGTGACATGCCAGATATATCCTATAAATTGAAACAGCTTGACAGCATTCAGTACTCTCTACCCCTTTCACGACCCTGTTAATTTTTCTTGGTACCAATTGACTCTACTAAGTATATATTTACTTCGTAACTATCCACAGCAAAGAAATACGGGTAGTAATATTGTTGATACATGAAGTACAAGACATTCTCCCTTTTTTTCCCCGGTTGTGCTGGCATTTGCTGACAGTTGTAAAAACTTGTTGTTGTTATATGCAGAGACAACTCCAAAGGCATACAGGGAACAGATGTATGCTATCATAGTAACAAGATGCCACTTTTAAAAAATACTTTTCAGCTTAGGGCTACATTTAAACCTTCAGGTACAGTTTATGAAACTCATAATGTGGGAGAGTGAGTACTAGTGATGTCTTTGAGAGTCTCTAGGGGAAAAGACTCTGAGATATTGTTATCATTATCACCATCTTGCTAACTGAATCACAGTGCCATGATTATTACACCTAAGGGAGTGACTTACTACCCTCTAGGTTGGAATAAAGGGCAAAATGAGATTCTTCCATTGTAGGAAGGTGGAACAAATTCGGGACACTGTAAGAAAAAGGCATTCTATTCAATCTCAGTGTTTTAAAAATAGAGAACTAAATTAATCTGAATATGCAATTCTCAGTTTGGCCATATAAACTAATTGGGCATACGTTTCAACTAAACTGAATATGGATGGAAAGTCTTTGCAGAGTTAGATACATTCTTCGAAAATCTATGCATATCTTATTTTTATAGAAATGCAAAAACAAAAACAAAACAATAGGCAAGAAGGTTTCACACAAAAGCAGAGTCATACCTAAATATGAAAGGACATAAATGTGCCTCAGATTGCATCATATTTTATCTTGCAGTCAGTTACATTGTAAAATTGTAAGATGCTGTTGAAGTAATTCAGTCAAATAAAGTGAAAGTAATATTGATGAAAACCGCTTTCATTTTTATTGACTCACTCATAAACATTAGAGTGTAAATGTGTAGACTTACTTTCACACCCCATAGATAGAACTGACTGTTCTAACTTTAAATATCTGGAAAGGAAATATAAATTGCATGTTACACTTGAACCTGAAACATAAAATTGTCACTGCACTTTGATGATGAAAAGTTGAGCCCTTTGAACAATGCTCTATTTTTCTCTGGAATTTTATTTTTTACTCTGTTCCCTGATGTAAATTTTGTTTCTTATTTCTATTATTTGTTTCTGATTGTGAACCCAATTTATTTTGCATAGAATTGTTAAGTACCTTGTCTGTTTGCAGTAGTTCAAATGTAAAATAGCTAAAATGAATAACCCTTCAAAGTCAATTCTGGCCTTCTGCTTTTATATTTATTTACAAATGCTGTAGTCTGAAAAATGGTTAAAAGATGAAAATGCCAAGGGGCCAGTTTTCTTAATTACTTCGTGAATAAATCTTAAATGATCGGGACATTTAAAACACTTGAAATATGTTTAAATATAATTAAACTAGAATACCTCTTTAAAGGAGAGAGTAGAGGATACTGGGATGAACAATTTTGATTTTAAGTGTGAATCATGGAAATAAAAGTGGCTGTGCTTGATCATTTACTCAGCACTGGAGGCAATAATCAAGTTTCACAAATCAATTACACCTTCGAAGAGTGATGGCAGGGAGCAGAGGCTTTATCAGAAAACCTCTGTGTTTTGTATCCATTTGTCTCTTTGTATTTTTAGACATAAATCTGTAACATAGTGTGTATCCAGACAACATTCTCTCCTCCCTCCAGGTATTGACAGCACAATAGGATTTGGGGATTTTGAGCACCTGAGGGAAAAATTGTAAGCTGAGTAAAAATTGATATTATTACATTAAAAGAAGATTTATGCTTTAAATATATGTATCTCTTCAGAGTAACAGAGTATTTAGGAGAAGAATATATCAATTTTATGAAATATTTTATGTCAAATGTGGATGTTAATACAGAGAGCTAGGAAGATTGATCAACTAATATTTTATAATTGTATAAAATATATCCTGTATATTAACTTACGTATTATTATTAGCAAACAATGGCAGTTTTATTTCACAGCTTAATGTAAATAAAAATTCCGTGTTTTGACTCATGTCAGATAAGAAACAGAGCAATTTTTTTCTGTTGATTTTCTAAGTAAACATATATTTTCTGTCTTAAAAGCTGTCAAGATGAACTTAACATCAAATTGCTTAGATATTGTATTTCCTAACATCAATCCAGACTAAAATTTTTATTGCATTTTTCTTTAATATTGACTAAATATAAACTTCTGAATGATATGGATAAAGGGGACATGTAAGTTATCTGTTGTAATATAAATTTAGCTCTCAATGAGTGTGTCTCCAAGAAATACAAAACTTAATAGAAGTTAGAGCAAAAAAAAAAATCTTTCTCTCATTTCTAACAAACATGTCAAATTGATAGGCAACACAATGTCAAAATTATGCATACTATGAAAAGATTATATAGTGAAAAATAAGTGAATTGTATAGTGAATACAAGCAGGGCTGATAGTTTTTTTATATAAAATGTAGTAGTTTTGCCCTTATATTTATTTAATTTGAAGGCCATTAAAAATAGTAAAGATTATAAGACTTGAAAAGTTACTAAATGCTTGTCTCTGGTTGATAATTATGCATTTGGTCCAGATTAATACAGGTTATATTCCCCCCGAGTAAACAAGTGTACGGCTTGGAGAACTGCTTACCTTTTAAAAACAACAAACTAAAATAATTGAATTGATATAATTATAGTATGTTGAGTTCAAAGGTCATCTAATTGACTATGAATGTGCTAACCATGGCATTCAAAAGTCTTCAGAATGTAATAATTTTTTTCACCCGCTTAAAATTTATCAGTAATATCTATATATGTAATACGTATGTGTCTATATATCTCTAGTATACTACAGAACATAGAATATGTATTACTATACTATATGCTATATACACATAATATATACATATGGTATATATATGTGTGTTTGTGTGTAATAATAGGCCACTCGGAATGTCTAAGCTATTACAAAACTTATTAATATTTAATGTTCATTTTTATATCATTTTGTCTTCACTATGTTGTGCTATTGTGCATGTTTTATAGGTTTTTGAAGACCTAATCCTTCCTTTGTTTTATGCATTGTAAATGCAATAGTTAATTTGGGTAATTTGTATGTACTTGTTCTTCTGATGCCATACACTTGCTTGTTAAAATTATACATTTAATGTTTGCTTGAGCCATTAAGTTTTGTGAATGCTGTCTTGTTGAAAGTCATTATTATAATAAGTGGATATTATCCTATCATTTCCATCCCTGAATGGAGGATATCATTATGAGAATTTTCCAATGGATGACCTAAAGAAAAAGTTTGATTATTTTTGTTTGAAGGATATGCAAAGAGATTGGTATTCCCAAGTGATATATATCACTGAAGTATAAAATTGTGTCTTACTATCACTGCATTTGGGATTTTATTTTGGTTTCAAAGGAAATGCAATTTTCAAAAGTAAAGTAAAACATATAACTACATTAATAGATATGTTTTGTGATTAGTAGAAAATTCAAAAACCAATGACTTCATTTCTCAATGCCAGGAGATTAGGAAGACAACAAATTATATGCTAATTATTTCAGTAATACTGCCATCAAAAGGCTAGAAACTTGCAGATGAGAATTTAACATGATTCTATACATATTATCACGAGACATTATACATTTACGTTTAGATTGAAAGTAGTGTTGATGCTTTTTGTTTTGAAAGTCTTGAGTTCACATGGGTATTATATGCTATATTCCATAACATAGTCAGGTGTTTGCGTTGTCAGATATCAATTAGCAATGTCCTCTTAAGTAGATAATTAAGGTTTAACTAAACTTTACTTTTGCTAGATGACCTCACAAATGTTTTGGGTGAAAGGCTCTATGCACAACATTGTGCATAAGTGGGTCAAAAACGAAGTGTATCACTTACAATAGGTTTGAACTTTTGGTGGTTAATAGAAGAACAAAAGTCTCCCAGATCAATGTTTCCTAGAACTTAATCATAGGGACAGCATTACTGCAAAATTTCACTAGGTGTTTACTTGAACACATGCCCAGGTACACATACAAAAGTAAATACATGCAACACACCACACACAATTTTGTGGTCAAAAATATTGAAAAGGTCTTCATTAAACAAAGGTAAATGAACTTCTTCACTGTACGACTTCTCAGAGACTATACAAAAATAAAGTGTCTGAATCAAACATGTGCATACAATAGGAAAGATATTACAAAATACATTAACCATATGAAACATTTTTCATGGGCTATCACAAAGTAATATAATTGTCTGCAATTCTTAAAGAAACAACATAAAGATTTTTGTTTTATTGACACTAAATCAAACTGGCACTTTAAAACTACATGTCCCTTTAAACTCTCATTAGAATTTATCATTTTTGAGCACTTCAATATTGGCTTCTAGCATCTTGTGCTTTCCTTCTCATCTGTATTTTTCCATTCACAGGAGGAAACAAATGACCATTTTCTAGACAATCCACCAAAATTCTAATTTATTATGAGAGCTTTCTCCCTTTATCATACTTCAGCCTCATAATATGAAGCAAAGCTCTTTTTCCCCCTTACAAAATGGAGGAAAATAAGCTTTTATTTATGTCTAATTTCTAACATAATATAAGGAGAAACATATTATAGAGAGGTGGAGTCCAATTTGGGACTAAAATGGCCCAACAGAGTATCCATGTTCCTGGTAAAACCACCTCTTCCCAGCTTTTACATTACTCACATCAAGGATGAAGGTAGAGCATCTGAAAATTCCTCACGCATATGGTGAAACCACCACTTTTTCTGATCCCCAACCTTTTCTGTCCAAGCACTATAAACTGTCTAAAAGATCTTCCTTTAGCACAGCCTAATTTGAACAAGTTAACACATTCATATAGTGAATCTTCAGAATTTATCCAAATGCTTCCTGTGTCCTTGTGTCTGTCAGCATCCTAAGTAGTTTAAGCTATGCTGTGCTTCCTTATCATCTGGACTCTTAAAGATTCAAGGCTCTGTATATATCTGAAGTGACTCATTCTTTCACAATGTAAACTCCTCCTATGTGACCACTGAATATACAAAGTCGTGTATACCCTCCTTTGGTCTCAATGTTTCTTCCACTTCCTGTTCTAACTAAAATCTAGATATCACCTAGGGACACTGTTTTCCCCAGCAGTGCTCCCAAATAATCTTTCACACACATCCCAAGTTGCAACAGTCCTGGAATTAGAACAGGTTTCTATCCTTAAACAAACAAATGAAGAGCAATCTGTTTCAAATGAACCAGAAAGATATGTGTATGTTTTCCTAATGGTTGTAAACACCTACTAAAAGTATCATTGACAATATTATCACCTTGCTTATTATCTTTTTTTCCACCAATAGGAATATTATTATTCTTGGTAATGTCACTATCAATACAGGTAATCTATGCAACACATTTTAATCTTTTTCATACTCTTCTTACGCCAGTAATTTTTTTCTACACTTCACCATGATCACCTATTTCAATCATCATTCCCTCCAGACATTGTCACTATCAATATCTATACCACTTCAAAAATTTTAATGATCATACCCTTATTGTAATATTCATATTTTCATATTAAACTATAAACTCTTCCAGAATCCCAACTCCCCAAACAAAACCTCATCCACTGAAACCACCAATAATTCATTGTTGATCTCTCCACTTTGGTAGTTTCTCCCCTTCTCACAAGATTAGATTCCTTTGGGCTGTCATTAAAGCCATCTCTTTGTTACCAATCTTCAATTTCTTTACCTTTTTTTCTTGCTTTCTTTGACTAGGCTAGTGTATTAGTCTGTTCTCACACTGTTGATAAAGACGTACCCAACACTGGGTAATTTATAAAGAAAAAGAGGTTTAAAGACTCACAGTTCCATGTGGTTGGAGAGGCCTCACAATCATGGAAGACAGCAAAAGACACGTTTTACACGGTGGCAGACGAGAGAGAACTTGTGCAGCGAAACTCCCATTTATAAAACCATCAGATCTCAGATCTGGTAAGACTTATTTACTATCACAAGAACTGCCTCCATGATTCCATTACCTCCCACCTGGTCCCTCTCACAACACATGGGAATTGTGGGAGCTACAATTCAAGATGAGATTTGGGTGGGGACACAGCCAAACCATATCAACTAGCTAAACCCCAATGTTGGCTTAATCTCATTATCTACTTACTATCAACATGCACCAGGAAAGTTAAGCAGGATGGGAAAAATATAAACAATCTACTTGATTTAACTTTAAATATGACCACAAATCTCAATAATTTCCTCAGGACACATTTAATTCTACTATATTTCCCTAAAAAGTGTATTTTTCCTGCCTCCTTTGTTAATTAACACTCCTCTCACTCAAACTATTGCCCTAAACAGTATTCAGAATTTCATTTAGTTTTAGATTACAAAAAAAAAAAAATTAAATACAGTGGACTGACTTTCTCAGTCTTTCCTCTCTTGAAGACCACTCAATTTGATGCTACTGAAATTACTCTTGTCAGTGCCATAAATGACCTCCACATTGAAGTATTTGGTAAGTAGATGTTGATGAATAGAACAGACACAGCATAATTTAGCCAAATTAAATAAGGTTTTCTTGTTTAAATGATTCACAGAGAAATTAACAGAGTCATGATTCAGAGTAGAGAGATCAGAACCATTGTACAAGAGATCTGGCTGTGAGCTTTAGGGTGATAGAAGTGTTCACCATGTTAAAATTTCAAATGTTAATAAGATTTAGAGTCACATCATACCTCTTGGAAGTTCATCTTCTATCAGACTCATAGCTAAATGCAGTTGGAGCAGTCTAATGTATAATCATGTAGGGTATTTATCTGTATTTGCTCATCTGGGCCAGAGCCACCACTTTCATCTTAGAGGCGTAGAGTATATGTGATAGGAGATAGTATGTAATTCTCAGGTATAAATGAAATTATCATTTTTCATCTTCAGACTTTTTACCTGGAAGCCTAATCTATCTTTTCTTAACTGAGGGCTGAAGAATTGAACTCCATTGTTTTCCAAAACTGTCAGTCACCATACTCTAGAAACCATGAAACACTTGCCAGCACACTTAAAATTGAATTTAAATTCTTTATAATGCTCATACAATCCAACAAGATTTAGCTCCTGGCTTCCTCTCCAAACACATTTATTACCATTCTTGCTTTTTCTTAGTATGTGTAAGACAACCTTGCTTCTTTTCTAATCCTCAAACACATCGTGCATTCACTAGTCTCAGGGCTCTGTATATACTACCCTTGTGCTATAATGCTTTTTGCCCAGTACCTACGTGACTTGCTCCTAACTCAATTGGTTCAAAGTCAATTCCTGAGAGAAGACTTCTCTTACTTCCTCATCTGAAAGATCACCCCACTTCACACTACAATAAACAGCTTTAATTTTTCTTTATAGCACTTATCAGTCTCAGAGATTTTTGCTTATTTATTGGTTAATTGTTTTTGTTGAAAAAAATTGATTTATGTAATTATATATGTATTTACCTGAAATGTCAAATATGAAAAACATTTAATAACAAATTTCTATTAAGCTTTTAGTTTAATTGGGAAAACTCAGGTTTTCTGTTGTTTCAACTTCACTGACTAATGAATACCACAATTAAGTGTCTCTTTAATTAAAAAACAATTTTAATGTATGTGACCAAAATTGTTTACCCAGGCAGCTTATTCTGATATGCTAATTTCAAATTCATTCATCTAAAATGGAAATCATCATTACATGTAACGAAATCAAAAGGTTATCTGGCTTGAAAAGCTCAAAATAAATAAAAGCATTCCTAAGTACTAAGAGAATAAAGACTCGTAAGAAGGAAATGTATGCTTTTTTTTTTGTTTTTTGTTTTTTTTCCTGATCTGTGTTTTCAACTGAAGTGTAATTCTTCCTCATCTCACCTTTGGGGAATCAAAAATGAGAACTCAACAGGGAGGAAAAGTGTGATAGTGTAGGTTGTTTGCTCTTGAAAACTTATTAAATTCTGAGAGAAAACAAGATTCAAAATAATTGAAAATGCTGATTTTTCAATTTGTCTTGTTTTTGCCAGTGGAAGTTATGGTTGACAAAGGAAAATGTAAAATTAACAAATAATGTGATGATGTACCTCTAAAATGTGCCTTTTACCTATAAATCACTAAGTATTTTATATTGGTAGTGTTCTCTCTCTCTCCACACACATACACGCTCACAGAGAGAGAAACACATGTGCGTTTAACAAATACAATGTATATCTTAAAACACAGTTTTCTGAATTTCCAAACATGTACCATGGATGGAATTAGTAATAAATTCCATGAACAGGGAGCATACTTTTTGAAAGCCTTTGCTCCAAGCAACATGATTTATGTTTTGGACTGACGAACCTGCTGTTGCTGACTTCAACGAATGACTATCTACATGTATTTGATGTTATTACAGATTGCTGGTGTGTTAATCATCAAATGAGGATAATCTTTCCTTTGATTTTTTTTAATTGGGTATCTTCTGTCTGGGAATAACTGTGTGCCCCTTCTGCTGCTGTTCTCTTCCTAACTGAAAGACTGATGATTCTCAGGCAAGACTAATTTTACTACGTATGTAAAGTTGACTTCACTTGTTTCTTCTTTTCTTTTTCCTTCCTTCCTTCCTTCCTTCCTTCCTTCCTTCTTTCTTTCTTTCTTTCTTTCTTTCTTTCTTTCTTTCTTTCTTTCTTTCTCTTTCTTTCTTTCTTTCTTTCTTTCTTTCTTTCTTTCTTTCTTTCTTTCTTTCTTTCCTTCTTTCTTCCTTTCTTTCCTTCCTTCCTTCTTTTCTTTCTCTCTCTCTCTCTCTTTCTCTCTTTCTCTCTTTCTCTCTTCTTTCTTTCTTTCTTTCTTTCTCTCTTTCTTTCTTTTTTGAGACAGGCTCTCACTCTGCTGCCCAAGCTAGAGTGCAGTGGTGCTACCTTGGCTCACTGCAACTTTGCCTCTTGGGTTCAAGCAAATCTTCTGCCTCAGCCACCCAAGTAGCTGGGATTACAGACACACACCACTATGACCAGCTAATGTTTGAATTTTTAGTAGAGATGGGGTTTCACCATGTTGGCCAGGCTGTGGCTTCACTATTACTCATTGGTTAAGTCTTCCCCAGTTTGTTAAACAAATAGTACAACTTTAGTTCTAACACTTGACCCCTAATGCTACTTTTATAAATCTTCTTTATCCCCAATTCCACTAGATTGGCTTTCTTGTCCTAATGCAGGTAATGGCTCTACACAACCAAACCGAAACAAACCATATTTTTAAGCACCAAGGCATTTGGATGATGACAAAATTGATTTTGCACTCTGTGGTTACATATACTGTAAAAATTGTTTCCAAGTAATGTTTCTTTCTCACATGGAAGGTGTCTAATACAAGGAAAAAATATAAAGTCCTAAAATTTCTTTATTTAATATACTTTAAAGACATTGTTAGAACAAATTAAACTAGGAATACAAACACTAGGGATGATACTTAAAAGCCATATATATGTGTATATATATATATATATATATATATGTATTTCATTTATTAAAATGTCATTCTTATCTCTAAAATGAGAGGGTTTATAGGAAACTTATAATCTATCAGGTGAAAACTTGTTTGGTTTAATAGAGGAAACTGTTATAGTAGCATTAACTTTCTTCATATTATTCAATTATTTGCATGATTTCCCAACATGTTTTTCCTAAGTACAAATTAAAGAACATTATTGCATAGTTTGAAGATGCATAGAGGTATTAGTGTCACCTGAGGGTGTCTCAGGACTCACAAACATGGCTTGCTTCTCAATATTACACCAATGATTGGATCAATGTATCCCTGGGTCTTCCTTTTACTTGTGAAGATACAAAAAAAACAATTTTGTTATTGAGCCGAATAAATGCACAAAAGTTACTGTAAAACAAACTTTATGCTAATAAAGTTCTACAATATTGTTTCTCTCTTATTCTATATATTCTCTTTTGAGATATGAATGTTAGACCTTCTCATCTTATCCTCCATGTTTCATGAATTCATTATTTCAACCAGTTGGCTACTCTGTTGCATTCTGGGTAAGTTTTTAGGTACCTCTCTATTTAATCAAGTCTCTGCCTTTAGTATTGTCTAAAATGTCATTTAACACATCTCCCACTCATCTCGATTTTTTAAAAAGCCATTTGTTAACCCATTTTCAAATACATTCCCTCTCTCTCCCCATTCCCTACTGAGTTAAGCACTATCTTTAAAAGTTTTACTATGTATGTAAAAATATGGAAAATATATATATTGCTAGGTAATTACTAATATTTTGTTTAGGCTTTTTACATCTGTGTGAAAAATAAGATTGGTCTGTAAATGTTCTTCATAATGTCTTTGATGAATTTCGTATTGGGGTGGAAATCTCTTACTCGGAAGACTGGAACATCTGTCTTGATATGAGTACTTTTATAAGTAGGTAGTTGTTTGAATTTTCACCAAGAGAACAAATCCAAACAGGAACTGCCAAGTAGATAAAATATTACCAGTATTCAGAACTCCATCCAGATCCCATTTCTAGCTCTTAGTTTCTCTCTTCCTCGAGGATAACCACTATTCTAACCTAAAACAAAATAGATTGGTTAGCTGTTTTTATTTTATTCTGTTTTTAAGCTTCGTATGAATGAACTAATACATTTAAAACCTAACATTAGGTTTGTAATATTCTTTCTTCTTGTGTTTTACAATAGTGTCTCGGTTCAGTATAAGGGCATTGTATGAATGTGCCACAATTTATTGTCCCTTCCACTGGAGATAAGCACTTGGATTTTTCAATTTTCTGACTATTATAAATAATGCTGCTGTAAATAACCTTGCAATACTTTTTGTGTGCACATTTATTTTTGTGGGGTGTATACAGGGAAGGAATTGCTGGATCATAGATTCTGTCAAACAGTTTTCCTAAGGGGCTAAATCAATTTTAAATCCAATAGACAGATTTTAAGTATTAATTCATTGTACTTAATAATGTTTTACTTATGTTTTCCATTTCATTTTTTGTTCATTTAAGTAAACAATAGTTTTTGGAGGCTGCTACTTTGTGTAACTTTTTGCACTGCTGGCATAAAGACTTTTCCCATTTCATAATTTTTTTCTTAATTCTTTATTTTCCCCCTTAATCTGTTATTCCTGAGGCCTGCCAATTTTTTGTCTTTTCAAATAATCAGCATCTGTTTCTGTTGACTCTATTTTATGTTTTATCTCATTAATGTCTGCTCATTTTTTAAATTGTTTCTTCTCTTGCACTTCTTTTACTTTAATTCCATTGTTAGGTTTTGGCTTCTTTGTTGGATACTTTTTTAAAAGTCAGCTTTATTAAGGTATAGTTAACCTGCAATAAAGTTCACATATTAGGAATATACAATTTGATACTTTAAAAACAATCAACTTTTCATTTTAGAATAGATTTAGATTTACAGAAAAGTTGCAAATACAGTACAGAGAATGCCTACATTCCAGAGGAAACTTTGCACCAGTTTCCTCCATTATTTACATGTTGCACTAATATGGTGCATTAATCACAATTAATAAATCAATATTGACATATTATTGATTAAAGTTCATCCTTTAGTTAGACTGTTTTAGATTTTACTTAATGCACTTTTTCTATTCCAGGATCCCATCCAAGACACCATGATGCATTTATTCACCATGTCTCTTTAAATGCCTCTTAGATGTGACAGTTTCTCATACATTCTTGTTTTTTATGTCCTTGAGGATTTTAAGAAGTGCTGGTCAAGTAATTTGTAGAATGTCCCTCAGTTGTGATTTGTTTGATGATTTTATCATAATTAGACTGAGGTTATATGTTTTGAGGAGTAAGACCACATACGTAATGTATCATTTTCATCACATTATATAAAGTACATGTCATCAACATGACTTAACCACAGTTCATATTAACCTTAATCACCGGGCTGAGTTAGAGTCTGTCAAGTTTCTCCACTGTAAAGTTATTCTTTTCCCCCTCTTTATATACTGTACTAATTGGAAGGAAATCACTATGCACAGGCCACATTTAAGGTGCAGAAATTTATATTTCACCTTATACTCCACCTCCTTTTGACCTTCTATTTGTTTTGTCTTTGGCCATTAGAAGCTTTTTCATTTGACAGTTGTGTCCCTTGACTTACTCCATCTTTGTGTGTCTTTGTGCATGTAAAGATAAGCTTGATAATTCAAAATTTAATCCATTCCTACATCATTTTAGCCTTCTCCCTTTGACTATCTATAAAATACCACTCTAGCAGTGAGAATCCAGTTCTCACCATCTGCCATCTATTTACTTAATTTTTCAATTTCAGTGTCCATGTATAGTGGTTTTATAATTCAAACCAGTAGCTTTACAGGGCATGCTTTATCCACTAGAGTTTGTTGTTTATATGCAATGTATGTTGTGTTTAGTTCTACACACTCCACCCATTTCCAAATTTCTTTAGATCATCATCTTCATTTACCTCCTTCAGTGAGGCTGTTTAGTACAATTACATTAACTACATTGATTTGTCACAATCTGCATTTTATTTTTATATCCCAGAATATCTTAAAGTATTTTAATGCACATAAATTAAGGTTAAACTTTTCTATATAGTTATATGGGTTTTAACAAACTCACAGTGTTAAAATTCATCATTAAAATATCATAAAGAATAGTTTCACTGCCTTAAAATATCCTCTGTATTTTACCATTCAACTGACTCCTCACTCTCAAACTTTGGCAATTGTTGATTGTCTGTTGTATCTATAGTTTTGCCTTTTCCAGAATGTCTTATCAATTATAATTTTTGCAGGGTATAGAATTTTTTGTTTCAGGATTTTAAGGATATTGAAACACTGTCTTCTCTCATGTTGTTTCTTATAATAAATCTGCTGTTATTCTTTATTTCTTATAGGTAAACATGTCTTTTCAAAGTTCCTTTCAGACATTTGATTTTGATTTTTAAAAATATTTTCTATGTCTTCACTTTACTTATTGAATATGCAGAAAACATGTATAATAACTGTTTCCATGTTTATTTTAAAAACTCTATTGTTGGTGTTAATTCTAGATTGGTTATCTACTGATTTATTTTTCTCTTTCTTATTAATTGTGCTTTACTGATTCTTTGCATTCCTCTTAATATTTTATTGGATCCAAGACATTGTACATTTTAACTGTTGCATGTGGCATATTTTTGATTCCTAAAATTTTTGTGTGTTTTGCTTTGTGACACAATCAAGTTACCTATAAATCGTGTGGCCCATTTGGGTCTTGGGTTAAGATTACTTATGTGAGTTCAGAGTGATGTTTAGGATTATCATTATCGAAAGGCGCTTTGAATACTCTACCCAATGCCTCTGATGGTTTCTAACATGAAGACTAGGAACTGACACTATTCCCATTCTTGCATGAGTGGTAGGCATACCACTAATCATTTCGGGTAGTGTTTTTCCTGGTCTCAGGTAGTTTCCTCACAACACGTGTTAGTTAGTATTCTATGAATACTCAAAAAGATTCTGTGCGCTTCTTGTAGTTTAGTTTCTGTATAGCTTTCTCCTTCTCAGAAATCTGTCCTATTGACTCAAGATACCTTTTTCTTCCTGGACCCTCCATTTTGTTTCCAAAACTTAGAGACTATCATATTATCAGTGGGTTTTCCTCCCTGCATTAAGTCTGGTCATTCTCTTAAGGTAGTAACCTGGGACAGCTATATGCTCGCTTCAACTTTCTTCAACTTTTTCTTATCTTTCATAGATGATTTTCATTTACTTGATTTCTAATGTGTTGAAAACTACTATCTGATATAGTTTTCCAGTATTTTTTTATGATTTCAGGTAAAAGGATAAATTTGGTCCCTCTAATTCCATCTTGGCTGGAAACAGAAATCTCCACAAGCTTCTTCACTGGATACTTAACTGACAACTTTAATTTATTCATTATTTTTAATGTTTACTATTTACAGACAACATTTTCCCTGTCAGTATTGTTACATGAATATTATGAATTTTGATATTATCTATTCTATTAATTTGTTAAATGAAATAATATGTGGGAAAGAACACTTTTATTCAAAATTTTATACTTTTTTTTTCAAAATGCAAATATATCTAAGACCTCTTCTAAGATTTGGCTTGTGGAAATAAGTGGATGAGAAGTCCACTGAAACACAGAGAAGATAAAATATTTCATCAAGGGAGGGTAGATTTTATTATAAGTAACAACTTCAAAAAATCTTACTTTGATTCGAATGTATTCCTGCAAAATACATACATTGTAATCTTCTCCCCCAAGGTGATAGTATTAGGATGTGGTGTCTTTTGAGGTGTGGTTAAGTCACAAGGGCAGAGCCCTTATGAATGAGATTAGTGCCCTTGTAAAAGATGTTCTAGAGAGCTACCTACTCCTTCTACCATGTGAGGACACAGTAATGAAGGGGTCATCTAGGAGAAAACAGGTGCTCACCAGATACTGAATCTTCTGACACATTATTCTTGGTCTTCCCAATTTCTAGAACTATAAGAAATAAATTTCTGCAGTTTAGAAGCTGCACAGTCTATGGTAATTTTTTTAATAGCAGCTCAAATTTACTAAGACAGGTATTTGAAGGAAACACTTATATTAAACCCTTGAAATGAACCAGATATACATTTTGAAACAGATTAAATATGCAATTGAATAAAAGGCACTTATATTCAAAGATAAATATGAAATTGAATATATGCTAAAGGGCCATAATGCTTTTCGAAATAATATCATAAAAACAATTTGTTTATATAGTTAGACTGTTAGGAAATTCTGTTGTTTAGGGTGGGGCTACATTTATTATCAACACAAATCTTGAGACCTTTTAAGCACAAAAAAGACTAATACAGCACATAAAACTAATCGAATCAGAACTTATTTCAATGGACTTGAGAAACATCAGCAGAAAAATGAGATCCTAAAAGAAGATAGAATTTGGATGGGAGGACTTCCAAAGACTGTCTAAAATTGAATTACAAAGCAGCAAATTTCTTAACATCAAAAATTAAGTCTCAAAGGTAGAATAATATGTTCAAAGTGCTGAAACAAAATTATTGTAAAGCAATATTAGTAAATATGGAAGAGAAAGAGAGAGGGATAGGGACAAAGAGAAGGAGGGAGGGAAGGAGGGGGCAAGAGAGAGAGAATGAGAGAGAGAAATATTGAGAATGTACTACTAATAGACCGTCAAGGAAAGAAATCTCAAAGGGTGAACCTCAGAAAGAAGTCAAATATCCTAGTTATGAAATATTATTTGTAAGTAAAAATGATCAGTGTGTCATTGGTAAACATATGGGTAAATCTAAACACTAAAGTAAAACATAGAAATCATTTTTATCATCATTGTCAAAACCAATGTAGAGTGAAAATATCAGAAAATAACAATGTCTAAGACGGGGAATGATTGGAGTTACAGCATTTTTAAATTCTTAAATTGTTGAGATGGTTTAGAGTTATTGACTAAATTTGTTGGTTAATGTTAGATGCATTGTAAATATGTATAGTAAATATTTTCGTTTAAAGTTTCTTTTATTTAATAAGTACCAATTTTTATTTTGCAACACTTTTAGATTTATAGAAAAGTTGCAAAGTTTCAAAGAGTTTTTTGACTCAGCTTCCTCTAATGTTAACCTCTTACATCACCATGGTACTTTTGCCAAGACTAAGACATTAACACTGGTTCAATAATATTTACTAAACTGGAGATTCTGTTCTGATTTCACTGCTGTTTTTTTTTTCTTTAACTGATGTCCACTTTCTGTTCCAGAAAACAAGTGGAGAATATCCAATCCAGGATACCATATTGCATTTTGTTGACATTTTTAAATTATGGTAATTAGGCCTAATAAAAAATTTACCATTTAGCCATTAAGTGTATAGTTCAGTAGTATTAAGTACTTTCACATTGTTACACAAATATCACCACCCTTCAACTATAGAACTTTTTCATCTTTCCAAACTCAAACTCTGTGCCTATTAAACAAGAATTCTCCATTCTCCCATCCCCCAGCCTCTGGTAACCACCATTTTACTTTCTGTTGCTATGACTTTGACTACTGTAGGTACTTCATATAATTAGAATCATGCATTCTTTTATATCTGGCTTATTTCTGGAAGACATGTGGCATAATGTCTTCCAGGTTAGGCTATGTTGTAGCTTGTGTCAGAATTTCCTTCATTTTTAAGGTTAAAGAATATTCTTTTGTATGTATATACCACATTTCATGTATCCATTCATCTACCAATGGATATTTGGGCTGCTTCACCTTTTGATTATTGTTAATAGTCCTGCTATGAATACTAGTGTATAAATATCTTTTTGAATCTTAAACATGAGTCTTCTAATTAAGGAACACTGGATTTTTTTTTCATTTATCTTCTTCAATTTATTTTAGCAACATTTTGTGGTTTCAATGTACATGTCTCTTACCCTCTTGGTTAAATTTATTACTAAGTAGTTTATTCTTTTTGATGCTACTGTAAATGGAATTGTTTTCTCAATTTTGTTTTGTTTGTTCATTGTTAGTGTATAAAAATGTAATTTATTTGTGCATGTTAATTTTGTATTCTGCAACTTTACAGAATTTGTTTATCAGTTCTAATAGTTGTTTGTTTTGGTGTGGAATCTTTTTTTCGTATAAAATGATGTCATCTGAAATTTTATTTCCTTTGCTTGCCTAATAGTTTTGGCTGGAACTTCCAATACTATGTTGAACAGAAGTGGTAAAAGTGAGAATCTCTGCCTATTTCTGATCTTGGAAGAAAAATCTTTTGTCTTTTTCCATTGAGTATGAAGTTAGCTGCTGATTTTTCACCTATGGTTTTTCTTATGTTGAGATATCTCTATTCCTAGTGTGTTGAGTGTTTATATCATGAAAGTACATTAAATTTTATCAAATGCTTTTTCTGCATCAACTTAAATGATTATTTGGGATTTTTTTCCTTTCATTCTGTTAATGTGGTGTATTACATTGATTTATTCATCTGTATTGAACCATCCTTGCATTCCATAAATAATTTCACTTGCTCATGGTATATGATCCATTTATTATATGGTTAAATTTTGTTTCCTGGTATTTTATTGTGCATTTTTGCACTAATATTTTTTAAGAATATTTTTAGTTTTCTTTTCTTGTAGTGGCTTTTGTATTAGGGAATTGCTGGCCTTATGCAATGAGTTTGCAATTGTCGTTTCTTCTTCAATTTTTTTTTGGAGGAATTTGAGGAAGATTGATATTAATTAAAATGTTTGGTAGAATTTATCAGTAAATTCATCTGGATTTGGACTTTTATTTGTGGGAGGTCTCTGGTTATTGATTTAATTTTCCCTACTAGTTGTCACCCTTGTCACATTTTCTACCTTATTGTACTTAAGTCTTGCTAATTTGTGTGTTTCTAGATATTTTTCATTTCATTTAGATTATTCATTTTCTGGCATCTTATGTATTTTTAAAAAATGTACACTTTTTAGTATTATTCAAACAATTGATGTAAGAATATTTAACAAATAACTATTTTTAAGAACTTAGGCATATTTCCAAATACAGGTTTATATCATTATTTCAATGCTTATTGTTTCTCAAGATGAAAAGTACAATTTACAGAGCTGGTGGAAACCAGGATCTTCTGCACAGTCATGGCTGTAGAACCTTTTTTGTTCTTTTTTTTTCTTTGAAGGTCTAATTCTATATCCCAGGCTTGAGTGCATGCAGTGGCCCAATTATGGCTCACTGCAGCCTCAACCTCCCCAGGCTCAAATGATCCTCCCACCTCAGCCTCCCGAGTGGCTGGGACTATAGACATGCACCATCATGCCCAGCTAATTTTTGTATTTTTGTAGAGACAAGGCTTCACCATGTTGATCAGGCTATTCTCGAACTCCTGGGCTCAAGCTATCTGCTCACCTCAGCCTCCCAAAGTGTTGAGATTACAGGCTTGAGCCACTGAGCCCAGCCAACACAACGTTTTTGATAAGCACAAGTCACTATTAATTTAGAACATAATATAGAACCTGTTAAACACCAGTTTTTCAATAAATAATTGTGAAAGGAATGGGGAAAAAGGTAAGTAAGAAAAGAAATTAAATGCTTTCATTGAAGCACAGCCATAAGAAGATACATCTAAAAGGATCTATAGAAACCAAAATATGGTTCATCTTATTAACATCTGTTTTGTTGTTGTTGTTGTTTTCTTTTTCTTTTTTTTTTGAGATGAAGTCTCACTCTGTTGCCCAAGCTGGAGTGCAGTGGTGCAAGCTTGGCTCACTGCAACCTCCACCTCCCAGGTTCAAATGATTCTCTTGCCTCAGCCTCCCAAGTAGCTGGGGCTACAGGCTTGTGCCACCATGCCCGGCTAATTTTTGTATTTTTAGTAGAGACGGGGTTTCACTCTATTGGCCAGGATGGTATTGAACTCCTGACCATTTGCTCATTTTTTTTGAAAAATCTTATTTTCTTCTTTGGCATTCCACAGAGCTCAAAGCATTTTAATAACATAAATAAAGGTAGTATCTTTTGCATCTCTTTAGTCCATATTAGTTTGTGTTTGAATTCCAGCCTTCTTGCTCTTCTCACATTTTTTTTCTTTAGGCATCATGTTTAATTTATCACTGTGACATATCAATAAAAAGTTAACATAAAGCACTGACAATCACAAAGTTGGGATGAGGAGAGTATTTGTTTGAAGATCTTAGAAAGTAGGTCAATCAATTTCTTCCACAGCCTCCTTTTACCAATCATATGAATTATTTCAAATTAAAGTTGAAAAAGTCTCTCTCTGCATCAAATTCTTTGAATATTTCCTAAGCAAGATATGCTTAAATACACAAAACAAACATCATTCAATAAAACTGACTTGGAAAGGGATACAATGAAATGTGGTTTCAGTGAACTCTGTAAGTTACCTACATTATTTGAACATTTTCCCCTTTAATTTCACAAATTAAAGTTTTATAGATATATTTAGTTTAAAATTAAATTAATTAAAATCAAATAAAATTTGAAATTTAGTTCCTTCGTCCAACTAGCCATATTTTAAGTGCTCAATTGTTGCACTTGGCTTGTGGCCACTATTAAGAACAGTGCAGATGTTGAGTATTTCCATTATCTCATAAATTTATATTGGACCGTGTTGTTCTAGACCTTAGTGGCTCATATTTTGGCTACTTAAACTTTCTTTTTACTTACACTAAGTAAAGCTCTTCCTCAAGATACTATTGGCCACATAGGAACTGTAGTCTGCATGTTAAATAAATCTCGTCTAAAAAGTGTGTTTCTGTGTTTTTATACCTTCTTATGCTCTCTCATAGCAACGCAGAAGCTTTGACTAAAGCATCTTCACAACTTACATCTTCACCACTTTCTTGGCAAGTCATGATTATAGTTATAAATTTGGAATGAAAAATAAAGTAAGACTCTTTGCTATTCTGTGATTTTCAAGGAAAAAATAAGCTGAATAGAATGTATGTGCTGACATAAAAAGATATTGTTCATATACATTTTTTTGCCACTGCCTCTCAACTTGCTTCTTTCGGACTGCTCATGATAGAGGTTTAAAAGCTTTGATTCTGAACGCGCAGCCCTGTTTTATTGATAAAAATAAGCCCTAATATTTTTTTCCTTTGCTTTATCTCTTTTTATGTGGGCAGCTGATAAATTCCAGAATTCCTACGGGATGTTCTAATGGAATAGCAGGTTGAGCTGCCAGCAGTGTCAGTATTACAAGATAAAAACATAATGCCATGAACCTATATATCAAATGTTGTGTTGCAAATGAAACACTATCTACTTCATGTAAAATCAGCTTCTTAGCCCTATCTTTGAGCAGTTTCTCTTTGATTCCACAATGTTGACAAATGGGTTAGGGAATCCACTCTTTTCCCCTTGAAGTTGCATGTACAAATTCTTTCAGCACTGTTTTATGAAAGGGCTACTGAGTCATTGGTTGTAAAAGGAAAAATCTAATTAAACCTTGATAAAATGTTTGTCACTCTGACTCACAGAAGACAGCCTGGTGTCTGACTTGTCCTGAATCCGCAAGAATGAGCTAAGGATTGGTCATTTTAAAGGTCAAGAGGAATATACGGGCAGGGGATGTGAATGCTCTCAGATCTCTAAAAGAATTACAGAACACTGCAAATTTATTATAGATTATTAAGCCATACCCAATAGTTCTAAAACTTGATTGCTTAAGGAGTGACTTACAGTACTGGAGATATGCTAACATCCTAGGAGAATTCTAACACAGTAGCCTTTCCAAAAATGTACCACTGGGTCTGCCTCATTCAGTATATTATTTTGTGGTTTGGATTTACAGCTTGTTTTTTATGCCTTTAAATTTACTGAATAAAATGACAATAAAAGTCCATGCCTACAAAGTTAAGATAGCTTGCAAATGAAAGAGTCACAGTTCTGCTCCCCTAACCTTGCTTTGTGTTTCATAATATTTTCTTTCTCTAAACAGACTTTGACTTACAGATAAGGTTCATGACTTAACAATAGCCAGGCTTGAAAAATATCCTTCACAAAAGAATAACAACAAAAGTAAAACCTGTCAGTGAAAGTAATAAAAAAGATTGTGAAAAAAGGTCTCCAGGTGTGGCAATGTGGGGAGTTGGGAAAAGGTTTAGGAGACTTTTGGTGTTTTCAGTTTAAAGAATATTGTGAGTTAAGAGTCTGGAGATAAATGCTGAACTTCACAAAATAAAAATGCTAAAGAGTAGCTCAATTTACCAGAATAGGCATGAAACCTTAGGAACTGGATGAAGCAAGCACAGCAATAGGTATCAAAATAAAAAGGGAGAAAGCCATCAGAGTGAGCAATTAATGAAAATCAAGGCTAGTTGTTATGCCAAAATTGCAACATCTACATGTTTCTCTATGAATACTGACTTTTCACTGGGATCTTAAAATCCTTTTAAGGCATCTAAGTCCGTTGTTGTGTTTCTATAGGTCTTCACCTTTATTAAGTTATGTATCACTTTCAGATCGTGATTAAATCATACAGTGTCTTTCCTTAAAAAATAAATAATACACTCACATACATACATAAATTCCTAATTCCTATTCTATATTGACACCTTTTAGAGCATCTGTGGTTTGTCTTCTAGCCTTTGCTATTTTAATTCTAGTGAGTAACATTTTATTATTATATGTGGCAGTCTTCTTTTGACAGATATCTATTTGTTCTAAATAATTTATTCCTGTGAGTATAAATATGCCTACATATAAACTAAACTCATAGCTCTAGGTTTGCAATCTTGAGCAACACAGAACAAGCTCTTCCACCTGATGGTCCTTCTTATATTAGAAAATGAAACTTGTTCACCATGTACTTGCTTCTCTAGCCTAAATATTTCACATATGTTACCTAGTTAAAATTACATTCCTAGAAAAGAATGATCCAGATCTTTAAATTAACATTCACTACCTTTCAAATTTTAGATAAGTTTAATAATTCTAATCAAGTTTGCTATTATGGCTCACTCTGTAAGTTCTGGTTTCAAACAGATTGGCCTCTTTATAGGCTATAGACTCTCCTGCATTTATGCTTATGTCCCTATCCCTGCCTAGAATTCATACCCACTTCTTGCCTTTTCGGATCCTACCCATTCTTCATAATAATGATAATGCATTTTTAGTTCTATAAATGTAAGATGTCTCAAGTTTTGCACGTATTATATGATTTAGCCTTACAGTAAAATATGTGAATAATATTATTTATTATTACCAATTTCACAAACAGGAGTTTGTTTACATATACAAAGATAAGACTCTGAGATCAAACCCACACAATTTCACTACTTTCTAACTTTGAAACCTTATTCATATGCTACCTCATAAAATAATTTTCTTTTTCTGGTCACTCTGTCTCTCTTTGGGGGCACTAACCAAGGTCAGCAGATCTTGAGGTAAGCAAAACCTAGAACATGCCATTGGAAAATTCATCCTTGATATTGCTGTATTAAAATGGAGTGCTCGTAGATCCAATATGGAACAGTCATTCAAAATTTTAGAATTCAGAGTTTTCTAATCATGTTTCAGAAATAGGAGACCTAGATATAGAAAGGATTCAAAAATGATCAAGATTCAACTACCAAAGGATGACAATAAAACAAATGGGTAAAAAAGAGCTTCTCAGCACAAAGGTCTGGATATAAAATAAGCTGCACTTTCATTTATGAATTAGCATGCTCAAAAGGGAGCAAATAAATATGCCAGGTAGGATTAGATGAGAAAAAAACAACTAAATTACATGCCCTGCTTTGTTTTGTTGACTGGCATTTATTAATAGGTTGGGCATTTGTTAAAAGCATATTTAATAAATTATAATTCTGTATTCCTAGGATGTTGGCAAGCAAAATCCTATATATGTAATGAATACTTAATAGGGATTTGTACAGTTAGGAAGAGAATGAACATGTAAAGTAGATTTAACAAGTGCTTGAGACACTTGGATGATCTTATAAAAGCAAACCACAGATATTTTCTACCCTGTTATAATGTTTCCTTCTGGCATGAGCATATGGATATCCTGTTACCAAGGGTATAGTTCCCGCAAAATAGTTAATTTAAATTACAATAACAAAAAAGAACAATGAAGTTTCTTTAAAATTCCTAAATTAAATAGAAATTCTGTGCAGGCTTGCTACTTTGTAATATCCATTTCATAAAATAAATGAACTGGAATGATGTCAGCTGAAAAATGGTGAAATAGGGATCTCCAAGGGCTCATCTTGTCACTGAAACACCACAAAAATGAGCAAAACAGTCACTATTGCCTTTGTTAGAACTCTAGAAAATAACCGAGAGTTTACAACAAGTAAATAAACTCTAGATCAATAAAGATATGTTTTACCAACATAGTACTAAGAAACAAATACAGGTAATATTTTACTTTAACTTATTAAAAACAAAACTTTTTTTTATTTGCTAAACCAACTTCTGTTTGAGATCTGTTTCTTGTTTTCAGTTATTGGAGGAAAAAAGTCTTCCATAATTTTTGACCAAATATTCTTCCAAACCAGTCATGACAAAGTCAGGTTGCTCAGGTGGAAGCCATGGGAAATGCAGATATCTAATGCTAAGGAGATTGTCTGAAGATTTAAAGCCTCAATGACTAGAGAAGGCTTATTTCCTCCGAGTCAACCAATATTCCAAGCTCCACAAATTCCAAGTTCTCTACTTCACTTAAAGCTAGAGCGAGATAAAAATCATTTTTTAAGTTATACCCTATACAGATCAATCTGTGATAAAGTCATAAAGGAAGAACCTGCTTCTTAATTTCTTAAAATGCTGGATAGAGGGTAGTTTATGAAAACTATTTCTTCTATAACAAAATTTCAGATTCTTTGAGCCCTAAGAACTTATTTTTATGACAGTCATGTCAATGTTATTTGCAATTACTCTTCTGAACTAGTATTTTTAAAACAACAACAACAAAACAGTTGTTCTGGATATGTTTTCCCACTTTTTTGTTGTTTTTTGGTTTTGTTTTGCTGTTTGTTCTTGAAACGCAGGTGTATATAATTAAACTAATTTATTTTAGTTAGTGGCATACTAGGCTTTTATTTATTTGTTGTTTTTTTCCTTTGTTTGTAATGAACTCATGAACATATTACCCAATCTGAGAATTAGAATATTTATAACAAATTAAAGCTAACTATGGGCTCCTTTCATATATTTCTCTCTTTTCCATCACCACCCAGGGTAAACATTGTCCTAAATTTTATAATTTTTGCTTTCTTTTCCTTTTTACCACATATATAAACCTAAACAATGTATTTTAAATTTCAGATAATTTTGAAATGTGTAATAAAGTATCATGCCTTATGTTATAGTCTGTAACTAGATTAATCTTTTAATTAGTGTTATGGTATTATAAGTAAGGTTTATTTCTTATTATCGCACATAGCTATAGTTCATTCATTTTTACTATTGTAAAATCCATTGAGTGAAATACTGAATTCTTTATTCATTATCTATACATCAATATGCTTTTAACATTAGTAACATTGTAACTGAGATTTTATGTATGCGTCCTGTTCAATATACATACATGACGTTTCAATTCACAATATAAACTATTTTCCAAAGTGATTTTCCAATTTTTAAATCCAGTAGCAATATCATGGATAAGTCTCAAAATCATTAGGCTATGGGAAGAAATCCAGATATAAAGACTATGTATCTGATTGCAGGAAATTCAGGAATAGGCAAAATTATAATGACTGAAAATAAATAATTTTTTTCAAGTGTAGGATAGAGCTGTGAATTGACTGCAGAATAGAATGAAAGAACTTTCTGGAGTGATGGAAGTACTCTAAACCTTAATTTTAGTAGTGATTATGCAGCTGTTTATATTTGTCAAACAAAACTCATTGAACTGTTCATTTACAATAGCCGTTCATTTAAACTAAATATTTTTGAAATTATATCAATAAATCTTATTTAAAAATAAGGTTCAAATAATCCACATTGTTTTCAATTTATTAATATTGTGACTCCAAATTTGTACATTGATTGCAAAATTATCTTATTTTTAAAATCTTCATTATGCATTTCTTGGACGACATTATTACTTCAAATACTCATTGGAACAAATGTGATTCCTCTTCCATGAAAAGCTTATTGAAGTTATTTGCTCATTTTTATATTGGGTCATATATATATAATATATATATACTTTTTATGAATATATAATATATATAATATATATGCAGTTTGGGTACTATTGCTATGTATCCCTTGATGAACAGAAGTTTTAAATTTAATATATAGTAAAAGTTACAAATAATATATTTTACATTATAGTCTCTGTCATGTATTCAAAATTCTTCTCTACCTCAAGGTCTAAACAATTTTCAAACATATATTCTACCAAAGTAGTCAAATTTGTTTTACTTATTTGTCATTAATCTTTCTAGATTTGAGTTTTGCCAATTATCTAAAGAATCCAATTTTGTTTTCCAAATGTGTGGTTATTTTTTCTAACTATATTTACTTAATATGATTTAAAATCCACACTGATTGGCAAGAAGAATTATGTTGCTTTCTCCAAGGTCAAACAAGTTGCAAGTCCCCTTTAATAAAATTATTAAGGGGAGGAGCCAAGATGGCCGAATAGGAACAGCTCCAGTCTACAGCTCCCAGCGTGAGCGACGCAGAAGACGGTGATTTCTGCATTTCCATCTGAGGTACCGGGTTCATCTCACTAGGGAGTGCCAGACAGTGGGCGCAGGCCAGTGTGTGTGCGCACCATGCGCGAGCCGAAGCAGGGCGAGGCATTGCCTCACCTGGGAAGCGCAAGGGGTCAGGGAGTTCCCTTTCCGAGTCAAAGAAAGGGGTGACGGACGCACCTGGAAAATCGGGTCACTCCCACCCGAATATTGCGCTTTTCAGACCGGCTTAAGAAACGGCGCACCACGAGACTATATCCCACACCTGGCTCGGAGGGTCCTACGCCCACGGAATCTCGCTGATTGCTAGCACAGCAGTCTGAGATCAAACTGCAAGGCGGCAACGAGGCTGGGGGAGGGGCGCCCGCCATTGCCCAGGCTTGCTTAGGTAAACAAAGCAGCCGGGAAGCTCGAACTGGGTGGAGCCCACCACAGCTCAAGGAGGCCTGCCTGCCTCTGTAGGCTCCACCTCTGGGGGCAGGGCACAGACAAACAAAAAGACAGCAGTAACCTCTGCAGACTTAAGTGTCCCTGTCTGACAGCTTTGAAGAGAGCAGTGGTTCTCCCAGCACGCAGCTGGAGATCTGAGAACGGGCAGACTGCCTCCTCAAGTGGGTCCCTGACTCCTGACCCCCGAGCAGCCTAACTGGGAGGCACCCCCCAGCAGGGGCACACTGACACCTCACACGGCAGGGTATTCCAACAGACCTGCAGCTGAGGGTCCTGTCTGTTAGAAGGAAAACTAACAACCAGAAAGGACATCTACACCGAAAACCCATCTGTACATCACCATCATCAAAGACCAAAAGTAGATAAAACCACAAAGATGGGGAAAAAACAGAACAGAAAAACTGGAAACTCTAAAACGCAGAGCGCCTCTCCTCCTCCAAAGGAACGCAGTTCCTCACCAGCAACAGAACAAAGCTGGATGGAGAATGATTTTGATGAGCTGAGAGAAGAAGGCTTCAGACGATCAAATTACTCTGAGCTACGGGAGGACATTCAAACCAAAGGCAAAGAAGTTGAAAACTTTGAAAAAAATTTAGAAGAATGTATAACTAGAATAACCAATACAGAGAAGTGCTTAAAGGAGCTGATGGAGCTGAAAACCAAGGCTCGAGAACTACGTGAAGAATGCAGAAGCCTCAGGAGCCGATGCGATCAACTGGAAGAAAGGGTATCAGCAATGGAAGATGAAATGAATGAAATGAAGCGAGAAGGGAAGTTTAGAGAAAAAAGAATAAAAAGAAATGAGCAAAGCCTCCAAGAAATATGGGACTATGTGAAAAGACCAAATCTACGTCTGATTGGTGTACCTGAAAGTGATGTGGAGAATGGAACCAAGTTGGAAAACACTCTGCAGGATATTATCCAGGAGAACTTCCCCAATCTAGCAAGGCAGGCCAACGTTCAGATTCAGGAAATACAGAGAACGCCACAAAGATACTCCTCGAGAAGAGCAACTCCAAGACACATAATTGTCAGATTCACCAAAGTTGAAATGAAGGAAAAAATGTTAAGGGCAGCCAGAGAGAAAGGTCGGGTTACCCTCAAAGGAAAGCCCATCAGACTAACAGCGGATCTCTCGGCAGAAACCCTACAAGCCAGAAGAGAGTGGGGGCCAATATTCAACATTCTTAAAGAAAAGAATTTTCAACCCAGAATTTCATATCCAGCCAAACTAAGCTTCATAAGTGAAGGAGAAATAAAATACTTTATAGACAAGCAAATGTTGAGAGATTTTGTCACCACCAGGCCTGCCCTAAAAGAGCTCCTGAAGGAAGCGCTAAACATGGAAAGGAACAACCGGTACCAGCCGCTGCAAAATCATGCCAAAATGTAAAGACCATCGAGACTAGGAAGAAACTGCATCAACTAATGAGCAAAATCACCAGCTAACATCATAATGACAGGATCAAATTCACACATAACAATATTAACTTTAAATATAAATGGACTAAATTCTGCAATTAAAAGACACAGACTGGCAAGTTGGATAAAGAGTCAAGACCCATCAGTGTGCTGTATTCAGGAAACCCATCTCACGTGCAGAGACACACATAGGCTCAAAATAAAAGGATGGAGGAAGATCTACCAAGCCAATGGAAAACAAAAAAAGGCAGGGGTTGCAATCCTAGTCTCTGATAAAACAGACTTTAAACCAACAAAGATCAAAAGAGACAAAGAAGGCCATTACATAATGGTAAAGGGATCAATTCAACAAGAGGAGCTAACTATCCTAAATATTTATGCACCCAATACAGGAGCACCCAGATTCATAAAGCAAGTCCTCAGTGACCTACAAAGAGACTTAGACTCCCACACATTAATAATGGGAGACTTTAACACCCCACTGTCAACATTAGACAGATCAACGAGACAGAAAGTCAACAAGGATACCCAGGAATTGAACTCAGCTCTGCACCAAGCAGACCTAATAGACATCTACAGAACTCTCCACCCCAAATCAACAGAATATACATTTTTTTCAGCACCACACCACACCTATTCCAAAATTGACCACATAGTTGGAAGTAAAGCTCTCCTCAGCAAATGTAAAAGAACAGAAATTATAACAAACTATCTCTCAGACCACAGTGCAATCAAACTAGAACTCAGGATTAAGAATCTCACTCAAAGCCGCTCAACTACATGGAAACTGAACAACCTGCTCCTGAATGACTACTGGGTACATAACGAAATGAAGGCAGAAATAAAGATGTTCTTTGAAACCAACGAGAACAAAGACACCACATACCAGAATCTCTGGGACGCATTCAAAGCAGTGTGTAGAGGGAAATTTATAGCACTAAATGCCTACAAGAGAAAGCAGGAAAGATCCAAAATTGACACCCTAACATCACAATTAAAAGAACTAGAAAAGCAAGAGCAAACACATTCAAAAGCTAGCAGAAGGCAAGAAATAACTAAAATCAGAGCAGAACTGAAGGAAATAGAGACACAAAAAACCCTTCAAAAAATCAATGAATCCAGGAGCTGGTTTTTTGAAAGGATCAACAAAATTGATAGACCGCTAGCAAGACTAATAAAGAAAAAAAGAGAGAAGAATCAAATAGACACAATAAAAAATGATAAAGGGGATATCACCACCGATCCCACAGAAATACAAACTACCATCAGAGAATACTACAAACACCTCTACGCAAATAAACTAGAAAATCTAGAAGAAATGGATACATTCCTCGACACATACACTCTCCCAAGACTAAACCAGGAAGAAGTTGAATCTCTGAATCGACCAATAACAGGCTCTGAAATTGTGGCAGTAATCAATAGTTTACCAACCAAAAAGAGTCCAGGACCAGATGGATTCACAGCCGAATTCTACCAGAGGTACAAGGAGGAACTGGTACCATTCCTTCTGAAACTATTCCAATCAATAGAAAAAGAGGGAATCCTCCCTAACTCATTTTATGAGGCCAGCATCATTCTGATACCAAAGCCGGGCAGAGACACAACCAAAAAAGAGAATTTTAGACCAATATCCTTCATGAACATTGATGCAAAAATCCTCAATAAAATACTGGCAAACCGAATCCAGCAGCACATCAAAAAGCTTATCCACCATGATCAAGTGGGCTTCATCCCTGGGATGCAAGGCTGGTTCAATATACGCAAATCAATAAATGTAATCCAGCATATAAACAGAGCCAAAGACAAAAACCACATGATTATCTCAATAGATGCAGAAAAAGCCTTGGACAAAATTCAACAACCCTTCATGCTAAAAACTCTCAATAAATTAGGTATTGATGGGACGTATTTCAAAATAATAAGAGCTATCTATGACAAACCCACAGCCAATATCATACTGAATGGGCAAAAACTGGAAGCATTCCCTTTGAAAACCGGCACAAGACAGGGATGCCCTCTCTCACCGCTCCTATTCAACATAGTGTTGGAAGTTCTGGCCAGGGCAATCAGGCAGGAGAAGGAAATAAAGGGTATTCAATTAGGAAAAGAGGAAGTCAAATTGTCCCTGTTTGCAGACGACATGATTGTTTATCTAGAAAACCCCATCGTCTCAGCCCAAAATCTCCTTAAGCTGATAAGCAACTTCAGCAAAGTCTCAGGATACAAAATCAATGTACAAAAATCACAAGCATTCTTATACACCAACAACAGACAAACAGAGAGCCAAATCATGGGTGAACTCCCATTCACAATTGCTTCAAAGAGAATAAAATACCTAGGAATCCAACTTACAAGGGATGTGAAGGACCTCTTCAAGGAGAACTACAAACCACTGCTCAAGGAAATAAAAGAGGAGACAAACAAATGGAAGAACATTCCATGCTCATGGGTAGGAAGAATCAATATCGTGAAAATGGCCATACTGCCCAAGGTAATTTACAGATTCAATGCCATCCCCATCAAGCTACCAATGACTTTCTTCACAGAATTGGAAAAAACTACTTTAAAGTTCATATGGAACCAAAAAAGAGCCCGCATTGCCAAGTCAATCCTAAGCCAAAAGAACAAAGCTGGAGGCATCACACTACCTGACTTCAAACTATACTACAAGGCTACAGTAACCAAAACAGCATGGTACTGGTACCAAAACAGAGATATAGATCAATGGAACAGAACAGAGCCCTCAGAAATAATGCCGCATATCTACAACTATCTGATCTTTGACAAACCTGAGAAAAACAAGCAATGGGGAAAGGATTCCCTATTTAATAAATGGTGCTGGGAAAACTGGCTAGCCATATGTAGAAAGCTGAAACTGGATCCCTTCCTTACACCTTATACAAAAATCAATTCAAGATGGATTAAAGATTTAAACGTTAAACCTAAAACCATAAAACCCCTAGAAGAAAACCTAGGCATTACCATTCAGGACATAGGCGTGGGCAAGGACTTCATGTCCAAAACACCAAAAGCAATGGCAACAAAAGACAAAATTGACAAATGGGATCTAATTAAACTAAAGAGCTTCTGCACAGCAAAAGAAACTACCATCAGAGTGAACAGGCAACCTACAACATGGGAGAAAATTTTTGCAACCTACTCATCTGACAAAGGGCTAATATCCAGAATCTACAATGAACTCAAACAAATTTACAAGAAAAAAACAAACAACCCCATCAAAAAGTGGGCGAAGGACATGAACAGACACTTCTCAAAAGAAGACATTTATGCAGCCAAAAAACACATGAAGAAATGCTCATCATCACTGGCCATCAGAGAAATGCAAATCAAAACCACTATGAGATATCATCTCACACCAGTTAGAATGGCAATCATTAAAAAGTCAGGAAACAACAGGTGCTGGAGAGGATGCGGAGAAATAGGAACACTTTTACACTGTTGGTGGGACTGTAAACTAGTTCAACCATTGTGGAAGTCAGTGTGGCGATTCCTCAGGGATCTAGAACTAGAAATACCATTTGACCCAGCCATCCCATTACTGGGTATATACCCAAATGAGTATAAATCATGCTGCTATAAAGACACATGCACACGTATGTTTATTGCGGCACTATTCACAATAGCAAAGACTTGGAACCAACCCAAATGTCCAACAATGATAGACTGGATTAAGAAAATGTGGCACATATACACCATGGAATACTATGCAGCCATAAAAAATGATGAGTTCATATCCTTTGTAGGGACATGGATGAAATTGGAAACCATCATTCTGAGTAAACTATCGCAAGAACAAAAAACCAAACACCGCATATTCTCACTCATAGGTGGGAATTGAACAATGAGATCACATGGACACAGGAAGGGGAATATCACACTCTGGGGACTGTGGTGGGGTCGGGGGAGGGGGGAGGGATAGCATTGGGAGATATACCTAATGCTAGATGACACATTAGTGGGTGCAGCGCACCAGCATGGCACATGTATACATATGTAACTAACCTGCACAATGTGCACATGTACCCTAAAACTTAGAGTATAATAAAAAAAAAAAATAATAATAAAATAAAATTATTAAATATACTTAACTTTTAAAGCCCCATACCGGAGATGTTATTACATATTTAGTAATGTTTATCTATTCAAGGAGGATTGTCAATTTTATAATTATAATACTCTCTTTGATATTCTAACAATAATATAAAACCTGACTAAGGTTAAAGCAGTATCTAATTGATCTTTAGCCTATACTTTTCAGTACATGAAAGTCTCACATTTACATTTCCTATGTGGCACCATTTCCTTAGAAGGATGTCCAGTGGTTAATAACACAGCTATCTGAGTCATGGTTTAATATTTACAACAATATTATAAATCATTCTGCCTTAAAATACTTCTATTTAAAAATTTTTAAAAGAACTGATTATATGAAAAACTTTTCCAAAAAGTGCACTATTTGGTTAACCAATCCAGAATGATTCTTAGTAGAATTGTAACCTAAGTGATACAGTTTAGGTTAGTTTTCTTAATTAAACTAACTTTCTTTCTCAAGATTAATTTTCTTAATTGTTACAAGTGCTTTTCAGCATGTTAAGTGGTGAAAATAAAGAGTGGTATAACATGTACATTTATAGCATAATTCTTTTGTTATAAATATTGTGACTTTTAATAGTTTAAGTCTAATTATATTATCAAAAATTAAAAGTGTTTTTAATTTTTGTTAAATAATCAAAGCAACTTAGTGTTGGTTTTGAATTTGCTCACAATTTGGGCTGGCCTCAGACGTATGGTTCTCCTGTTGGTGTTCCCCATATTCATGAATATAGCTCTGGTAGTTCAACTGGGGCCAGGTGAACCAAAATGATAACCTAAATGGTTATTTAGGACTCTTGTCTGAGACATCTAGTTTCATCTCCGCCTGGACTCTTTACAATGGACTCTCAAAGCAATGACAGCATTCCAGGAAGAAAAGTCCCATTGTTCAAATGCTTATTACATCTGTGCTTGAATTATGTTTGATGATATTTGCAGAGAATATAAAATTTTACCTCTACCTTTTTTGGCCAGATAATTAATTTGGTATAAAACAAACCTACAGGAGAAAAATATACAAATTTATTTCATACAGATGCTTTTCCCTTTGTGATAGGGTTATGTCATGATTAAACCCATCCTAAATTGAAAATACTGTAAGCCAAAAATGCATTTAATACACGTAACCTACAAAACATCATAACTTAGCCTAACTTACATTAAACATGTTTAGAACACATACATTAGTCTACAGTGGGGAAAAACCATCTGATACAAAGCCTATTTTATAATAAAGTGTTGACTATTTTATGTAACTTATTGAATACTGTACAGAATGTGAAGAACATAATGGTTGTAATGATACCATTAACATACACAGCTGAAAGTACACAGGGCATGAAGAATGTTTGAAACATTGAACTAAAATTAATTACTGGGTGACGGGGATGCTACTGCAACAGGGTCATCAATTTCTCTTTCTTCTGATGAAGGTAAAAAATCGCTGGTAGAATTCAGCGATTGGCACTTACTGATGGTTTAGCAAGCATAGTGTTTTTCAAGAAGATATCAAGTTTTGACTGTAAAGTTTATTCTTTTCATTATTTATTTCTCTTTTGCAAGCAAGAGCATCCTATATTTGCCTGTCAGCTCTTACCAATCTCTTATAATTGGCAAAAAATGAATTTTTTTTTCTAACATCCGTAAGCCACTGCTGACAATAGCTAATGCTGCCACCAGTTCTTTCACTGTGAACTTTCTTGGTGTCTCAGTTATAAATTCTTTTTCCTTTGCCTCAACTTCTTTACTACTTTCTTTCTCCAGGTTGATCAGCTTCTCTTTGGTAACTTTTCAGCCTCAATGCCAACAAGGTCATGAATATCCTCTTCATCCATGTGAGATTCTGGCTGTTCACCATATACTAATATCTTGTTACTTACTATTTTTGTCAACAGAAGAATCTTTGTTAAAGCTTTTGAATGTGTTCACGTATGTCATCAAACTTTCTTCCAAATAGCATTGTTGTGTGACCTTTTCCCATGCTGCAATGATGTTACAGATAGCATTCAAAATGTTAAAAATGTTCCAAAACTCTCAGAGCCTATGACCAGATTCAGTTACTTCAACACCCTGCATAAATGTTTGCCATAAATAATGTGCTTTGAATAAGCTATTGCATCTTGGTCCATTGCCTGAATAAGTGCTGTCTTGTTCAGTGGCAAATGCATGACTTTTACACCAGAATGCATGTCACCAATATGCTGGAGCATTGTCTAAGATCAGAGGAATCTGGAATGGGATGTTATTTTGCCTACAATATTCTCTTACTTTCAGAATAAAACAGTTCAAAACCCAGCTTTCAAAGAATGCTGACATCATTCATGCTTTCTTGTCATAGTGATAATAAATGAGAAGTGTATGCTTGCTCACATTTTGAATGCTCTAGCATTCCCCCAGTGGAAGCTTAGGAAAGGCTTTAAATTAAACTGCAAAATTTTCACCACCCAACAGCGTTACACAGTCTTTGAATGTCTTGAATCCTGGCATGGTCCTGGACTCTTGATATATGTATGTATGCTCCAGAATATGATTTCAGAACAAGCTTATTTCATCAGCATTAAATATTTGTTCTGGAAAATATTGCTCATCCACAATTATCTTATGCTGCTCTTCCTTAAAAGCTTTGGCACCTTCAGTATTGGCACTTGCTGCTTCACTATTGACCTTCACGTCATGAAAATTATGACACCTTTTGAAGCACTGGAACTACACAAGACTTGCATATAAGTAGAATCATCTGCACGCTTTTTTTGAGTGTACTGAAAAGACTTCTTGCTTTAGCTGACAATTTCATTCTATCTTCACGGACTGCAAATGTCCTAACTCACTGCAATGGCCATTACTGGTTTGCCCCCTTTATCCTGAGCAATTATCTTAAGTTTCATCTCAAGAGTATTTGCCTTCCTCTTCTCACAAGAAGTAGGAGACACAGATGGAAGTTTTGTAGATGTGATCAGATGCAAAAACACAGAAAACAATATCCAAAAAACACTGGCAACATAATACACTGTAGAGCAAACTTGTGATTGTGTGGCTGACTGGGAACTGGGGCTCACTGCTGTTTCCCAGCATACAGAGGGAATGTGGATTACATATGGCTTACCTAGGAAAAGATAACAATTCCAAATTCAATGTACAGTTTGTATTCCATGTGTACCACTTTCATGCTATCATAAAGTCAAAAAAATGTGAGTTGGCAATTTTATTCTGGGAATCATCTGTAAAAGTTTTACATGGCATGGGAGCTTTCATAAGGAAATGAAGACCCAAAGATGCACTTAGAGTTGAACACTTATAGGCTAAATCAGACAAAGATTTTGTAAAAATGTGACAAGGCAAAGGGATCTGGGCTAGGGTGGTTAATTGAGTGGGAAAGTGGCTAGGGAGATAAGGGTTCATGTGACAAGGTTTGTTTTCACATATTTCCCTCAGCCTCAACTTCCCATCCTTGATAAAAATCATATTTTCTTTCTGGTACAGGCAGAATACCTTCTACATGGGAATTCCATCTCTCACTTTTAAGAAGCAAAAAGAAGATCAGAGTGATCTTCCTGTACTTGCTGTTTTCCAAGTGCCTTTAACTCAAAATAGTCAACATGCCAGTAGTATATTTTGGGTTAGAATGTTATTAATGCCAGCATGTCCTTTGGGTCAAAGTAAGGCATATGACCATGCCCAGAGTCACTGTGAAAGTGGACTACAGAAGGCCATGGATACCCAGGGGTATGATTTACTGTGATTTATTGAGTTGCATATTAATGTAATAATCCACTACAATCTGCTCCCTAGATTAATAATCCACTACAACCTGCTCTCTAGGCTCAATGATTAAAGACTTTTTATATGCAAAATGCACTCTCACTCTCCCAAGACTCCCCAAATATCTCTTCTCATGATATTCAAGAAAATGGGGTTTTGCTTTGAATTTGGTTTTGTGAGGAACTAGGAGTGATTTTAAGAACGGGCATATTAATATTGTCTAGGAGGAGGAAAGACTAAAGTGAAAAAGGACAGGAGACTAGAGAAGAAAGAGAAAATCATCCCTTGACATGAAGGAACTGACCCAAAACTAACACCTAGGTCATAGAGTTGTTACAAGCTGGCTTGGTATTCTCAGCTAGGTACTGTTATTTTCCCAGAATAAACAATCTTACAGCAACTAACACATGACAAGTTCATTTTAAAAACATAATGAAGTGAGACAAGAAACAAGACCAATACATAATTTTAACTAAACACAGACAATTATGGAATTAGCAAAAATAAACAGCCCTTCTCCTGGCTAAAATTGGCAAGCCAATTGCAGCTTTAGCCTCACTCGAGTCTTCCTTCCTCAAAGGTGTGTTCTGGTGTTCTTTGGCTGGATAACATTGGCAGTATTATGCTAAATTTCATGATGTTCTCATTTCATCAAGTCTGAATTAAGATGAGACTCCTCGGCTGTAGCTGCTCTTGATCTCAAGACATCAAAACCAGAAAGAAAAAGAGAGAGACAGAAATGAACAGAAGGAAGGAAGGAAGAAAGGAAAGAGCAAACACTCTATAATGTACAAAGACAGGATAATCACAATAGTTGCTTTCATCCAAAAAGGGATCAAGTGGGAGACCTTAGCTGATATTTGTTAATAAGTGATTTTAAAATGTAGCCAAATAGATTGTCAGGGGTACCGATTGTCAGGGGTACCTATTGTAGGGGCAGGAAATTTTTCAGGATTAGTGCCTGGTTCTGTTCCCAGATAGCGGTTTATAATCTGTTGTTGTCTCCTGTGACTGAGTATGGCCTCTGGGATTTTTAGCTCTGCTTTCTGAAAGTTACTTCTTTTTCCTCAACAAATGGGTACACTTGAAGCTGAATAGTTTTTTCAGCCTGATCTCTGTAAAACATTGATGTTCCATAGCCTCTTTTTATTTTGACTTCTTTTTTGACTCTTTTTATCTAGCTAGTAGAATCTTGATAAATTCTTAGTTTGTATAAATCTGATCATGGATTATAACATGTGTTCTAAAAAAACACATGCATAATTCTCTCTAGGCTTGTTGGACTTCCATGGAATTATATCCACAAAGTTAGAAGCCATTTTGTTTCTTGCTTAGAGGGTCCACTCGGCAATACCTTTAAAGTGCAGAGGTCTTAACAGAGTATTGACAGCAACACATTTGCATGATCCTTACTCTGAAGCAATTTCTTTGAAAATCTTTTGTTTTTGTTAGGTATAATGGATTTTATTAATCTTTATTTGTCAACCCAACAATCCCTGGAGGCTCTAAGTTTCCTTTAAATTCTGCTTACAAGCTTAACAAAATTCTGCTTTGTAAGCTAAAACTCTTTCTCTCTCTCCTTCTGTATCTCTATCTCTGTCATCTTTTGCAGCTAAAAGAAGCCAATTGGCACTTTTCATATTCTCCTATTACTTTGTCACTACAAAACATCTCATAATTCTTCCAGTCTCCAGTGATAATTTCTTCACTGTCTTTTCAACTTTCATTAACAATTTGTTCACCATTCTTCCATTTTTCATTCAATGCCGTCACCCAATGTCATTTGTTTAATTTTTTGAAGGGTTGCACCCCAGATATAGGTTCCAATTTTTGTTTCAGTTTCCTATGCTTAAAACAACAATCATTTATTTGCATGCTCTTCTACAATCTGGGTCAAGCTCAGTTGGACAGTTTATCAGCTGGTCTTTCCTGGGGTCACTTGCAAATATTTAGTCCTCTGGCTATTCTCCTAGGGCTAAGTGGTCCAAAAAGGCCAGAGCCACATGGCTGGATATTAGCTGGGGCCATGGGTCAGGGTACCTTATTTCTCTTCCACCTGACCTCTTTTGAAGAGTCATCCAGATTTTTTACACAGTGATGGCAATCTTTCAGGAAGCAGTCACCAATGCACAGTGCTTACCAAGCCTCAACTTGTGTTATTTTTGCTGATGCCTAATAGCCAAAGCAAGTCTGAGAGCCAAGCCCATGTGAGTTAGCAGATACTAAGAGATATGATACATTAGAAAACACTAATGACATAATCTTCCAATGTTTACCTATAAATATTTAAACAGTATGTGATAATTTTTTCATTATGATTATTTTTCTAAATTTTGTCTTACATATGAGATATATTAGCTGTATAATAAAAAAACATGTTAAGTAATAATTTGAAATGAATTGCTTTTCCTTGCAATCATGTTGTTTTTAAGACTGAAGCAAATTTATAATTTAAAAAATTACAATTCATGATTTACAAAAACAATAAAGGCAAATTTTCAATATGGGTTGATAATATTTAATAATATTCTCATTTTTTTGCCTTCTTCACCTATATCCTACAGTAGTGTGTTAACCAATGCCAAATAATTGTTTATTGATAGAAAATATATTTTATTTTCAACTTGCTTCAATAATATATTTACAAAGTAGAGTCAACTCAGATATTTAGGAAAACCCATGCTTGGCAAGTATATTCTGTACTTACACTTACTTGATATGTTTCAAAATATAATTCATACCATCATTCAAGTTTATTTTCTATCTTTCAGAAATATAATTTCTCCATTAAACACCCCCCAAGAAATCATCCATGCACAATTTTAAAACATGACATTGCCATTTTATTCTAACATTTTTATAACAAATCAATTGGCTTCAACTAGAAAGTTATCTTCTTTTAGTGGAATAACAAATAACACAACGTCTTAATAATTTCAAGTGATTATAGGAAAAGTAACTTCATGTTTGTGTACTATTCTAGATCTTCTCATTATGCAAACGTCTCCAGCTATAGAAAAATCTGGTAAATTATCAGATCTTTCTAGTAGACGTGGCAAATAAAATATAATGATACCCCTTTCTCTTCCATTCAACATGTAAATTGTGAGGTCACATAGACCTTATTGCATTTATTTCATCATTCCTATTGAGATTTATAAAGTCATTTTTTTTTTTGTTTAAACTAACCATCTCTTCCTCCAGGCCCTTGTTCAGACAAAGTGAGCATATATACTTGTTTTTAGGCAATTAACATACAAGGCTATGGATTTTTAAAAAATTACGCTTCTTGATGTCTAATACTCATGCTCAGCTTCAATTATAATGACAAATGCTCTACAATTTTTCTTGATTTATTTACTTGCTTACAGAGGTACCAATTAGGTAGAATATCAGACAGAAGGGGAGAGAAGAAGATGAGATAGTTTGTGGTTTATCCTTTTTGCTTATTGTGTACATATGATCATTGATAAGGAAATATATCATTATCTGGTACATGGGTATAAGGCAAATGTGCCTCCTAGTTACTTATTTTTTAATATGTGGTTGTATACAGATAAAGAGGTTTAGAAAGGGGAAAAGAAAGGGGAAGAATATACATAGAGTATACCAATAACTTTTTTGAGCTAATAAAGAATATATGGACACACAGTCACTGGTTTTTGCATGCAGAGACTTGTTTTGTTGTGTCATTTATAAAGAAAAAAAAAGAGCCTAAGGGAGAGTAACAGTGATTGACAATAAGAAAAAGATACAGGATATATGGGTTATACAGGAATAGTGTCTATTTACAAAATATGTTCTTACCCATGTAAACAGTATACTGAACATGATGTGGTGAAAGAGTAAAACCCTTAACTCTTGCCATCAGCCAAGAATGGGGATTATATTACATATGATTTATCATGGATTATATTTTCACTTCAAATAAGAAATTTATCTTCAAAATGACCACATACAGGAACTTACCCTTCTTGAAACAATTAAAAAGGCTAATAATTCCTATTTCTAACACTGCAACACACAAGAAAATACAGGGGTAAGACCAAGTGCTCAGATTTAATGTCAAGAGAGTGAGATTGTAGAAAGTATAATAAGCAGATGGCAATGAAGAAAATATTCCTATCGCAATCCTTATGTACTTGCATCAACTTTGCAGAAGTATATATGAAATTAGATGTATACATACAATACCACCAAGGAGTTCCAGTTCAAGAGGTGAAAAGATCACAGCTATCTGCCTCTCCCTTCATCTTTGTCCCATTTAGGTCAGTAAAAAATCTACCACAACGATACAAAAGGAGAAGAAAAAGGAGGAGGAGGAGGCCATTGCAGCACTGAAAAAACATCATGAAAAAGAGAGTATTTCCATGGATTTTTTGAAAGACTCAAAGCAGATGGGATAATATTCACAAATGAAAGCAGAAAAAAACTCAATACACAAATATTGAAGGAAGACATTTCACAGCAGAGGTGGAAACCAGTGGACTTGATAGAACCCAACAGAACCCAGAAACAAATTCAAACTTGGAGGAAGGCAGAGCGGGGAGCAGGAGAGGACTTTAAGGCAGAAGTCAGGGACAGAAACTCAGACCATCCAAAGAACAGCCAGGTCACTTAAGATCTCTCTTGCCTCCGTGAAAGTGAGGCTGCTGACTGAAGCATCTGCCCCTGGGAGATTTGCTTGGGGAGGACACATAGCATGGGTTTTGGACTGGGGTGAGAGAAAGAGCAGATTCTAACATTACTATGGAGCACCACCGAGGGCCCATGTGTGAATGAACTAAATATCTATCTACGGAAGAAAGGAAAAAGATTATTTTTGGCTAAAATCAAGTATTAAGAAGTCTTTTTTTTTTTTTTTGCCTTTAGGGCTCCTATTCTCAAGCTAAAGGAATATGACTCTATTTGAAAGGTTTTGTTTTTTGTTTTTCATTTTTGCTTTAAGAAAAACAGCTTAATTTACACAGCAGTCCCTGAATAACTTCTTGCTAGAAAAGCTTTAGTATTAGGTCTGTCTATTTATGCTACCAAGGCCAATGATAAGATAAAGATAATAAAATAAAGAGGATAAAAAGAATCATGAATTGAAATTAATTTTATGGATTATAAACTGAGCTTCTTTAAATAATTTATTTCACATTATTTGTTAATCTTCCTGCTTAATTTTGTCTGGAGTAGGAAACAGTGGGTGTGGGTGAACCAAACTAAAGGGCAGGCAGAAGATTCTGAACAGGCAGGTTTGGGAGGTTTTAACAGCTTGTTTATAACACTGGAAATTCTTAGAATAGAAGTTACATCATTTTCAAGGCAAATGTGAGTGATTTGGCCTCTCTCTTTTGTTTGTTCTCCTTCCTCAGCATAGATAGTCACAGGCTAAATAAACAAGAATACATGTTTCTAATATTGTCTAGAATCTGTTATTGTAAAGACATAAACATTGCTAATCAGAAGAAATCATAAGTTCTGAAAAAAAAGATAAGTGAAATCACACGAACTTCCACTTCTGTGTCCTCTTCCTACACAAGTCACTGTATAATATATAGAAAATGATATAAATATAGGAATAGCTGTCCAAAAACTCCAGGTTGACTCTACTCTTTCCAAGTTAACTAGAAAATTGCCAACTTTCAGGTTTACTTTATCCTGGGTTGACTTAGTAAGATTATGTTATAACTTCTCTATTTATTAATTATGTATGGATATTTTAACATATTTATTGAGGAATAATTCAGATACTCTAAAATCAACCCATTTAATGTGTATAATTCAATAATTTTAGTATACTCACAGAGTTGTGCAACCTTTGGCAAAATCTGTTTAGAAAATTTTTATCACTTCAAAAAGAAACCCTGAAATCAATAGCAGTCATTCTCTCTTCTAATGCACACCCCAGCCAAATATTTCCTCTCTGTCTCTATAGATATGACTATTCTGGACATGCCACATAAATGGAATTAAAGAACACATCCTCTTCTTAGTTGGGTTATTTCATTTAGCATAAGGTATTTAAGGTTCATCCACATTGAGGTATGTTTGAGAACTGTATTTTTTTAAATTGCTGAATAATATATCACAATGTGTTTATTCACTTACCAGTTTATGGGCATTTGGGCAGTTTTCTTCTTTTATATTATGAATAATTTAGCTGTCAACATTAGTGTACACGTTTTTGTGTGTACCTGTGTTTTCAGTTTTCTTGGGCATATATCTATGAGTTGAATTTTGGGGTAATGTGGTATTACTATTGATAACATCTTGAAGGACTACCAACTTGAAAGGACTGTAAAATGACTGTACCATTTTTCATTCCAATTTTTCCACATCCATGTCAACACTTACTATTGTCTGTCTTTTTGATTATAGTAATTCTAGTGGTTTGTGTTTCCCAATAGCCTGCAATGTTGAGCATTTTAACTTTTCAGCATCACATCATTTTACTAATTTTATTACTTCCTTCTCCTTGATAGATTTTATTCTAACATTTCTCCTTGCATCCTATCATACTCTTATCTGAACTGCCACCCTCTTCACTACCATTCTATTATCAACTCATCAGTGAAACTAGTTCTTTTAAAACACAAGTCAGTTCATGTCAATCCTTTACCCGCAGTGGTTATACATATCATGAAAAGAAAAAGGCACATCTTAGAATGGACTGCAAGGCAATTTACAAGGCTATTTGTCCCCATTAACTCTATGTCTATGTTTCTTGCACTATTTCTATATCCAGTTAATTCCAGCTTCTCTGGCCTTTTTTTTATATTTCTCAAAAACTCCAAAAATGTTTCTATCTTAAGGCCTTTGCTTCAGATTTTTCTTTTTTCTTTCCCTCAGATGTCCTCAAAAGATGAGGACTAAAATTAATCACTGGTTTTCACAAACTGGAGGTCTTTGCTGTCTTTATTGAATGCAGTTTCTGTGGAATGACAGAAAACAAACACTGATTGGAGAAGTTGCAAAGAGCATAAAGGAGAGGAACTGGAAATTGTAGGTATAGAAAACTCATTAAGTTGTGTTGGAAAAGAGAGCACAGAATTGGGTCAAGAAATGCAAGATTAATAGGGTCAAAGAAGGCCTATTTATGACTCCTAAATTGAGCACTTAAAAAAGTTTACAGATTAACACAAAAGTGTTGCAAATGAGAAGAGAAATATTTTAATGTTTTAACTGAAAATACTGAAAGTCTTAGTGGATATTTAGATTTTGTTTGTTTTATTTCATACAGCATTCTTTCTCTCTTTTCATGATAATATCATGTGTTTTCATCTTTTGATGTCTAACTTACTAATAAAGCATTGAAAAATATCTTTCTTCCATCTTAAGAAAAAACACTGACTTTTTTTCTAATTCACACTGTCTGAATTTTAATTCACAGTATCGTGTCCCTGCTGAGTCTTGAAGAAAGAGAGAAAGAAAAAGTTTTAAATGAAATTCTAAGAATCAGTAACAAGGCAATTGAAATCAATTTTTCCAAACACATAAAAGGGAAGCCATCAATGTAGTTTGCAACTCTTTCAGACTCCAGACTAATATTGATTTCTTTATTGATTTTCTTAATATTTTCTGGGGAGTATTATTGTAAGGTTATATGTGCATACTAAGGTACTGGCATTTTAATACCTTTCTTTAGGGAAAGAAATGCATGGAAGTTTTTGTTAAAAAGAAATGCTAAAAAATTGCATATCATCGTCAATATAAACAGATAACTCAAAAGTTTGCTGCTTTTGTTTATTACATCTGACTTGTCTCTCAAGGGATAGTAATTTCCCAATGTCACTTTTTAAAATGCAAGAATCTCTAAATTACTTATCTCTTTACAAGACTTGACAATGAGATCTTCCAGGCACATTCTCCTTCTATTGAAACTTAATCACAATGTACTAAAATTGTCAACAAACTCATTTCATCATGTAGCACCATGCATTTTTACAACAATTTTTCGTAGGGCTACTAGCAAAATGTTTAACAGGCCCATATCAGGATTGTTTTGAAGTGTGTTAGTTAGACTAAGAACAGAAAAATAGCAAGGAATCCTTTTCTCCAGCCGTCTATTCTGTGTTGTCTTCTTGAGCCTGAAGAAAATTAATAAAGGCAAATAGAAAGTCAAGAAATAGGCTGTCATCTTCTGTTTTTAAAGAAATCTCCTTGGCACTAACATTTTTTCTAGCTCTTTTCTTTTAAAAAAAATTCCCCATGCCATACAAAGTCCTTTTCAAAGACCTGCACATTGAATGTGATTAATTTATTATGTGATGATTTTTAATAAAAAAATTATTGAAGTTGGCATTTTAGTGAGCAAACACATAATGTTTAGGTAAAAGTGACTTTTCCTCAAATATAAGAAAGTTACTTTGAAAGAATGTCATTTTGATAGGAGTCAACCTATAGATGCTTATGTAAAAACAAAATACCTTAATTAAACTAGAAAAATTATCAGTCCATTAACTATTGAGCTAAAATGAACACTTGACCATCTTTAAATCATAACTTTCATGGAAATAGTATAAAAATACATAATTAATAAATGCTAAGAAAATCCTTATTTATGGATTCTTTTTAAATTTCAAATGAGATAATACTTGTAGGTGATACAGTCAGGTATATCAAAAAGCAGTTTTGTTAGTAATTTTAAAAATCATGAATACATTGTTTTCCAAGTAGCTAGAAATGCATAATTGTCATTTATTCTTTAAAATAGAAGGCTGTCCTATGACTCAAGACAAGACAGAAAGTGCTAAGACGATAACCACTCAGGTTTCAGAGGTATCCTTCCTCATCAAGTGTGAAGGTGAACATGACAACTTCATAATAGAAAAGAATAAAAGTCATCTCAAAAACAAAACCAAAGAATATAACAACAAACTTCAGTTAGGGTCTTTTCTACAAACCACCATTTAGAAAACAGACCTTATTTTTATCTATTTTCATTAAAGAACATACTAAAATAATAATAACATTTTGTTTGACCAAGAGATCATAATTTCTATTATACATTCTTAGTTTTTGAAAATAAATTATGAATACATGTAATTCATATTGCTGGGTGTTTTTCTCTTTTATTCCTAATGTAGTCACAGAGAGAAAATACATTGTGCATATCACATTTTTTAAATGGTGGTGAGAAATAGAAGTTTAGAAATAGCAGAGCTTTTGCATGTCTCAAATATAGTGCCTATATATCTCATTACTGCAATTCCTAGAACAGTATGCAAAGATTCTGTAAAGTGTTCATTTCTAACTTTTGGTCAATATACATATGTATTTACCTATTTATATATTTAAATATTAATAATATTCATTCAGTTCAGATTGAATATTCAGAAGATTGCTATATAATGATATGGTCTATGTTTAAGTACTAAATTAAAAGACTACCTACAGTATATAATAAATGAGAACCCATTAAACGTTATATTCCTCCCATGGAGAAAATAAATGGTAGAATAGTACTGAACTTGCTCCAAACTTATACAAATTATAATGATATGTTCTTTCATTTTTAATATTTAAAATCAGCTAGTTACCAAAGCTGAACATATAATTAGAATTACAGAGCAAAATGTAAATATGAAAACTTCAACAAATAAAAGTAAAGAGCTCACTGGAAAAGCTTGGGACCTTGCGCAGTGGCTCATGCCTGTAATCCCAGCACTTTGGAAGGCTGAGGCAGGCAGATTGCTTGAGTCCAGGAGTTCGAAATCAGCCTGGGCAACATAATGACAAAAAATAAACAAAAATAGCCCAGTGTGGTGGCATGCGCCTTAGTCACAGCTACTCAGGAGCCTGAGGTGGGAGGATCGCTTGAGCCCAGGAGGTCAAGGCTTCAGTGAGCCATGATTGTGCCACTGCACTCCAGCCTGGGCAACAGAGCGAGATCCAGTCTCAAGATCCTGTCTCAAAATAAAACAGAACAAAACAAAATACTTGAAATTTCGAAGAAAGCATAAATAATAAGAAGAAATGAAAAAGGAATAATATCTTCATCTTCAGTGAAGTAGAGATCCACACTAAAATTGACCAATCATGACAGAGATGCATAAACAAGCGTATTTAGTGATATTGAGGTGATTAACTGAAGGCCTGAAACAAAAGTAGGTAAAAGAAGCTGCCTCTGGTGATGTGAATGAGTGTTTAAAGACAATAGGTTTTTAATTTTAAGCTGTCAGGTATTATTTTAACCATATGAAGGAGCTGATTTAATTAAATCATAAGCTATATGATGAGGTTTATCTGTGTCCAGAAGAGTTCTTGGCACAAGCAGGTCCTCAATTCATATATATTGAGCAAAATAATTCAGTAAAGTGATTATTACTCAATATTAGCAGTAGATTCTCATCCTGCCACAGTCACTCACTACTTGTGAGGTCTTGGACACGTTGCTGAAGTTCACGTTTAGGTATTGTCTATGAGTGATTTTGTGCAACAGCAGAGTTGGATAATTGTGACGGGGATTGGCTTACAAAATGTAAATTATTTACTACGTACAGGACCAGAAAAAGTTTTCTATTAAAAAAACTAGATATTGTTCGTATGTTAAAAAGTTTTCTGACCACTTCCCTAGAGGAGGGTAGAAATGCAACAAAGGAGAGTTCATATCTCTCCAGTCATGTGGGAGCGGGTCAGCTGTGGACCTGGCAGAGCTGTTCTAATTGAGAGATGTTCATCTGTCACAGATCTGGTTCAGACCTCAGGGTGAACTACAGAATCCCTGGCTATATGACATCCAAATTAGCACACTCTGATCTCCCTGCAGTTGGAGCAATTGTTAGATAATATAAAAATGTGGTTGCGTAGAACCGGAGGAGTGGGGAGAACCCCACCTAACCAACCTGCAACTTCCAAGTGCCTCAGAGGTAAAGGTGCATTGTGAAGAATTTGATGGGTCTCTCCTGGTTCTGCGAGTTGGGGGTTTTAACCATTATCTGAGCTTAGAACCTGAAATGCTTGGAACAGTAACTTGGAAGATGAGGTGTTCATTAATAAGGACTTGGGAGTGGGTAGTGTTCGGAAACAACCTTCTGATTTTGAAGAAGTTACATAGAAGCAATGAAAATAATGAGTAAATAGAAAATTACTGTCAAGTGAGTAAATGGTAAACTAATCCAAATATTGGAATAAAAACTAAGGCAGCCCTCCTTATTGGGAGAAACATACAGCATTTGTAAATTTTGGTGTGGTATAAAATAAATGTAAATGTGATCTTGCAGATTATCTGCAGCTGGCAGGAAGTAGCTATAGTGACCACAACAAAGTTCTAGCCCTGTGAGAAGTTAGATATGGAGATCTATATTTAATGAGCCTGGCAAAACAATAAAACCTTTATCTCAGTTGGACTAATTGGAAAGTAATAGTCATACCAATTGTGCAATTGTGCTCACAGTATAAAGCAAGGAATTCCAAATTTTGAGGACATTAAATAGTAAAGATGTCTTCCAACAAACTAGCTTGTTGATTCTTGGCAGATGCATTACATAAAACATATTACATAGTCTCCTAAGTGCATTGTGATCATTGGGGAACTCAGAAGAGAATGATTTTTCAAATATATTTACATTCTGAACATCAGCATAAAAAATTTATTAAAAGAATAAAGTGTTTTATAAAGTGATCCAAGCCCCAACTAACTTGTCCAGTCTCATTATTCTCACTTATTTCTTTCTTTCCTCATTTTCTCCATCCAAATCAATTATGTTTTAGTTGCATCCTATTCCATTCTGTGCATCCTACCATGGCACACAGTAAGTACACTGAAAACTGGCATGGTTAACTTACTTATTTCTGAGACCTTCTGCCTTCTCTGGGTCCAGTATTATTGTAGGGATGACACAGTAGGTGCTCAATAGTTATTGGTTAAATATATAGATCAGTTAATTAACCTACAAAAACAACAACAACAAAATTTAACCCCAAATCATCCCTTCATATATTCATTCATTGTATACTCTAAAATTTTACTGTGCTTTCTTGGGTTTTGAAACTAAAGGAGGAAGGAAGCCAACTGAAATGATACCTCTGTTTTATATGGAATTAAGTTCCAAATTGCTTAAACACAGATATTGTACTTGATCCTCACACCGGCCACAGAGGGGATTATCATCTTCTGTTTTAAAGATGTGGAAACTGTAAACCAGTGAGACCAAATGACTTGCCCAAGGTCACAGAACTGGAAAGTGCTAGCACTGGGACTTTTGCCAAGCTCTTTTGATTTTCTTCCAACATTCTTTCTATTATGTGTGGAAATGTGCCAACCTGAACTGAATACTGTGAGAGAGAATGCTTGTAGCTGGATAATTTGTATTTGTAATTTGAGATTTGCTTGTAGTTTAATAACATTGCATGATTGCTGGAGAGAAAGAACATGGTGAAGTAGGGAGTTCCTACAGGAGAAGGGCAGACTTAATAACTGTGATTCCAGGGGGCACAATGCTTATGCTGAAACTCTCATTTCCCTGGATGATGACATTAGAAGTGTATTCAGCTGAGAAAGTGATGGCCTTGGGAAACTTCTCTAAAGGGATACTTTGGGTTTTATTCACTTCGTCACATAATTAATACTTCATTCTGAAATCAAGTAGGAAGTTTTTGAAATCAAGTCTGAAGTTGCTGAAACTTTGCAAAGCGGTCGGATTAGTGTTAATTCTGTTTCTGTTTGGTACATTTTCTATTTATTTTCCCATTTTTACAGTTCCCAGAAGGACAATTTTCTCTGTGAACAGAAGATGTTTACAGAAAATCTTATTTTTAAAAAGTCACAGATGTAGTTATGTGCAAGTGAAAAATGTATCACACTATCATCTTTTGTCAACATGAAGACATAGGTCATTGTAAAAAAAAAATAGGCAGGAGAATAAGGAACAGGCAAACAGGACCTGGAAGTGATCATCATAAAACTGTGTGAACATTTTGAACAGATTTTAAAACAGTGATAAAACAATGTGACATACAGGAACTCAGCAAGGCTGAGACTAAGGATATCCATACTGTGTTTCCAAAACTGTCATTTTACTCTCTTCATGACTCAAAGTACTTTGTCTTCATAATCTGTATTATGGCATTGATCAGCAAATGGGAAGCCAACTGGGTGTGTGTACAAAATTGAGGCTAAGCTAATGTTGGAATAAGCTGAATTGGAAAATTTGTGTGTGACATGATTCTGTTGCTCTGGAATTACATAATGAAGACATCTGTTGCAAGACATGATCAATGCTTGGAACTCATCTACTTTGCTTTTCAGACTCCTGGAGTCACTCCGCTTCTAATTGCATCTAACAATGTGAAGTTGACAAGCTATGAGTTGTCATCCATGGAGAGAGGCCAGTGATCCTCCATAAAAAGGCAGGATATAATTGGAAAAGCCCAAGATCTGGGGACAGATAAACTGAGATTTAATTTCAGCTTGTTTCACTTATTGGTCCTTTCACCTCTGCTTAGTGACTAATTTTCTTGGAGACTTGGATTCCCCATCTGTAATAACAATAATATTAACAATGATCTTAATAATGGTGACAATGTTAATACTTAACATAATGTGAACACCTACTATGTGCTAGACATCGTTCTAATTTCTTGACATGTTTTCCAATTTAATTATACCATAACTCTTTGAGGCAAATACTATTGTTATCACATGGTACAGTTGAGGAAATGGATGCAGGTAGCTTAAATAGATCATCTGAGTCACATCAGTAGAAAGTGGTGGAGATAGGCTTCATACCCAAGTAATCACCCTCAAGTGTCTATGTGCTTAATTGGTACTCTATGGTGCCTTTTGTTAATACCTGTTTCTTTAACTGATAAATGAGTATAATAAAAACCCTGCCTCTTTTCTAAATATCAAATGACTCAATAACTGTAAAGTATTTAAAACAAGTCCTAGTGCATAGTAAGCTCTTATAAATGCTTTTAAATAAAATAAACAAAATAAATTTTTCCAATTACAGAGCTAGTAGTTGATGAAACACAATTTCTCACCCACTTAGTGTAAATCCAGAAACCTCACTCTCTACAACTACAACAATCTTTCTCCTGATGGTGCTTCTAATTAAAGCTGCCTTGCACAGATAAGTAAGATTATAATTCAATCTGCACTTGTTACATGAATAAACTTATCATATTGAATATCTGCTAGGGATAATGATTAGTCCTAAATTTTACCTCACTAAGATATCTGTGTAAAGCCTTGGAATCCACACTTCTTTCAGATCAGTGGTTCAGCAATCCTTCTTTAAGAATGCATGTTTTATTTTAACTTGTCTCTCCAGAAGCATGGGAAATTAAGTCTGCAGGCTAATAATCTACACTCCAGTGTGATCTGATAATGCATCACTGAGCTCTCACTGACTCTATCATCAGCAACACAAGAGCGAATTAACTTTTGAAATAACTACATCTCATTGTTGACACTCATTGAGCTAATTGTTAACTAATGCTTGTTATCAAGATTCAACCAAAGAAGCAGAACCAGTAGGAGATATATAGTATGATAATTGCAAGGAATTAGCTTACTTGATTATAGGAGCTGGCTAGGCAATTTCTAAATCCATAGGGTAAGTCTTCAAGAAGGGCAGATCTTCAAGAAGGGTAGTCTAGAACTGCCAGGTACTGGCTAAAGCTGTGGACCACATGTGGAATTTATTTTTCTCTCATGAAAAATAAATCAGCTTTCACCTGATTGAATCAGGCCCACAAAAATTATTTAGGATAATCTCCCTTACTTAAATTTAACTGATTATAAACTTAATTACATGATACGGTTAGGTTCTGTGTCCCCACCCAAATCTCATTTTGAATTGTAATCCTCATAATCCTCACGTGTTGAGAGCAGGAGCTGGTGGGAGGTGATTGGATCATGGGGATGGTTTCCTCCATGCTCTTCTTGTGATAGTGAGTGAGTTCCCACAAGATCTGATGGTTTACAAAGTCTTTGACAGTTCCTTCTACACACTCATTCTCTCTTATCTGTTACCATGTAAGACATGCCTCTTACCCTTTCACCATGATTGTAAGATTCCTGAGGCCTTTCCAGCCAGGCAGAACTGTGAGTCCATTATTGCTTTGTGAATTACCCAGTTTCAGTATTTCCTTATAGCACTGTGAGGACAGACTAATACATCACTTGTACAAAATACCTTCCAAGCAACATATGGATTAGTGTTTAACTAAATAATTGAGGACTATACCCCAGCCACACTGACACACCTCAAAGACCATCAAATCATGTCATTAATTTTTAACAAGAAATGCTAATAACTTTTTTTCCATCTTGGACTTGTTTTATGAGCTCTTTAAATCAATCAAGAACTATTTTGTAGAGTCTTACATAGAGGCAGATCCAAGTTTCTCATAAGCTTATATGATTTTACAGCCAAGTTTCTCATAAGCTTATAGGATTTTACAGAGTCTTCTTGACAAAGACAAATACATAATTACAAATACACAATTAGGTAATAGGTTTCACAAAGAACTAATTTAATTGAGATGCCCAAATATTTATGGTACATTAACTTTACACTATATTTGTCCCTACCTTATATTTATCATACAATATATTATAATAAAATTACCTCATGCTGTTAAGACTTTTTAGCATCTTGGTTCTATAACTCGTCATTTTTGCTATTCTCTTAGTTTTATATTATCTGAAAATTTGCTAATAATTTACACCATCTTTACCCAAATCCATGAAAAAATTATTAGGACCAAGCTAAGAGAAGGATTCTAGAGGAAAGTACTAAAATCCTTCTCAAAAGACCCAAAATAGCACTCTTTGAATGTGATTATGCAAACACTTGTAAATTCATTAGATTTTACTAAAATTCTGCAAATATTTCACCACTTTTTATGTGTGTTTCTATTTTATAAATATTTTAAACTCTGATTTGTTGTAGTGAAATTCATTGTGGATACTTATGCTCTGCTAGAGTTATATCGAAAAGCTAATTTACTCTCAAATTCCTTTTATTTAGGTATTTCTCCCTCAGTTCCAAGAAATAGAGCATAGGTATTAAGGTGGCAAATGCTGAAGTAAATTCATGTACATTTAGAACCCATGTCCACCACTTTCTAGTGATTTGACTTTGACTTACATATAAGTTTTTAAGTTCTCATCTTTAAAGATCAGCAAGAACACATATCTAATAAGAAGGCTTAGAATATTAAATATGAGCTATATGTGAAGGTATTAGCCTATCACATATTAGGCAGTTATTCAATAACTATTAGCTATCATTACTATATTGATGCTGATAGTTATATTACTATTTTATATATAATTAAAATGTATATGTTAGAAATGTTAGAAAGAAAAATGCAAGAATTTATAGTAAAAAGAGAATTTTCCCCTCTTGAGAGATTATAGAAATGTGAAAATTACACATCAAAGAAATAGCATTTAAACTAAATATTTAAGGTACCACATTGATATTTAAGAATATTTGTCTTATCAATAATAAAATGGATTACATAGGGGGCAATCTGATGGCAGCAAATGCAGTTTGAAAGCTGTTGAAAAGGTCCAAGAAAAATATTAGGCTTATACCAGGAAACAAAGATGGTATGGCATACACAATGCCTCGCCGAACTATAGTTAAACTAGTTAAAATGGTGTCCTAGAAAGCCAACCTATTTTAAAAAATTCACACACATTTGTCTAAAAATGTTTGTTTTAGTATCAATATGCTAATTATTTTAATATACATAATTAATGCTTTCAATAAACATCTTTGGAATCCTTCCTGGGAACCAAAACATCAAACAAACTAATCTGTATTTTGCAGAATGTACTTTTTCCACATCATATGCATTAAATTGTAGGATAATTATAAAATATCTAAAACATAATGAATACATAAGTTGGGGAAAGTGATATGGAACACTCTGAAAGTTTCGTCTTTTACACTTAATTGCTAAAATTAAAATATCAGTCAGTGGCAAAGTGTGTATTTTGGAGGGGAGTCACATTTTCACTAAATTCTGTGCTGATCACCCTTTTGTATATGAGACCTACTTTGTCTAGAATCACATTATTATGTACACTAAAATTTCCTTTGTTTAAAATTCTATGAAATATATCCTGTAAATGTTTGAAGGGTAAGTATAAATCAAAATGTTAGAATTTTCTAGTTGGAACAGTCTAACATTGATGCAAAGTATTGGAGTAATTCACAAAATGATACTTTCCAGTTAATGAGTTTTATATTATTCTTACAGAAAACAAAGTTAATTGTTTTTCACCAATCCTTCAAAAACAACAACATCAAGAGGAATCAAAGCCATCTTTCTTTTATGAATTTGAGGAGACAGCCTTGTAGTGGTATAGAATGATAATTGATAGACTGACAGGAAATACATAATTTGTATGTTGAAGAATGGAGAATTGTCATAGCCTCAGGTATATAACCCAACAAAATAATGCAAAACAAAAGAAATACACAAACACCTTCCTGCTAGTTAAAAGACTGCAGTTGAACAAAAATCCTTTCATCTGAGCCTTTAAGTGTAAAGGACTATGTCCTCATGCATAACTTTTTCCTTTTGGGAAAAGTTAAAGGTCAAGTAAGATGATGTCTTATGTAGCTCAAGGACAGGATTTGTTTTGCTTGTTCTGTTTGTTTGCATTTACAGAAATCACACACACACACACACACACACACACACACACTCATAAATGTTGCTATTGGCTTCTAAATAATTGCAACTTTAAATATCTAACTTTCTGCAAGAAGCTGATGACAGTCACTCATAATACATAAAGTGCTTTAAAATTTTTGAGATATATTTAGACACATTAAATTAGGCTGAAATGAACATTATGGACAGTTCTTTATCAGCTAAAAGGCCAGAAATGAGAAGCTTAAGGAGGATATGTAGAAAGGAGGCCATCTTTTGTGGAAATAATTTTTGTTTGACAATCCATTTATTATTTATTCCAAGCAGATAAGAAAGTGCTTAAAATTTAACATTGCTAATGCTTTATCCAGTGGAAAAAGCACTAGATCCTAATTTAATGAGTACATTGGGGTGAAGAGTGAAGTTCTTTCTCAAACTATACTTGGTCTCCTGTTGTGGGAAGTCAGGGACCCCAATTGGAGGGACCGGCTGGAGCCGAGGCAGAAGAATATAAATTGTGAAGACTTCAGGGACATTTATCAGTTCCCAGAATTAATACTTCTATAATTTCTTATGCCTGTCTTTACTGCAATCTCTGAACATAAATTGTGAAGATTTCATGGACATTTATCACTTCCCCAATCAATACTCTTATAATTTCTTATGCCTGTCTTTACTTTAATCTCTTAATCCTGTTATCTTCATAAGCTGAGAATGTATGTCACCTCAGGACCACTATTGCACAAATTGATTGTAGAACATGTGTGTTTGAACAATATGAAATCTGTTGTAAAACGTGTGTTTGAACAATATGAAATCAGTGCATCCTGAAAAAGAACAGAATAGCAGCGTTTTTTGGGGAACAAGGGAAGATAACCATAAGGTCTTACTGCCTGCATGGTTGGGAAGTATAGAGCCACAGTTTTCTTCTTGCAGAAAGCCAGTACGAGAAATTTCACTGAATTCTTTTCCCAACAAGGAATAACCCTGGGGAAGGAATGCATTCCTGGGTGTAGGTCTATAGACGGCTGCTCTGGGAGTGTCTGTCTTATGCGGTTGAGACAAGGACTGAAAAACACCCTGGTCTCCTGCAGTACCCTCAGGCTTACTAGGATTGGGATATTCCAGCCTGGTAAATTCTAGTCAGACTGGTTGTCTGCCCTCGAACCCTGTTTCCTGTTAAGATGTTTATCAAGACAATGCATGCACAGCGGGACATAGACCCTCATCAGTAATTGTAATTTTGCCTTTGCCTTGTGATCTTTATGGGCCTTTGAAGCATGTGATCCTTGTGACCTACTCCCTGTTTGTACACCCCCTACCCTTTTAAAATCCCTAATAAAAACTTGCTGGTTTTGTGGCTCGGGGTCGTCATCATGGTCCTACCAATATGTGATGACACCTTCGGAGGCCCAGCTGTAAAATTTTCTCTCTTTGTACTCTTTTTCTTTATTTCTCAGACCAGCCGACACTTCTTAGGGAAAATAGAAAGAACCTACGTTGAAATATTGGGGGCTGGTTCCCCTGATAGTCTCCAACAACCAGAGAGGGTAACATCTGAAAATCTTCCTAGGGCCAGGCAAGGTGGCTCATGTCTGTAATCCCAGCACTTTAGGAGGCTGAGATGGGTTGATAGCCTGAAGTCAGGAGTTCAAGACCAGCCTGATCAACATGGAGAAACCCCGTCTCTACTAAAAATACAAAATTAGCTGGGCATGGTGGCACATGCTTATAATCCCTGCTACTCGGGAGGCTGAGGCAGGAGAATCGCTTGAACCCAGGAGGCAGAGATTGTGGTGAGCCAAGATCACGCCATTGCGCTCCAGCCTGGGCAACAAAAGCAAAACTCTGTCTCAACAAAAAAGAAAGAAAGAAAGAAAAAAAAGACAATCTTCCTAGGTGATTTTAATATGCAACATTTCTACCTCCATTACCAACAAAGGACTAATGTTAATGAATGTTACCCTCTGATGCTATAATCTAATTTGGTTTTATGGTATCCATAACCAAAAGAAAGATATGTATATCTTCAAACTGATTTCAAAGATGCATCTTTATCAAAGTTAAGTATTAAATGAGTTTGTAGCTAAGAGATAGTATATAAAATTATGGTTTTTATGTTTATCTGTGGTTTGTCACAAATACAAAAACACTTTACAATACATGTGACATATAAAAAAATTTAGGCTACAATCTCAGATATACCAGACATATAACTCTTTTATTTTGTAATAATTAAACAATATGTGTTTTTGAGGTATCATTATGCTATGGCAATATTAAATTTCAGTTGATTAAGGTCTAAGTTTACTTCCTTGTAGTTGCAGTGAAGATCCTTTGGAGTGATATAATGACATAGCTTTCATTAGTTAATGGGTATCCGTAATGATTGGTCTTCAGGTATCAAAACTAACATTCTTTGGATATACATCATTTTATCTTGTTCTCAGTTACGAATCCATTCAGGAAACTTTGATATTGTTCCTTATTGTTTTCAAGGGAGATTAAAGTCTGGTTCTCTCTACCATTTCTGAGCCCCTTTCTCTATTGCTTCATGGCTAAGAAAAACTTGACAGAGTTATCTGTAAGGCACTTTGCCACTTTGTGCTAGTCTAGAAAAAGGCAAAGGCATTCTACTTCAAGACCATGACAGAGTGGGTGGAAACTCTGGGATACTGATTCAGGCAAACAGGCCATTTCTATATTGGACTAAGTAAGGTACTATGAGGTACAACTCATATTCTAGGTTTGATGTGAGAAATGGTGCACAAGCTTTCTCTGCTGTTGGATCCCTTAAACTATCTGGGATTTTTATTGTACCTCTTCTACAATATCTACATATTACTACCTTTCTTTTTATCAAACATTTTTTTCTGGTATGATTTTCAAAATTCAAAAGTCAAAATTTGACTTCTTTATATCTCTCTGCATTTTTGCTTTAATATTTCTATTATAAAGCAAAGAATATCACAAGTTTTATGTATTTAAATAGAGAAAGGTTGCTGATGAACTGGAAATACAAGGAAAAAACATCAGCTAATTATCTTCAATTAAAATATTACATTTATACACTGGCTGTAATGAAGACAGAGAGCATGCCATTAAGTTATAGCTGGGATTTTGTAGACTCGTTTCCATTCCAAAATCAGGCTCTCCTGCATGAGTTTCTTTGGGAGTCACTGCTGCTCACCCATAGATTGGGGCCTAAGATACCTTAAAATAGAACCTCAGAGACCAGTCTACTTACAAAGTAACTTCAATATATGCCAATGACTGAGAGAAAATAAACTTTAATATTCACTATAATATACTCTGTGTTAGATGAGGCATCAAACTTTCTTATTTTTTTCTTTTTCCTGTATCTGGCTTAACTTTACCTTCAGACTAGTGAAGGTTGTTGTGGCAACTACGGTGGCATCTATACTAAAGGGAAGACAGTCTACCTTACAGAAAATGGATATGTCCCAGAATAAAATGTATAAGTCCAGAATATATACAAACCAACATTACTACCGCTACTATACTTTCTACTTCCAGGGAAAATATATCAGCCTTCTAAGTGAAGGGTTAACCTATATGCTTTTGTCTATACAAATAATCTAGAGATGAAACAGTCTAGAACAAAAGCTGTCAGTGCTTCTTCATATGATATGCAGAAATAACAAAAGAAATAGGAAAATTATCCTCCAACAAGCAAACCGAATCCTTGTAATGGTGACAGGTAAAAAAGAAGTCAATTTTTTGTCAAGAAGAGGGGTTTACTGATTTCTATACAAAAGCCATCAACCATTCTATCAATCTATATATCGATTTACAAAAATATTGATCTATCACACATAAATTGATATTGATCTCAGGAAAACAAAATTTGCAAACAAAGTCCTTATATTAGGGAAATTTATGCCATCTACTTTTTGGTTACATACTTTATGTCAAGGAAGCCGTCCTTAATTTAGAAGTAAGAATTTTTTTTTTTTTAATGTAAAGAAAGGTGTTTTTTCCTCCTCACGGTAGAGTGTGACATATAATTTCTTCCAGGGAACTACGACATAGGCTTCTGTTAAATTTATAGAAGTTCTCAATTTTAGATTTGGAAACAATACTTAAGTATGATCTTCCCCTATATTCTCATTTTATTAAAATCACACCCCAAACTAGTGACTTATCTAAGAAAAAATTTTTAAATTCTCTTCCTTTCAACACATTTATTAAAGTATTAGTGATATGCCATGTACTGTCCCAAACCCCACAACAGACCCCAGGTCTCCTTACTATGGAGCTTGACACAGCTTTGTGTGTGGAAAAGAGGTTAAGGAAAGAACTCAGTTGTCTTCAATTTGTAAATGTTAATTTTACAAAAAGGGAAGGTATGCTTTAAAAATAGAGATCCAATAGAAGAGACACAAAAACTTGGACTAAATGTCTTTCAATAAAACAATCCTTGGAGAAAATTCCTAAGATGGAGTGGGGAAGGGGACAAAAACAAGGCTCAGGAAAATGTCAGCTTCCTTTCAGTGACACAGACAAGAGAATTGAAAAGTATTGTTAATTGAAGGCATTGCTTAAGTGACAGAAAGTAAATGACCACTTCTTTTCCTTTCAGTTTTTTTCTACTCCAAAGATAGATTTTGTCATGGAGCTGTCTGAAATATTAAGATCTAATTAGAAGTCTTATTTTAAAATTACTGTTGTAGTTGAAATAAATATATTGTATTTATTTGGGAAAAAATGCTTTGTGGGTCTTTGCTTACATACTGATGTACTGAGGCACTTAAGCATGGAAATGTTTTCCACAGAGAATGTAGAAAAGGAAGTCATAAAATAGTGACTTTATTTTCTTGTTTTATTTCTCTTTTTTATTCCAAATTAACATTGATCTAAAAGTAGATTATTTTAGAAATTATAAAAATAAAATTTAAATACATAATTAAAATTGCTCATAATTCTATCAACAGATGAGCCACATTAATATTATATTCTATAATAAATGTTAGTAATATTTTTCTATACACATTTATCTTTTAAAATCACTGAGATCATACCACTGATATATTTGTAATACTTTTCATATTATTTTATATCAAAATTTTGTGGTTATTATATAATTTCCCACGACATGATTTTAATTCTGAATTATATTCCATTATGTTTATTTAACAAGTTTTATTTAATCTATTCCCTATAGTTTCATTTTCAGGCTATAGTAAACTTTTACATTTTATTTATATTTTTAAGGAAAAAATCACTGAGGTGGTTTTAAAAGCACAGCATCATAACTTGTTTTTAGTCTTCATGGAAAGGCATTTTTCATTTAACTGTTTTTGATTCCTTAATTTTTTTTACTATCAGTTTAAAGAGAATCAGTTATTCATTAGTAAAAATCATGATACCATCTCCTTCCTCTGTAAGTTAGTAGCAACTTATTGGAGGATTTTGTCAAGAAAATATCAATTTTTTTTCCTCTAATTTGGAAGTAGAGATATACTTGGGGTTTTAGCCTTTGCTTCTAACTAATAACTCTCAAGAATTATCTAGCACATTTGCACTTCACGAAAACAGTTCTCTATGATGACCATACAGTATGCATATGGAAATTTATGGCACTTTAATGCACTTGGAATATTAGAGATTTGGTTCATTCAAAATACATTAAATTTAATAACTTATAATACCTTACACATTACAAAATACTTACATTTTTATTTGTAAAGGGACAAGGATTGTACCAAAAATGAATTCTGAACCAATCACCTGAAAAAATACCTGTCCAGTCAAGCAAATAGTTCATTTTATAAACGAGAATGGAAAACACATCAATCATGTGATGTCAGGAAGAGTAGAAGGAGAAACAAGGGGAAGAGAAGAAAGAAAACTGGAGACCTCTAAAGTCAGCTCTGTGTTATTTTCTCCAACTTCTTCATGTGAAAACATGTAAGTCATTACGCAAACTTCTGGACAGAGTACGTTTAAAGGGTGGGATTTGCTGACTGTTTCATATTAGAATAATGAATGCTTTGGTTTGAATTTAAACTCCAGAACTATTTTTAAATGAAAAATATTACCTCTATAATCGTACTCTTTTTGTTTATCAAACTAAATATATGTATGTATGTATGTATGTATATATATATATATATATATATATATTTAGAGAGAGAGAGAGAGAAATTATTTTATTTCCAACCTTAGAAGTTTATATTTGTTAAATATTTAGAAATAGTTTTTATGGGAATCAAAAGACATTTGAATATATTATCAAGAAATAAGAGGAGAAAAGAATTAGTTCTAGAAATTTAGATGTGAGAGATACCTAATGATAAATTCTTTTGGTAAGCAGAAAATTAAACCAACTTTATATAATTGCCTGACAAATTTACTTATTGAGAATTAAGCTTGAGGATTAACAAATATGAAATAGATTACTTAAAGCAAAAGCTCAATATTTAATCCAGTAAATGTATTTCAGTTCATGGAAATGTATTTTAGTTCAGGCGTCTTTTGGTCTGTTTTATTTAATTCTTTTTATCTTACATTTGGCCTTCATTTTCGTGTAGAAGGACAAATGGCTGTCATTTTTACAACCAATACTGGTGCCTTTCAAACAAAAATGTCATTCAAGTGTCCTGTTTAAACTACTGGATATTTAACATCTTATTCTAATTAGGGGATCAGAATAAATCCGACTTGCTACAAATCTTCAGGTGGTTTATTGTGCCAAGAAATGTAATGTTCTGTCTGCATTTTAAAGTCATTTTATTCTTTAGAAATGCAGTGTACAAATGCATCAGGATAATCTATTTTGACCTTATGAGAAGTGATAGAGGCCCACAATACATTTAGTTACAAATGTTTAATGTTTTAGTATTTCAATATCCAGTCTAATTTCTACCTCTAATATTTTCTGAGGAATAAGATATATAAAGTACTCAAATTATATATAAGGGAGAGTCAGTGATAAAACTCAGTTTTCAACATGCTAATGAAAGTCTTATTTATTAAGCGCATTGTGCTGGATGGATCACACAGTGTAAGATGCAGGTTGTGTACATGTGATGCTGTGAAATATGTGTGTTTGATTTTTTTTCTCAAGATAAAATCAGTGTCTAAAAGGAAGCAAGGATGATACTGATGTTCTCAGCACACAAAGCAACCTTTCACTCCGCCCAGCAGCCTTTGACTCTGCCGTGCGCTCTGTGCAAGACTGAAGAGTACATGATGAAAGAAGTTACGCAGAAGTAAGGACATGTTGTGTGAAAACGGAGTCATTATCTACAACAGAATAAGTAAAAAAGACCGCTAAGAGATGCAGCCACCTCAACAACACTTTTGTGGGAAAATTTTAGCTTCAGTAATTGAAAATTTCGTGCAGAAGGAGAGATATTTGAGTTTAGGAAGTGGAACTCCCAAACCATGAAAACAAATGAAAAGCAGCTTTCAGATGAGATGTACTATTATTGTCAAGGCACAGATATTGACTAAAATTATAAAATAAGAATCAGTGCTAAAAAAGTGATGCTAAGTAATATTCTTGAATATTTTAATAAAATGAATATGTCTTCTAAAATTCTGGTCCCAGAATGTAAGATGAGCATGTATGGGGTACAGAACTCTCCTTTAACTCTAATAATTATGTTTCTGCATTAAAAGCCTGTAGTCTTATTTTCGATTACTACATACATCCACAGTTCATTATTAGTTTCTAGGCATGTATGAAAGAATAAAAAGATGCAGTCTTCATTTGACTAATATCTATTAAAGGCAACAACCCAGAATCCACTTTTATTTTCTTTATACAAATGCTTGCTTTTAAAAATGGTAAAAATATAAATATAGAAATAGATCAATCAAACAGAAAAAAAGGATCCCAAAAATAGACCCACATAAATATAGTCAATTTATTTTTAACACTGGACATAGGCAATACAATGGAGAAAACATGGTCTTTCAAAAAGTGGTGCTAGAACAACTGTATATTCACATGCAGAAAAATTAATCTGGACACACACCTTACACTCATCACCAAAACTAAGTCAAAATGTATCACAGACCTAAATGTAAAATGCAAAACTATAAAAATCCTAGAGGATAACATAGGAAAACGTGTAGATAATCTTGCATTTGATAAGGACTTTTTAGATATGACACCAATGGCACAATCTGTGAAAGAATTGATAAACTGGAATACATTAAAATTTAAAAAAATTCTCTTCTGTGAAAGACAATGTTAAGAGAATGAAAAGACGAACCAGAGACTGGGAGAGAATAGTTGCTAAGGACATACCTGATAATGGATTGTTATCCAAATTAATAAAGAACTTTTATAACTCAACCATAAGAAAACAAACAACTTATTTTGTAATGGGTCAAAGCTACCTCACCAAACAAGACACACAAATGGCAAACGGATTAAAAGATGTTGTACATAGCATATGGCACCAGGGGAGTTCAAATTCACACAACAATACATCTTAATGATCCCACCTAATGAATAGCCAAAACCTAGAACATTGACAACACCAAATGCTGGTGAGAATTTGGAGCAAAAAGAACTCTCATTTACTTCTGATGGAAATTCAAAATGGTACAGCAACCTTGAAAAACAAGTTGGCAGGTGCTTACAAAACTAAACATACTCTTACCATACAGCACAGCAATCATGCTCCTTGGTATTTACCCAAAGGAGTTGAAACATTATGTCCATAAAAACCCTGCACACAGATATTTCCAGTAGCTTTATTCATAATTTCCAATACTTAGAAGCAGCCAAGAAGTCCTTCCAAAGGTAAATGAATAAATACACTATGGTACATCCAGATGATGGAATATTACTCAGGACCAAAAGTGAAATGAGCTATCACGCATGAAATAACATAGAGGAAATTTAAATGCACTTAGTGAACGATGCCAATCTAAAATGGATATATAATGTGTGATTGCAACAACATAATATTCTGTAAAAGGTAAAACTATAGAGACCATAAAAAGATTAGTGGTTGCCAGGGGTTAGCAGGAAGAAAAGAATAGGCCAAACACAGATGATTTATTTTGGGCAGTGAAACTACTTGGTATGGTACTGTAATAGTGAATATATGTCATGTAGATTTGTCCAAACCCGTAAAACGTATGATACCAAGACTGAACTCTTAATATAAACTATGGACTTTGGGTAATAACAATGTGTCAGTGTTGTTTCAGGTATGGTAGCAAATGTACCATTCTGTGGGAGACATTAATAATGGGGGAGGCTATGAATGTGTGGGGGCCAGCAGGAAATATATGGGAGCTCTGTACCTATCATCCAATTTACTGATAACCTAAAGCTGCTTCTACATTTAGTTTTACCTGTTTGTAATCATTTTATTTGTTTGTTTTGAACTAGTGGGAGCTTACTTGTGTAAAGAAGATTACATTTCTGTACTCTAGTCTTTTTTGGTTATATTTCAGTAAAATTAAGGTGTAAAATGATTTGAAACATTATGTTGCTTCTCTGCTAATTAAAATTTCTCTTTTTCAATTTCCACCTAATGTAGCTTTTATTTTCTTAAGTGTAGGCACTGTACATACAATAAGTACTGACTAACTTTACTAATCCTCAATCCACACTGAAATACTCCCTGGATATCTGCGTACAAGAAAGGGAAATTAAATTTTCAAAGTAAATTAGTAAAAAAAAATTGTGTTTAAGACATTTAATGAGTTTATATAACATAGTTCCCTTATAACTGTTACATTGTATTTACTGGATCTGAAACTTTGTACTATTAAAACTAAAATTATTGACTTTGTTCTCCTTACTCACAGACATGATGTAACCATAACCATAAAAATCTGTTTCTATGATTATATTTATTTATCTCATTCCTAGTATATTAATATTAACCAGGGCTCATTTTTAAAACAATATTCTATCAGTAGTTGAAACAATTTTAACACTGGCAAGCAATGTGTCAAGATACATGGTGCATTAGTCTGTTTTCACACTGCTTTAAAGATACTACCTGAGACTGGGCAATTTACACACAAAAGAGGTTTAATTCACTCACAGTTCCCCTTGGCTGGGGTGGGGGCTACTCAGGAAACTTACAATCATGATGGAAGGTGAAAGGGAAGCAAGGCACGTCTTTACAAGGTGGTGAGAGAGGGAGAGAGAGAGCAAGGAAGTGCCACACTTAAAACCGTCAGCATTCATGAGAACTCCCTCACTATCATGAGAACAGCATGAGGAAAACTGCCCCCATGATCCAGTCACCTCCTACCAGGTTTCTCCCTCAACATGTGGGGATTACAATTCAAGATAAGATGTGGGTGGGGACAGAGAGCCAAACTATATCATTCTGTCCCTCACCCCTCCTAAATCTCATGTTCTTCTCACATTTCAAAACACAACCATGTCTTCCCAACAGTCCCCCAAAGTCTTAACTCATTCAAGCATTAATGCAAAAGTCCAAGTACAAAGTCTCATCTGAGACAAGGGAAGTCCCTTCCACCTATGAGTCTGTAAAATTAAAAGCAAGTTAGTTATTTCCTAGATACAATGGGGATACAGGTATTGTGTAAATGTTCTCATTCCAAATGGGAGAAATTGGCCAAAACAAAAGGACCACAAGCCTCATGCAAGTGTGAAACTTGGCCAGGCAGTCATTAAATCTTAAAGCTCCAAAATATCCTTTGGCCCCATGTCTCATATGCAGGAAAATGCTGATGCAAGGGGTGGGCTCCCACAGCCTTGGGCAGCTCTGCTCCTGTAGCTTTGCAGAGTACAGCACCTGTGGGTGCTTTCTAGGGCTGGCATTGAGTGCCTGTGGCTTTTCCAGGCACATGGTTCCAACCACACATTTCCCTTTTGCACTGCCCTAGCAGAGGTTCTCCATGAGGGTTCTGCCCCTGCAGCAGACTTCTGCCTGGACATTTCCACACATCCTCTGAAATCTAGGTGGAGGCTCCCAAACCTCAACTCTTGCCCTCTGCACACCTGCAGGCCTAACACCACGTGGAAGTCACCAAGGCTTGTTGCTTGCACCCTCTGAGTTCACAGCCCAAGCTTTACCTTGGCTCCTTTCAGACATGACTGGACCTGGAGTGGCTGGGACACAGGGCACCAAGTCCCAAGGCTGCTCGGAGCAGTGGACCCCTGGGACTGGCTTACGAAACCATTTTTCCCTCCTAGGCCTCTGGGCCTGTGATGGAAGGGGCTGGCATGAAGGTCTCTGACATGCTTTGGAGACATTTTCCCCATTGTTTTGGTTATTAAATTTCAGGTCCTCATTAATTATGAAAATTTCTGCAGCTGGGTTGAATGCCTCTCCAGAAAATGGGTTTTTCTTTTGTACCACACTGTTGGGCTGCAAATTTTCCAAACTTTTATGCTCTGCTTCCTTTTTAAGCATGAGTTCCAATTTCAAACCATCTGTTTGTGAATGCATATAACTGAATACTTTGAGAATAAGCCAAGTCACTTCTAAGCATGCTTTGCTGCTTAGAAATTTCTTCTGCCAGATACCCTAAATAATCTCTCTCAAGTTTAAAGTTCCACAGATCTCTAGGGCAAGGGCAAAATCCTGCCAGTCTCTTTGCTAAAGTATAGCATGATTGACCTTTACTCCAGTTCCCAAAAAGTTCCTTATCTCCATCTGAGACCACCTCAACCTGGACTTCATTGTCCATATCTCTATTAGCATTCTGATCAAAATGATTCAACAAATCCTAGGAAGTTTCAAACTTTCCCACATCTTCCTTTGTTCCCTTGAGCCCTCCAAACTGTTCCAACCTCTGCCTGTTCCAACATCACTTCCACATTTTCAGGTTAACTTTATAGCAGTACCCATGTCTGCTGGTACCAATTCTCTGTATTAGTCTGTTTTCACATTACTATAAACATACTACCTGAGACTGGGTAATTTATAAACATAAGAGTTTTAATTGACTCACAGTTCCATATGGCTGGGGAGGCTTCAACAAACTTACAATCACAGTGGAAAGTGAAGGGGAAGCAAGGCACATATTCACAAGGCAGCAGGAGAGAGAAACAGCAAGGAAGTGCCACATTTAAAACCATCAGCTCTCATGAGAACCCCCTCACTATCAAGAGAACAGCATGATCTCATGATCCAATCACCTCCCACCAGGTCGACATGTGGGGATTACAATTCAAGATGAGATTTGGGTGGGGACATGAAGCCAAATCATATCATCTGGTGAATAACTATTCACAAGAATCATACTCTCTATTCAATTTTGATTTATTTTGTTCGACTTAGTAGTGTATAAATAATTGAACAATTAGTATGTTCTCTTTGCATTTCTGGGCCTTTATTAACTGTATCAACCTGTCCCTTTGTTAAAGATATTCTCCTTTGTATTATGCTAAATTTACTAGTTGTTTTGTTTATAAAATTTAAAAATCTACAGAGCGTAATTTCAAGAACTATACTTTATTCTAACTGGACTGATAAGAAAATGAAATTCAAATTTTACATTTCAGATAATTCATCGTTTTTGACTAGATAATAATTTTAAACTAATTACTTAGAGTTGCAAAATTAGTACCAAAATTCCTGTATACTCTTCAACTATTTTTCCCTAATATTAACCTTTATATATCCATACTATAATTACCGAAACCAGAACATTTACATTGCTTTAATACTAAGACTTTGTTCAAATTTCAAAATTTTTCATATTAATTTCCTTTTATTTTTTGTTCCAGGACCCTATTCAGGAATCCACATTTCATTTAGTTTTTATTTCACCTTAGATTCCAGTAATCTCTAACATTTCCCTATTATCTCTCTTTCAAAACCTTGACACTCTTCTAGGGTGCTGATCTACTATTTGATAGAATTTCCTTTAAATTTGGGTTTGTCCAATGTTTTCTCATGACTAGAATAAAGTTACGCATCTTGGGATGAATACCACAGAAATGGCAGTATGTCCTTTGTGGTGTGCCATGTCAGGGTGTTTGTGATGCTGATATTTCTTATCGTTGGTAAAGTTAATCTGGATAGTTTGAATATGGTGCTATCCACTGTAAAGTTATTATCTTTCACTCAGTAGTTAAATAATATCTTGGAGTAAGTTTTTCGAAAGTACACAATACTATTTCTCTTCCAACTTTGCTAACTACTTTTCGCATCCATCAATAGATCATGCCTGCAACAGTCCTTGCTATGATGTTTGCTTAAAGTCATAGTTCTACAGTTAATAATTGGGAATTGCTCTGTAAAAAAAAAAAAAGACCTGTTCTTTATTCTCTATTTACTTGTCTGATTATTATTTATAACAATGTGCAAACACGGATATTTATTCTCTGGGTTGATTTTAATGTACAAATTGTTCCAACTCTGCCACTGGGAACATCTTCAGGTTAGTACCTGTACTCTTTCAACAAGACCTCATCTTTTTAAGAACTTTCTTACCTTCTAACTCCAGATTTATCTAGTATTGCCTCTACCCAACCCTGGAAAGCAAGCACTTCTCTAAGAATTCCTGATACCTTTTAACTGAAGAATGGTGTTTCCAAAACAAATAGGCGCCTCATTGCTACTAGATTTCATTGCTCCTAGAAGCTCTCAGTAGTCAGGGATAGGAGATTATGTATGTAAACTAATCTGTACAATACTCACATCTATATTTATTTTTCTACCTCTCTGTGTATATATGTATTATAAAATTTAAGATACATGTCATACATATGTTTGTATATACATAGGTATTTATATAGGCTTGTGGGTATGTGTTTATATTGTTAACTTTGAGTGCAGTCCAACACAATGGGGTTTATTTTATCCTTACTCTTTTCTTGAACATGATACATATAGTTCTACATATGTACATGAACATTATACATATAGTTACAGTATATTTATTCTTGTTTGTTCAATGCTAGTATACATATAAAATAGCTTCAGGATTGCTAAAGACTATCATTGGAAGAAATATATTTACTAAATAGAATACAACATATACTAAATAGAATACAACATTTATGCATAATTCTTTCTTTCTTTAGCCTTGCAGTATCCAATCAAAATATTGTTTCCCAAAGTTACTTAGGTAGTTGCTTTCTCCATAATCAACTTCTGTGATGATGCTATTATGTGTAATCTTGTTAACTTCATTTGTTAGTGTGTGAATTCCACTTTGGCTTTCCTCCATGCCTTGATGAGGTTTTAATAGTTTATTCTGAGGGGTTGTGAAGGGTATGAAAACATTACTGTATTTCCAAGAATCCGTGCTACAAAATAGTTCTCAGATAAATATTACTCGTTCTTCACTTCTGCTGCTCCATTCTCATTCTTCTGTTCTTAACACCACTTTGACACACTTTCCCTGTAGTTAACCAGTTAGAACATACATATGTATATTCTTATATCCCCTCTTCTTACTGTAAATAAGGGAAACATAGTATAGGTATTTCAGTCATTGGCTTTTTTATGTGGTGCTATATACTAGAAATCATCCCACTCTCAACTGGCAGATATCCTCCTGTTTCATTTTTCACAGGTGCATAGAGCTCCACTGTGTGGCTATACCATAGTATTCTCAACCACTCTCCTGTGTACTTAGCGATACTTAGATTGTTTACAATATTTTACAAATGCTGTTATATTGAATAATCTTATTAATATAGACTTTCAAATAACTGGAGCTATCTCTTCAGGGTAGTCTTCTTCTTGTAATCACGTAAGTGTGTAAATAGTATTGTTAAAGCATTGTCAAATATCTGCACAGAAGTACTGTGCTAATTTACATTACCAACAACAATCTGTGCGAGTTAAGTGCCTATTTCTCAATGAAACGTGTTGTTTCTTTATGTCATTTGCATTTTTTTCTTCTATCTTTATACTATAGACATTCCCTTGGTTGATATCTTGCCCTTTTTCAATAATCCTTAGTAAATCTTCATCCAAGTCAATCCTTACTATAGTGCTTTTTTCACCCAAAAAGTTGAGTAATTATTTTCTTTATTTCTGAAGTAATCTTGTCTTATCCTTCCATTACTTTTCAGAGTTCAATCAATTTTTAATTTTTTTCCAGTTTTATTGTGTATTTCTGTTCGTTCTTTTTGAAATTCTTAAGATTTTATAAATCTTCAAATGCTTGTTTGAATATATTTAATATTGTTTGGAGTATAGAATTACAGTTTTTCTTCTGTTTCATTCCTATTTTTCAAGGAGAAATTTTCTCCAGTTGATTTGGGAAATTTTGTTTCCTGACTTACTGCAATAGTTGTCCACAGACTTTTCCTTTGTTTATTTTATAGTATTGGGGTATTTTCCTGATTTTTGTTTATGGCATTCTCCTTTGCTTATCTATCAAAGTTCAGGTATATAACAAGATGTTTTATTTTCATGTTTTGCCAGTAGTCACATAGTTGTGAGTCCCATGATTTTGCAGTTTTCTTCCATTTTTCAGGCCTCTAAAATTTTCACTTCTACTTCTTTGTTCCTGTTCATCACCCAATTGCCAATATGTACTTCTGTCTTCTTTATTATTGCTTTTTTTTCCCCCTTGAGAAGCTATTTCTTTAGAAGTTTGGCCATTTAAATCATGCTTGCTTATTTAAACCAAATGTGTTCCTGTGTATAGCATTTGTGGCTCTTTATATGGTATCTGGCCCATTAAATTATTCTTAATTTGAAACCCCTCCTTCATAGTTTGTGCTTTTGTCTTTTCAGTTATTGATATTGTATTTTCAGATTTATGATGAATTTAATCTTTTTTGACGCTTTTTCTACCTAGTCTTAATCAATCCCTTTCACTGACACTCACCCTCAGATTTCCATATGTACTTTTTCTTGTGTGAGTTTGTTCCCATATTCACTACAAAGCCTTGCTGTGCAGTGGCAGTTAGACGGCAGTTTATAAAACCATAGTGGGAGTTCTTTTTCTTTTACTCACAGTTATTTTTTCTCAGTGTTAGCATTCTTTTTTTCAAGAAATGAAAATAGTGTGGTTCTTCACAGAATTTTCATAAAGATGAAGTAATCTCACATCTTTTAGTAAGAAAATTGGGAGAAATTGATTATTATAGATGAGCTATTTCTTTCCTTCACTTAGTCTTAAGCTCACAGTTTTTTCAAGTGGTTATGTACTAAAATTGGATAGATAATTTGGATGCTTCCCTACCTTCCCATCTTGACCCCAATAAAAATTTAAATGCCACTGAACTACAACAACCTATCAACACATTTTATTACTTTTCTTGACACTTACAATAGTTTGCAAGCAATTATTTGGGCCTCAAGTAAAATAATGATTGTAATCCATCATCCCACACTTCGATAATTGTTGAATCTGCATAGAAGATTGTATCATATGCACATTAATTGCCTCTAAGTACAAGAAGCTTATAATTCAATAAGTAGAAATATTCCAAATTCTTAACAATAGATCTTTATGCATTCTATACTTCAAAAAAAATTGAATGATTAATTGTTGAGATTTCCCCTTATGTAACTTTCAAATTATTCCTAGGATAATTTCTCAATAAAGCAAAAGTGAAACCCATTATTCTTATTTTGTAGTTCTTCCTTCCACAAACTTCCTCAGATGCTGTGAATGACAATTACACTTCTTTCTTTGAATTCTAAGTCAATATAATTACCTTACCAGCAGCTCTGCTTTTGTAAGTTCTTGCCTTTCTATGATGTTGTCACTCATCTCAGGAGCTGTTGCAAGACTAGGAACGTCCACCAATGGTCAATATGTCCTAGTTTTCTTGGATTCTGCCACGCTTTGCTTTACAATTCAGTGTGTATAGGTGTTTAAGTTGTGTTTAATGGCATGTGAGTAAAATTACTAGCTCTACTTCTAGACCTGATCTTTAGAAACAATCCTTTCCTCCACTGTTAATGCAATGGATTCAAACAACATAGCGGGAAAAATGTGGGTTTCTGAATGGCTTCATGCAACAAAGCGTGCTCACCACAAGGCATGCTCATACTTACAAGTTTTAGAGTGAAAACTTTTTGAAATTTTAACTGTAGTAGCAGTAAGCTTATGCTAGGTAATTCAGACACAATTATCATCTTGGGTTGAGATTTATTACACTTCTACATTGCCTGTATTACCAACATCACCGCTAACATTGTAATAAGCATGCAAAAATTATTGTTGAATGGATATTTTTCTCTACCAATGTAGTTACTAGTGTTAATGTTCTATTTTTATTGAAATTAAAATTCAATTTTTTTTCAAGGAACACTTGAGTCTACCCAGATATTCTAACCTGGGAGACATTATAATTTATTTTAGGTCTTCAAAGTTAATTTACACTTTGTTTCACAGTTTCCTTCATCAAGAAACCTGAAACAATATCCTGGGACTGAGGCAGAGAATAGCATAAAACATCTGTCTATGGTATACTCCAAATTATTTCTCTTTGATGTAGACACAATGAGGCACCACCCAGGCCCTTGCTTAAGAAAGATTTATTTCCATCTGTGGGAGTGCAGTCACCAGAAATCCTCCAGGTATAGGGGTGCCTCAGATTCAGAGAGTTGCCTTGCCCAAGGGCATGCCCGCCTTTAAGAGGTCAGAATCTTGTTGATGAACTAAATGAGATATAAAGGCCTGCGCATTTCAACCAGATGCAAAACACTCTAGATGACAATATTCCCCTCAGAGTGCTCTATTGTTTTGGGTGAAGTTTTGCTGGACCTGTATTATAATTGAATTATTGTACTTCTGTTTCCAGCCCCCTCTTGTTTTTTTTCACATTGAGTCTAATAAACATCTTACATTCTAAACTTTATTTCAGTGTATGTTTCCAGAGTACCCAACTCACCACACTTGGGCATATGTCATTATTCTTAATAACTAAACAGGTTTAAAAAAGTCTCTCCTGCAATCTAAGCTTCATTGAAATCTTTCGTGTTGTCCCAAATTGTCTGAGGAAAGAATGCTTCCTAGGTCCTGAATGTGATATCTATTATGATAGTTGGTAAAACAATCTCAATTAATTCTATAACTGAACAAAGCATGCCAATACAAAAAACAAAAACAAAATAGAAGACTAGCTAGATTGGTTAAGGAAATAACAAAAAAACAAAAAGAGGAGAAAAAGAACAATAGAAAAATCAGTGGGAACAAGCAGCATTGGCATAAGCTGTATACAGCATTTGTGGCTCTTTATATGATATCTGGTCCATTAAATTATTCTTAATTTGAAACCCCTCTTCCATAGTTTGTGCTTTTGTCTTTTCAGTTACTGATATTGTATTTTCGGATTTATAATGAGTTTAATCTTTTTGATGTTTTTCCTACCTAGTTTTACTCAGTCCCTTTCACTGACAGTTGTATTGTGATGGTTGGATTGCAACGCTGTCTAAAATAACAAAGTAACATTTGGTCCTATATAAAACAACTTGCAAAAACGTCATTTTTGTGAGCGTCCCTACCATCCAAAATGGCACCTTTTTTTAAACATTTCTCTAAAAATGAAACCTGCTTTCCTCCCAATGCTCCCAAACAAAACACAATAAAAAACGAAAGCCAATAACACCATGGCAAATGAATAAAGAAACCAATGAATGAATAAGTATATTTGAAACAAATCAAACAACAAGCAAATAAACCCTCTTATGTTCTATTGCCATAACAATTATGCAATGTCCCTGGGGTCTCAATCAATATGGAGATTGAATGTCCCTGGAAGCATTGCATTTGTACCTGCTACTCTTGTTCTGCGATGGTACTTGAAGGATCATTTGTCGCGGGCGCCAGGAATAACAACCAGAGTGCAACAACAATATTAAGGCAATATATCCTGTAGAGCTCAGCAGCTGAACTGATAATAATTGGTTAAGTAAACCAGATACTAAATCAAAAAGGATGAAAACAAGTCAAAATGACATGTGAAAATAGAATGTCTTGAGACAGCAAAGTGCAAACCAAATGTTAGTTTGGGGTTACATTTTATGGAATACGGAGTATTCACTGCTATTTTAAGATATACTATTTAGAAAGTAAACTAAAGGCATAGATTTGAAACAAATATCTAGGATATGTAATAGTTAAGTATTGAGAAGGATTTTGATTCAGAGACACAAAATATAACATTAAAATATTCAATCTGCAAGTTAGATGTTACATACACCACTAGTTTTTTTCTGAAAAATTATCCCATTATTATACAAATTTCAAAGTTTGCAGATTAGTTAAATAGCTACATTAAGAGTCACAGTTCTCGTTTCCAAAAAAATTGTTGACAGAGTAAAAAGATGTTAGACACACTTGATAAAATGGATATGACTGTTCTATGATCAATAAAAGCAATTACTGCCAGAATTGTTGATATTTTTCTAAAAATAGCATTTTAGCAGAATCAAATTTAGCTCATTTAATTGAAAGATAGAAACTTCCTTCTATGTTCTACAATATCCAGCTGAGGAAAACGGTGTCCAGAGATTTCACATTTTCTAAGTGACAATTAGGGAGCAGCAGAGTTTCCAACAGTATGTGTATGTTGTCTAGCTTTCAAGGCCAGCTATCTCCCATCCAATTTTCTATAGATATAAATTCACTTACTGAACAACTATTACATTCCTCATAAAATCAACATATTGGTAAGTCTCTGTCAAACTAGTAGTACCTTATATCAGAAGCTAAATGAAAGAAAGAGGAGCCTCTCATCGCATTATAGAGCTAGAAATGAAGACTTCTGTTCTACTGTTAAGTGCTACAAGTAAAAATCAGTACAAAATGGAAGTGAAAAGTCCTAAGCTTTCCAATAAAATTTATTTATTGTCCAGAATTGACCACATATCCATACACCCAAACACTCTATGACAAAATCTGTGAAAACAGTGCTTGCAATGGAATTCTGGGACAGATACCTGAGTCTTTGTCTCATATCTGGACTTTCTTTTGATCCTATCATCAGGCTGCAAATATCTACTACACATTATAAATCTTAATTATCCAGCCATAAAATGTTATTGCACAAAATAATTTCGCAAATTTAAATATTTACTTAGTTTTAAGCAGATTTCAATAGATCATTAAGTTACATTCAATCTAATTAAGGAGTCACATGAATTGTATATTTTACATAGTAGATTATGTAATCTGTAATACAACACATAAAATATAGGTTAAATTCAACAATGAAGATAAATGCGGCTCAAAGAACTTTTAAGATACTCTACAAATGTCACTTTTAAAAAATAGCCGATGTGTGAAGCCAGTTATTCATGAAGCCCAAATGCTTCACTATTTCACCACAATTGAATAAAATGAGCAAGTAAGTCTGGTTTTGCTACAAATATTTCAATTTGGCATTCTTGACTGATTTAGTAATGGAGGTACGAGTAATTGGTGTACCTTGAAAATCATCAGTTTAACTAAGTTTAACCACATGTTACTTTTTGCAAAATTGAATGAATTAAGCTCTTTTGTATTTTTTAATTTTTTTAAATGTATGTCAGACTCAAACGTTAGTTTTGCCTGTCTTTCATCTTAAATTCTGATATTGTTATACTCATTTTCAGCAAATGTATTTAAACACATGTGAAGTGTTCCTCATGCAGCTCTTCAAACTTTGTTCTTAAGTAAAATTTTTTTTTTGCTGCAGTTGTATGATCAAATGATCCTATGGGAACTGTCACGTTTTCCATAACTCATTTTTGTCCCACCATTGATTGGTCCAAAAATGGCAACTTGACTCAAAATTAACCAATGATACCATTTTCACCCTACATTAGTACAGATGACTTGTTTATGTACAGGTAGTATATTATTCAGAGTTTTCCAGGGAAACAGAACCAATAAGACGTGCATTACAGAGGGAGATAGAATGATTTATTTTAAGGAATTGCCTCATGCAGTTATGGAGACTAGCAACTCTGATGTCTGCAAAGTAGTTCAGCAGGCTGGAGACCCAGGGAGGAACTGATGCTGTTCAAGCCTGAAGGCTGTCCACTGGCAGAATTATTTATTTTCTAGGGTAGATCAGTCTTTGTTCTATTAAAACCTTTAACTGGTTGAATGAAGCTCACTCACACTGTGGAGGGCAATCTATTTTGCTCAGTCTCCTGATTTAAATGTTGATCTCATTCAGAAAAAAACAAAAAAACAAAAAAACAAAAAAACAAAAAAAAAAAACACCCTCAAAGGAAAATTAAGAATGTCTGACCCAATATCTGAGCACCATGGTCCAGTCACGTTGGCACATGAAATTAACCATAAAAACACCTTTGTCAATCTGGACTAGACAGATCTCTAGTCCTGGAACGTAGGTCGAGGAAAAGCTCTAGTCATCTCAGATGTCCAAGATAAGAGAGGTTGTACTTGTTTGGTTGTATGAATAAGGTATTCTGAGATTTAAAAAAAATTGATATCCCCAAAATAGTAAAAATGAACAACTGGAAAAGTCCCCACTTCCAATTATTCATGAAGCTCAAATGTTTCACTATTACACCACAATTGAATTAAACAAGCAAATAAATCTGTTTTTGTTACAAATATTTCAATTTGGCATTCCTGACTGATTTACTAATGGAGGTAAGAGTAATTGGTTGAGAGGAAGAATAACGAAGAAAGTCAAAGGCCTTCTTGTGTAGTATGTGCTTAAAGAAAAACAAGCAATAAAATTAAGCCACTAATACATTACCAATTTTTTACCTCTTTGTTATGGAAAGTACACATCTGGCTTTTCAGTTGAGTAAATAAGCTTTCTTTACTCTGTAGTATCATTTTATTTCTAGAAGCACTGGGGTACAAGAAGATGCAAAGGGAGCTGTTTTTATTGTTGGTCCTTAATTCATGAAAAAATGTAAGCATAGAAAGTCAACCTTAAGAACTTGTGATTTTCCTTCCTAATTTTCCTGATGTCCATGTTATTGTTGTCACTTATCAAGCTTCTACTCCCTTTACCAACGGAAATCTAACATGGCTAAACTTCTGTAATAGTGTTTCTTAATAAAACTCTCTGAATTACTATGTTCTGAATCTGATCGATCAAACTATGTGAATAAGGAAAAGATGCTGATAGTTTAATTCAGCATTTCTCAAGGTTTCTTTTAAATGGAACTCATTTGAAGGAAGATATTCTGTTACTAACCATGAATGATTTAGGCAATTTTCATTTAAAATGTTAACCTTATTTAGACCAGGCGTGGTGGCTCACACCTGTAATACCCGCACTTTGGGAGACTGAGTTGGGTGGATCATTTGAAGTCAGGAGTTCCAGACCAGCCTGGCCAACATGGTGAAACTCCATCTCTACTAAAAGTACAAAAAATCAGCTGGGCATGGTGGTGGCAGGTGCCTGTAATCCCAGCTACTTGGGAGGCTGAGGCAGGAGAATCACTTGAACCCAGGAGGCAGAGGTTGCAGTGAGCCGAGATTGCGCCACTGTACTCCAGTGTGGGCGACAGAGTGAAACTCCGTCTCAAACAACAACAAAAAGTTAACCTTAATTAAATTTAAATTATTATATAATTATTAATTCATTATGCTCATAAATTTTATACAACCATAATGATAAAAATACAAAACAGACCGGGCGCGGTGGCTCACGCCTGTAATTCCAGCACTTTGGGAGGCCGAGGCGGGCGGATCACGAGGTCAGGAGATCGAGACCATCCTGGCTAACACGGTGAAACCCCGTCTCTACCAAAAATACAAAAAATTAGCCGGGCGAGGTGGCGGGCGCCTGTAGTCCCAGCTACTCGGGAGGCTGAGGCAGGAGAATGGCGTGAACCCCAGGGGGCGGAGCCTGCAGTGAGCCGAGATTGCGCCACTGCACTCCAGCCTGGGCGACAGCGAGACTCCGTCTCAAAAAAAAAAAAAAAAAAAAAATACAAAACAAATAAAAATACGACTATAAAACCAACTAAGTTGAAATTAAAAATAACCTAATGGGATGTACAATGTGTAATGAGGAATTTTAGTCACATTATGGCTGTGGCATTTGATATTGCCTGCTAAGATACAAGTGATAAGGTTTGGTAATCTCACAGTTCTTCACGCTAGAGGTCAGAGATCAAGGTGCTAATAGGGTTGATTCCTTCTGAGGGCTTCAAAGAAGACTCTGCTCTAGGACTCTCCTGTAGCTTCCAAGAGTTTATGGCAATCCTTAGTGATCCCTGGCTTACAGATCTCTGCCTTCATCTTCACATGGTGTTTTCCTGTGTCTGTGTCTCTTTGTCCAAATTTCTGCTTTTTATAAGGATACCAGTTGTTACATTGAATTAGGGCTCACCTTAATGACTTTACCTTAACTTAACTAATCCTATCTTTAATGACTTTGTTTCCAGATAAGATCACATTTCCAGGGTACTGAGTTATGTCTTCAACTTGGATGTCGGGGAGGGGGATACAACTCAACTGATTACCATATATCTCTATAAGCTTGGACCGGGTGAATAAATTCTCCCCTACTTTATATGAACTTCTCTGAAACCTTCATTCATACATTATGTCATGAAATTTTTCTCTCATTTTCTTTTTTTCAACTTTATATTAGCACCTCTTTGTATAATTTGTCACCTAGTCACTGAAACCATGAGGTAGCCAAGAAGTGTAAAGTTACTATCCATGTCTAGAACATGCTTAAGCACATTTTTAAACATATCATGTTTAAAAAGATGATAAAACTTTTTTAAAAAACAGAAAATTTATTGTTGAAGCTCATGCATAAACTCTAGGTTGAGAAATACTGGTTTAATGTGTGTAGCAGATGACTTGTGGTCCCGCCCAAATCTCCTTGGCACTCACAGTTTGACAGCTTCTTACTGCAAACACCTGTGACTCCCTGTCTGAAGGCATTCTTTGGCTATTACATTTTTCTCAGTCTGTGGGCAGGGGTCAAGGCAAAAGTGCAAACATTTTAAAGCCCTCATGAGTAGTATAAAACCAGTTGATGGATGGAGTTGATGAATGGGGATCACACTTTGGGTGGAATAACTTGGAAGCATATCCCAATGGGATTGGATCTCAGTTACTCACAGTGTTAACTTGCTCATTCATGCACCTGTTTTGACTTCCTTTCTTTTTCTGTCTCATATTCCTGTGCTCCTACCAGCACTTCTTGGGATGACCTACCAAACAAAGTGCTTGTACCCTATTCCCATTTCAGGTTATGCTTCTGTGGGAAACCAGCATAAAATAATATGTTAGCTATAGCTAGAAGAACACATTGTAATAAAGACACTCTTGAGCTAGCTCAGCTAAAGAAATGATTTTGCTTTAGGAAAGCTACACGAAATGAGTAAAAGTTCTGTAAATTCCAATTATAAACTGTTTTTCAAATCTAGTCTTTCTCTCATTCCCATGATCCTACTTTTAGAATTTCAACATCTCTCATAGTCTCAAGGAATATCATTCTGACTCCACTCTTCCCTTTCTAATACATATCGCAAAATGACACTGCATTCAGCTCTATTAAAGGTCCCATTTCCTAGCACACTTTGACATACGACCTTTGCTCTAGTAATAAGCATGACAACAACAAAAGCACTGGAAGCTCCTCTGAAATAATTGATCCTTTCATGTCTCTCTGCCCCATTTGTGCTTTTTCTGCTGCCTGTAATTTTCCAGGGGAATGTCTGACAATTTCCAGACAAAGGATACCTCCTTTATTTTCTGTCACCTGTCTATCATGCCCATTACACATAGCTAGGATTCTGATTTATTGGTGATATAATTTTATGACTGTGCCGTTATTATCACATATCAAAATATTATAAATATTTTCATATTTTTAAATCTGCCATATGTTAAACACCTTGAGGAATATAATATTCATCTCCACATTTCCTACACCAGGTTGATAGGGTGTCATTAAAATATTTAATAAATGACGAGGCATTGTTGTAACTTGTTGTAATGTTCAAGATTCCATGTTTATCCTGAAATTTTGGTCAGTATGGTAAAATATCTCAGTGAAGATATTCTCACAAAATATTAGGGTGAGTAGCCAAGTAAAAATTCATCCTTATCTCTCAAACTTCAATTATACACTTTTTCTGCTGTACTGTTTGACACAGCCTCCTTGAAGCCAATTCAAAACTGACTTTTGACACGTTTTCCCTTGCTGAATGGCAAACAATCACATCATCATAGGTTCCTAGAGATGGGGAAGTATACTCTGGCTACTTCAGAGTAGTGAAAGTTTGTTGCTTATATTCAGGGGTAATTGAGAAGAGGAGAAAGCTATCTTAGCAGTTTCACCATCAGCCTTTGGAAAGAAGTAAATATTTTTCACTTTGTTGGCAATGCGGTAGCTGACTCAACACTTTTCAGCCTGCATTTTCATTCTAATCAGGTTAATGTGAATCCCCGTTCTTTGCCTGTTTCTTAAATATCAATATTTTCTGATGATCTTCCTCATTTAGTTTCCCATCTTTATTTACCTATTTCCAAACTAACTCATCCATGATTTGCTTTAGTTCCAGGTATATGTAAGTAGCACAGATATGTCTCTGAACCATATTCATGGCTCTGGGTGCATATTTTATTTTTAAAATATTTTTAAACATAATTTACTGTGGAAATCATCCCATATTTTGCCATCCTAACAAAATTATTATCCGTGCTTGAAAGTTCCCTTTCATTTTTTAACATATGTTTATACATATTATATAGGTTTAAGTAATGATGCATTTACAGTTTAAAGACTGATGTTTACTTGATAATATATCATACTTACTTGCTATTTTAAAAACTTCATAAATTATAACAGCATGATAAACCATTTAGAGAATCAGTATACTATAATTTACCATTCCTTTATTGTTGGATGTATTGGCTGTCCTCAAAAGTTTCATGTAATATTTTAAGGATCATTTGCATAGTTAGATTTTCTGTCTGGCTTTTATTTTTGCAGATTAAAAAAATCTCATAATCAAGACTGAATTAAAGAATGAGTACAATCAAAGTGCGTGGTTCAATAGCTTTGATAAATATTCTAAAAAATATTTCATAAAAATTATTAAGGCATATACCTTTTGTTGCCATTTTTATCTCACCATGCATTCATGTATAAAATTACTTTAGCTTATGAAAAGAAATAAAATTGTGCTAGTATTTTCAATTACATTTATTTGAATCATTTTAACAAGTTGAGGATTGTTTCATTATCTGTTTAGTAGATAACTCTCTCTGTTTTTGCACCATTCTTTCATGTACATTGCTTTTATTTGTTGGCAGACTATTAGTGCTAATTCAATTTTAAATGTGTTCTCTTAGAAGTACTTTAATCCATATTGGTTAGAGTTTTTTAATCCCTCACATAATTATGATTATATTATATATACCTCTGCCTTCTTTTTTACATGTTGACATGAATAAATGCACATTATTATAAAGCACTTAGAAATATTATTTTAATTGTTGGCTGCAAATAGGACATAATTTACCTATCTGTTGTTCAGTTGTTGTCCACTAAAATTATTTTTGCTTTTCCTAAGACAAACAATATGGTGAGAAATACATTTATGCAGACAGCCTTTCTAATATTTTTAGATTACTTTCTTTAGAGAAAGACTAATATTTGTGTGCTGTGTACACTGATTGGCCCATAATAGTGTCCCAATACATATTTTTAAATAAATACATGTTTGAATTGAATTTCCAGAATATATAAGGTAATTTTCTTTGTCTACCCCTACTAGATCATGCCTAAGGTATTGATCACAGTTCTTGATCATATCTTAAGAGGTAGATCAACAAACTTTGATAAATAGGTCAACAAGCTTTGATTCTTCCTTCTTTTAGGATACTGAAAAGATTTTAAATTTGAATATATTAATTCAATTTGAAAATTAGGCCTAGAAATATAAGATTGTGGAAAGACCCATTAAAATCTGTCTTTGAACACTTTGCAGCTTGTCTTAAGGGCAATGCATTCTATGCAGTTCTGAGGGCTTTTGCTCATGATGTAGTCATTTCATATTAGTCTTGCCACCAATTCAAATCCATAACGTTAATTTTGTTAATGATTCATCTCCCCCATTGCTATGAACTGAATAACTGTGCCCCCCAAAATGCATATTTTGAAACTCTAATTTCCAATATTTGGGAGTATTGGGAAGTAATTAGGTAATGGGGGTAAAAACCTTTCCGACAGGGATTAGTATCCTTAAAGAGCCAAGGAGACGATTTCTCTCCCTGCTGTAGGAGTATGTAGCCAGAAAGCCTCCACCCGTAAACCAGGAAAAAGCCCCTCACCAGGAAATGTGTGGGCCACCACCTTGATCTTAGACTTCCCTGCTTTCAGAACTATGATAAATAAATGTCTGTTATTTAAGTCACCCAGTCTGTGGTGCATATTGTAGCAGCCAGAACTAAGACACCCATGCTGTTAGATTTGTGGAAAAAAAATCAGACCAAGATTAGTCCTTTTCATTTAATATTTTGAAATGCCACCTCATTGTTACTTATCTTTTCATGTCATTGACATCATTTTATATTCCGACTCTCTTTTGTAAAATAATGGTTAGCTCTCATGTCTTTTGTGTCCTCTGCACATTCAATGAGGAAGGCCTCAATTTCTTTCTGTGAATATTAACTACAGATGCCTGCTCCCATGTCATGTCACCACCTGAAGTATTTATAGGTGGGTCATCAGGAATCCATGAAACAGCAACTTTTATAAGAAATGTTTCAATAAACTACAAATCCACTGAATTCTGCCACCATACCTGTCATGATTTTTTTCTTATTCGTAATTTTTTGAAAGCACTCATTATTTTGCTTAAAATTATTTCATCCAATTATACATAATAGCATATGAAAAAACCTCACATTTATTTGAAATTAATCTCTCTCATTGAAATTCACTGGTCTAAACATTAACAATAATTATAAATACAATAAAACAATAATTACAACAAAAATCATAACAAATAGCTATAAAATAGCCATATAGTTATCTGTATCCACTAGTCTATGATTTAAAATATTGCTGGACTGTCACGATAAACTAAATCTTACATTCCCTCACCATTTCACCACGTATTAATTTGAGTCTTAGGTGCAGGGATGAAGGATGGGTGAGAAAGAGAGTGAAAGGTATTTACTATTCACATCAATTCTTTGGGGAGGATGTAGATGCGGTTTCCTTGGCATGACACCCTCCTTCATGCATATGTATTACTCTATCATATTGACAAATAGAAACATATGTTCCTCTAACATTAACTAAAGTATTGCATAATATTAAAGGACCAAAGCACCACAGATGCTAAGAAAAAACCATCTGAATATTACACAGCTTCTTCTAGAATTCTACCAACTTTTGTGTGAGTCTATTGTACCTAGGTAATCACAGCCATATTCAGAATACAGTTTATAATTTGTCTTCTTTAAAAATTGAGAACACCACCTGTTTTCATTCTGTTCAGGAAAAAAAAAAAAGGTTTGATAGGATTAGGAAACACATCCAGTCTTTGTTTTAGCTGGCCCATTTTGAAAATTGAGGTCATGGATGATGGCTTCCTGAGTGGGGCAGCAAAAGCAATGGTAATGGGGAAACATTAAAAAGATTCAGATGTGTGGTTCTAAGAGGCATTCACAAATGTGTGAGCGCATTGACATGCTTGATTATGCAAAAGCTGAGCTGTGCAAATCATAATAATAAGCTTTCTCATTAGATTTCCTGCATTTTCTGCTTCTTGATCAGCCAGAAATATGGCCAAGTGTTCCCGTTCTTTTGAAATTTCCCATTTACACTTGTTTTAACTACTCAGAGAAAAATAGGGAAATAGAGCAGTGAAATGAGATTTTAATTAAAGGGGAAAGACGTTAAAATTTCATAAAACTAAAATATGTGTGCACTTTGGTTATAGTTAGCTTGAAAACAAAATTTTACTTGGCACTCACAGAAGTTAAATCAGTTTACAAGTCAATAACTAAGTAAAATAATGTAGTGCAATTATTTTAAAAGCAAACCTAAATGGGATAATTTTGGAAGTCTAATTGAATCTTTTATTTCACAAAGACAGGTTTTATTCAAAGAATCAGGGTCATCAAGAGTATAATAATAAAAGAGAATTAGTTGAAAGAAATGGCAAGACTAAAAACATTTTGCAGTTTTAACATATGTTCACGTATTCAAAATCATTTTACAATTTCACAATGTTAGACTACCATTTTGAGCTGAAATGATTAAATATAGTTACTTATACAAAAACCAAAAATAAAATGAGGAGCTCATTCAACATGACTAATGCTATCTTTATACTTTGATGCATCAGTGTCTTGTAGACAAACAATATATTAGAATAATTTTGTACAACAACTATTGCGTTTATTAGGCTTCTCAATTTAGTATTAATGAAGTCAATGACCAGGAGAAGCCACAAAGATTCTCAATTTAAGTTTTATGCTTGACATTGCATAATTTAGCAAATCAAAATATTTTCACCTGTAGTAGATAAAAGCAGAGCAATTTTTTCCTTTTATATATTTGGAGGTAAATGCTAATTTGCTTGATTCACACAAGATATTTAAAATTATGCTTCATATATTATTTATGTGACTGTTACCATGAAAGAGAATTTAAATAGGAGAGAGGAGTAGGAAGTAATTTAAAGATCCATTTTGAACTTCAAAATTTGATGTTATAGAGGCAACAACCTCCAGACTTATCAGGCTCAAGAAAATGGATATTTAAAGCCTCATCTTCACTGCTTCATTAATGAGCAAGAACAAACACATACCATAAGGAAATGGACACTCCAGTGTCAAAAATCTGACTGGTGTCTAGAGTTTACTTCCAATTATCTCCTATGACCTGCTTCTGTGCCCCAAGTTTGGTCACCAGAGCCACTCACATATTTCAAACATCAGTTGTGCGTCTATTTAGAATATTAACAACATTCAGTTACTTTTTTAAGTCTCTCTAAGCCCATGGTGTCATCTAGTTTGCATTCTCCATGGCTTAAATATGTATTCGACTTTCCTGTATCTTACACTTTCACTCCCTGAATTTCATTGTTCATTCTCTGAACTCTTACAACATGCTCATGTGGAAACCATACAGGAATCCACTCAGAAAAAATCACATAGGAAAGATAACACTCAGGAAAACATCCCCTGTCCCTCTCCTCTCTCCCTGTCCCTCTCCTCCCTCTCTCCCTGTCCCTCTCCTCCCTCTCTCTCTGTCCCTCTCCTCCCTCTCTCCCTGTCCCCCTCCTCTCTCTCTCCCTGCCCCCTCCTTCCTTTCTCCCTGTCTCTCTCCTCCTTCTCCCTCTGTCCCCCTCCTCCCTCTCTCTCTGTCCCCCTCCTCCCTCTCTCCCTGTTCCTTAGCTTGAAATAGTATAAAATGTAGAAAACCTCCCATACCTTGAAAGCTCACTTCAACTGCTTTCTGCCCAACTTAACATTTTAAACATGTTTTGATAATACATACAAATTTAAGAAACTCCAAGAAGCCTCAGAAAAACCCTTAGAGATTACCTTGGCTCATGGGCCTCAAAAATAAGAAATTAAGTTTTTCAATGGCATAGCCATTACAAGTTTTATCTTAAATTTGTTACAATTGAAGAATACATTAAAACATTATAAAAAGAAGTATAAAAAATCATTTTTTTTTTTTTAGACGGAGTCTCACTCTGTCACCCAGGCTGGAGTGCAGTGGCCTGATCTCAGCTCGCTGCAACCTCCGGCTCCCGGGTCCAAGCATTTCTTGTGCCTCAGCTGCCCAAGTAGCTGGTCACACAACCCTTCCATGAGAGCAAAATATCTCAACACTAAAATCCTCACACCACCCAGTTATGTTTCACAATGATCTTAATTTTACACCCTAAAGTATAAAGGCTGGTGGTCTCACTCCTTAACAGTCAGGTACATCGTTAACATAAACTTGTCCAAGCAGCTTATATCTCAGCTTAGAGGAGTTTGCTTTGCTTTCCACAAGGGGCTCCTTTCCTCCATCCGTGACTCCAGACTACGGAGAACATTTTTAGGACCACTAGATTTATTTGGCCTTCATCACTTCAACTCTTCTTCACCTCGCCTTCCTCTTACCCGACAGGAATTTATTATTAATCCTTCTCTATGACCTCCAAATTGCTCCTTTTTTGACTCAATTGCTAAGCATTCACTAAGAGAATCCAGTCAAAATGCCCATGAGGGCTTGACATATAGCTTCAACTGACACAAATAACCAGTTATGTGATTAAGATTTTAAGAACTTAGACCTGAGAACTTTTGAATACCTCACTATATTAATAACCCAAATTGTGATTTTTGTCACTAGAAGGAAGAGTAAGGAAATTAAATTTGGTTATTATTTCAATGGCTACAAGTAATATGCAATTTATAGCTATATATCTAGCATTATGTAGAGAGAAACATTTAGATTAGAATATATATGTTATAGGTATGGAGGGACAGCTCTAATCAGCAAAACAGATAATGAAGAATATTTGAATTATACTAGGAGATATCTGCCCTAACCATTCTTCACTAGGAACCTGCCTTTCTTTCCCCTGCAAGGTCAGCATCCTGATCATGTTCCTCATTCATCCATATGACCAGACACACTTATCAGTTCATTTCTCTAGCAACATTCTACACGTTCTTTTCTCATATTACACATTTTGCCAAGATCTCACTGACCCAGCATTTTATGTGTGAATTTATTTTCTTAGATATATAATCCTTTAAGCCACAGTTTTGGCTTAATGAGGAGGTACTTTCGCAAAAATTGACCATTTATTTTTTCTTTCTCACAAGACTTACTCTGCCTAAAACTATATGCACCATAAAATAATACACTTTTTTCTGTCTTGTTTTGCCCACTATTACATACTCAAGGCTGAATATAGAGCTAGCAAATATAAGAGTATTTTTAAAAGAAGTTGGAAAATTACTAAATACTAGTGGCTCGAATCCTATCATGAGTATTACTTTCTGTGCAAAAAGACAGTATTGTTTGATGAATGTATTTTAGTTAAACTTATAAATTGATAATGCTAAACAGTATGATATATAAAACACATAACTCCCTATTTATTTAAAAATCAAACAAAAAAACCCTCATTTTCCTTTTGATCTTAGGCAATGTTAGATAATTGATTGAATTTATAAAGTTTTGGCAAACTTAATCATCTATAAGAACTTCCTGAGGTATCCTCTTTAACATCTTCCCTTAGCATTTAATATGTTTACATCCATCAGGCACTCCAGTAACAATCTTTACTCAGGTCCAGATAGTTCTTTGGTAGAGAACTTTTTTTTTTCCTTTTTCTCTCTCCCCTTGTTGAATTGTAGGAAATTGTTTCCATGTGGTATCTCTTACTAGAGACTTCGGGCAAAGAGGGTGTTATTCAACAACACACTGACCTCTGACTCCTCCAAAAGATGCATCAGAAATATTCATAAATCCTGGAAAGAAATATTCACAGGCACACTCTATTAAATCTTAAAACTGATTCTAGTCACTCCTGATATTTCTCAGAGATCTCAAACATGACAAATTGTAATCTTTTGTTCTCATTTGTTTCTTATTTTCAAAACATTTTAAAATCTCGATATTCTCTTAAAAACAGAGGAGTGCTCAGGATCAACATCTGGGACTCTCTTAACTAACGTAATCTAATTTTCTCAGGTTACTTTACTAACATTCAATCATTAAGACATGGTGGTGCTCTTTATGATGCAATTCTGTATGATCATTTGCAAATTGCTTTACTTTGCCTATTTAATTTTTTTCAAATGAGACCATTGAATCCAATTAATATTAACGCCACAAACAATTAATTTTACATTAAGAATAAGTAGCTTCAGTTGATCGCAATTCTGGTCAACTACTGGAATTCAATGCTAATTTGCTAATGACAAGGAGCATACATTCACAAAGAAGGTCAGATTTAGATGTGAGCTATACTTAAAAAAAATTCTTTGAATTTGTGAAGAATGTTGTTAAAGTTTCACAGCGAGCAATGATAAAATGCCTTCATGAATGCTTGGATACTATAATTAACCTGAGTAATAATATACATTAAAGAATAAATCATCAAAGATACCTGGAATTACACAAGAAATATGCTTAGGAAGGATACATAACTGCTACCTGTTGTTAAGAGAAAATACTATAAAATTTAAAAAAAATTTTGGATAATCCTACAGGATAAATTAAAGCCAAATTTACTTTTGACAGTTTCCAATATTTTCTAAGTCTTGTTTTAATAGTAAATATGTGTACTTACAAAACAGCAATATTTTAATTTTAAATCAGTAACATGCAGGTACCCTATACAGCTGTTTAAATTCACTATAGTATTTTCATGTACTATGTTTTCACTAACAAGTAGTCACGCAGGCAAAAGGAGCCTGAAAAAGACCTTTATTACTTTTAGTGAATGAAGCATAGAGACAGTAGAAAAAAAATCAGACTCTGTCTGTTTCATATTTCAAAATCTCTCCTTTTTGTGGTACAGTTAAAAGAAATTAAGATAAATATTGTGTGCTACTTAAACATTTTTATCACATAAAATTTTTAAGATGCATAACTGAAAGAGACCAGTACTTTACTAGAAAAACATGGAAAGAAAATGCATTATTTTCATTCTGGTTTTCAAAACCTGGAAATCATATTTTGTTAGAATAATATTTATATTGATAATTTCCTTTAAAATAGATATTACTTTGGGGGAAAATCTTACAGAAATTTCTTAATGTTGTTCTAATTTCATTAATTTAAATTAGTCCAAATTGACTAAGATACAATGAGAAGCTGAGCAAAGGGAGCTACACTAGAGACTACAGTATTGAAAATGGAGTATTGTGTAAGCCCTGTTAGAAATGGGAGCAACTATAAACAAGGGATTCAGCAGAAGCAGACTCAGAAATAATTCTGAGAATGCTCATTTTACATCCAATCAACATCTTCACTGGTTATCTGCCTTTCCTATATTTACCTCTTTTTTTTTCACACTGACCCCAGTCTGATGCTGAGAAAAAAACCTTAAAAAGCAGGGTTTATGCCATTGTCCATTCCAAGAAAACTATTTCTACACGCTTTGTAATTTTCCGGGGCATGTCTGGCTTCCATGCAGAGGTTGAGTGGAGGGTGGAATCTTGCCACTTGAATTCTAAAGCAATTCTGCTTATGCCCAGAATTTCTTAGACCCTTTGGACAATTTAGGTGAGCTAAAGACCCTTTAACCTAACTGACTCACTGGATCTTACTAGGAAAACAGACTCATTGGATCTTACTAGGAAAACAAAAAATTTCCTACATCTTCCCCTTTATTCTGCATTTCCCACTCCTAAACAAAAACCCCTCTTTCCTAGGTCCTAAAAAGCTTCCACTTATTTTGAAATGTGTGTTTTTGAATATACATGTGTGTTTGTGATGAGACAGGGAAAGAGGGAGGACGCTGTAGTGATCACAAATAGAAGCTAGTCAAATCCTTTATGTTACGCTCTTGCAACAGTGTGGAGAAGCACTAAAAGTTCATGAAGTTAAATTTAAAGATGGTAAAGAAAGTTTCCATATACTTCACACACAGATTTCTCTATTATTAACATATTATACTAGTATAATACGTTTGTTACAATAAAGTTCATAACTTTATTGAGTTCTTAATTTCCACCCAATGTTCTTTCCTTGTTCCAGGATCTCACCCAAGGTAACTTTTCACATTTGGTTACCATGTCTCCTGAGGCTCTTCTAGACTGTCACGTTTTCTGACTTACTTTGCTTTTAGTGACCTTTAGAATTGTAAGGAAAACTGATCTGATATGATGTAGAATTTCTCTCAATTAGGGATTTTCTGATGTCTTCCCTCATTGTTATACTGGGATTATGTGTTTCGGGAGAAGGCTCACAGAAGTAAACTACCATTTTCATCACATTACATCAAGGGTACATACTATTAACATGACTTACCATTGTTAATGTTCACCATGGTCACCTAACTGAGCTAAGGTTTGTTAGGGTTCTCCACTGTAAAGTTATTCTTGTTACCCCTTTCCATACTGCACTCCTTGGCAGGAGGCCACTATGTGCAGCCCACACATAAAGAATGGAGAGTCCTGCTCTACATAATTTATTTGTAATTCTGTATGGAAGATATGACTCTAACTTCAATTTATTGTTCTTTAATTTATTTGTATTAGTATGCACTGAGAAATACACTTATTTTATACTATGGGTCATAATCCAATGTTATATTATTATTTAGCTTCTCAAATTGTTCCAGCTTTGGCTATTGGGAGCTATATAAATTGCCTCCTGTGTCCCTTTCACATGTCTCCATTATTCTGTGTGTGTGTGTGTGTGTGTGTGCATGTGCTATTGCTGCTGTTTTGATTTTTAGCATTTTCTTACTTTAGAACAATAAGATGCTCAAAGTTCATCTTTTATAGTTCTTGTCTTAGAGTCAGACCTATTTCCAAGGATATATGGTTTCTTTCACTGGAGAATGGTATTTGAAACCAAGATCTGTGCACAAGGTGTGCGTATTGCTTCTGGGACATTATGTTTCTTGGTCTTTGTATATATACACACATATATAATGTGTGTACATACATATATGTATTTATATTTCTACCTGTAACTACCTGTGTATAAATACATGTGTGTATATACACATGTATAAATACATGTGTATATATACATGTATATATATATGTTTGTGTATATGTGTATATATATATTTCTCATTAAAAATAAATTCTTGCCTATTTCCCCAAACCTATTCCTTTGTCACATGTATTATCCTTGCTTTCTCCCCTTGCTTATCTGCAACCTCTCACCCTGATGTAGGGAAACCTGGCTGTCACTATCTATCTCCATCTATTTACTTAATTATGCAATTCAGTATATCTGTGTAGTAGCTTTAGATTTTCTAAACCATAAACCCATAGGAATAATTTTATAACTAAGGTCTAAATTTCTATAGAGTCATTTTCACCTTTAGTAAACTCCATTCACTTCCGAAGTTACTTAAGTTAGAGCTCTTTTCCCAGTGCCCTTCAATGAGGTTTACTGCATTTGTGATAGTTTGTTAGACTAATCACATTCTGCATTTTATGATGGAATCCTCTGACTTGCCTATGTTAGTTTGCAAACATTTATATTTAATTCACTCTTTTTCTGTTGTAAAGCTTCACGCGTTTTGACAAATTTATCGTTTCACATATTCAACATTACATGATCATACAGAATAGTTTTACCAGCCAAAGAAATCTTGTACTTGATCTACCCCCTACCCCAAGCCCCCTACCCCAAATTCCTAGCAACCACTGATCCAATTATCATCTGTATAAGCTTTGTTTTTTCTAGAATGTTGTATAAATGGCCTCAAACAATATGTAGGCTTTTCAGGCTGGCTCTTCTTTTGTTTTTTGTTTTTATTTTTATTTTTTTACCTACAAATATATACACTTAAGATTCATCGATATATTTGCTGGATTTAATAGCTCATTACTTGTGTTAATGCTGAGTACTATTCTATATTATGTTTGTAACAGAATTGTTTGTCCATTTACCTATTCAAGTACATCTTGGTTACTTCCAGTTTATGGCAATTATAAATAAAGCTGCGTGCAGGTTTGTGTTTGTGCATAAACTTTCAAATCAATAGCTAGGAACACAACTGCTGAATCCTAAGACTATGTTTAGTTTTATAAGATACTGCCAAAATTCCTTTCAAAGTGGTTGTTCCATTTTGTAATCCCACTAGCAATGAATGAGACTTCCTATTGCTCTGCATTATCACCAAAAATTTATATTGTCAATCTTTTAGATTTTAGCCATTCCAATTTGTGTGGAGTATTATATCATTGTTGTTTTAACTTGCATTTCCCAATGATAAATTATGTTGAGCATGTTTTCCTATGCCCATTATTAATTAGGTTATTTATTTTCTTATTGTTGAGTTCTAACATTTCTTTGTATGTTTTGAATAAAAGTCCTTTATCAGACATGTTTTGCAAACATTTTCTCCTCGTCTGTAGCTTGTCTTTTACACACTTAGTGTCTTTTGCAAAGCATTTTCTTACGTTAGGACAATAGGTTTTAAATTTTAATAAAGTCCTATTTATCAATGTTATCTTTTATGTATGATGCTCTGGGTGTTATGTCAAAAACTCATCACCAAAATCAAAGTCACATATATTTTTCTCCTGTGTTTTCTTCAAAAAAGTTTTCTATTGTTGCATTTTACACTTAAGCCTATTACCCATTTTGTTAATTTTTTTGCATATGGATATCCAATTGTTTTAGCACCGTTTCTTGAAACAGTATTCTTTCTACATCAAGTTTTCTTTATATATATATATTTTAAAAATCAGTTGACTATATTTGTGTGGACCTAATTTTGGACTCATTATTTCCCATTTACTGGTGGAATTCTTCAACTTTATTTCCTTTCTTCAGTATTGTGTTGGCTGGTTATCCTAGATATTTTTCCTTTCTATATAAACTTCAGAAAAATTTGTTTAATATCTATAAAAGTGTTTTCTAGGATTTTTATTGGGATTTGTTTGAATCTGTATATAATTAAGATATTAATTTTCACCATCCATGCACATGGAATATCTATTTATTGATATTTTATTTATTTGATCAATGTGTTATAGTTTTCTGCATACAGATATTGTTCATATTTTGTTGAATTTATAACATTTTATTTTTGGTGGTTTTGTAAATTACATTATTTAGAATTTCAAATATAGGATAGAAAAGCAATTGACTTTTGTATATTAACTTTGTATACTGTGCTATTACTATACACTAGAATAATGTCTGCCACAGGGTAAGAGCTACATAATAAAAATATTTAGTGTTGTTAGGCCAGTTTGGCCAAAAGGTTTGGAAAGTATATAATTACAGTTGTTCAGGAGAGAAATTATGATAAAAGTTTTTACCTTTAAATAAAAATTAAATTATTTAGGGAAAACTGTTTTGTAAATGATAATCCTGTCATTAGAGAAGTGCAGAGTGAGGTCTGAAGTCAAGCCAAGTATGTGAAAGAGCCAGGATGAGAGTAATGAATGTCTTATTTCCCTTTCTATGTGCAAATAACACAACTCCTATTTTCAGTAGCATAACACAGAATCAGAAAATTAGGGGTTTATGAGAGTTTGCCTAGTTATTTTTTCCCATTTTCCAAGTTTTTCTTGTTTAATATCAAGAAGAAAGTATAAACATTGAGTACCTAATGGTAAAGGAAATTATTCTGGTAGCTAAGGATACAAAGGCTCTGTAATATTCTTCTCACCATTGAGAAATTTATCATATGTTTGGGAATTTAAGCATAGATACGTGGATGATAAAGTTACTCAGATGTCCTCTGGAATTTAAATCTTTTATTTTACTTACTAAGAAACTATGGATTTGAGAGCCAAAACTTTCTAGCACAAAGCCCAGCACCATGGTGCTGGATCTGTGTCAAAACCAGGTTGTTTGTTTCCCACTTGTTTTCTTTACTTTTTTCTTTCTTTTTCCAGGAGATTGTCAAGATTGTCATACAGAAGTTACAGATGCTCCTCAAATTATGATGGGGTTATGTACCAATAAACACATTGCAAATTGAAAATATTCGAAGTTGAAAATGCTTTTAATACATCCAGCCTATCAAACATCATAGCTTTGCCTAGCCTACCTTTAAGGTGCTCAGAACTCTTACATTAGCTTATAATTATGGGCAAAGTCATCAAATACAAAGCCCACTTAAAAAATAAATGTTGACTATATTGTGTAATTTATTGAACACCATGCTGAAAGTAAAAAACAGAATGCTTATATGGGACCTCGTGGTAAGCTTTCTACTGAACGTGTATCACTTTTGTACCATCATAAAGATAAGAAATCATAAGTCACACCATGGGTTGAGGATCACTTGTATTTCATTTTTTAAATGTCTATGTTATATATTGTTGAAAGAAACAATTCCTTTGATTTCTATGAACATAAATTTCTATCCTAAGTATTATAAATATTATAGCCTTACTTTTTACTCTTCTCCCTGACATTGAAATAAATAACCTGATAGCTAAACATTAGGAGAAATTAGGTTCCTGTAGATCATCCTCATTTTCCCTTTTTCTCTTAAGATATGGGTGTCAACAGGAAACATAGACTCTGAACATTTTTCTAGAGTGGATCAAGGCAGCTGCTTAAGGGAAGCCAGGGGACTGTGATTATTTGGGATTTTTGGTAACTTCTGGATTAGTGCAATTCAGAGAAGTTTTAGAATTTTGTACAATTGTCCATGAACAATGTGTAGCATTTGAAGATCAAATAGGTTTAATTATTAAAATCAATAAGATAGATGAAAAAGCTAGAATATGTTAGGATAGTAACATATCCACATATTGCATAATGATTATTGTTCTGACAATCCCGATCTCCTAGTCCCAACAATGGAAAGGGAGGGAATTCCCTAGGGGGCATCAATGTTGAATAATGCATTAAATTAAGCATGGCATGGGATGAAGAGTAAGGTTCTGAAAACTTCCTGGTTTGAATCACAAGTCTACCACTTTCTAGCTTTGCAACTGTGGGTGAGTTACATAACCTCTCTGCTTCTCAATTACCTAAAATGCAAAATCAGGATACTAGGGCCTACTTCATGAGAATTAACTAAAGGAATGCCTGGCATGTTAAAAATACTCTAAAATATTTGTTATGAAATAAAGTATATAAATAAATAAATACACTCAAGGGAGGATAGGACCATTGGGACTAGTAATGAGGAAATTTATGTGACTTTGCAGATGGTAGTTGTACTACAGTGGCAAGGGCTGAAGCCCCGATGCTATATGCTTAAGGAATAAGAGACACCAAGGCAGCCAAAACAGATTATATAAAAGAATATTAATCTGGAAAAATAGATAAGAGCATTAAATATATTTATGTAGCAATCATTTAGAATATCTGAAGAAAAAAAGGAAACTTTTAAACTTTTTTCAAGCATTTGCATTAAGTTCATCAATTACTCTTACAGCTCATTGAAACTTCAATTATCTTGTGCATTAATTGTTGGTCACAAAAACTATCTTCTAGGGTAATGCTTATATACAAAGAGAACTTTAAACATAACTAAATCATAACCTGTTAAATGTCAATAACCTATACATTATTTATATTTGGTATTACTAAAAATAAAGGTCATCTAGACCCCATTTTACAAACCATAAAGAAATAAATAAAATGAATATTTCCTCTTTTATGCATGGTCTATCTATTTTAAATGCTTTAGTTAATAATTATTTCATAGAAACTTTGTAATTCACAGTGTGGTATAGTAAAAAGAAAACCTAGGATTACAGTAAATTTGCATCACAAAACCACAACTTGACACTTAAAGCTCTGAATATCAGGAAACCAGAACCATTACTGGGAAAGCAGGTAAAATATGTTTCTTGTGTTTGTTTGATAAAAGGATAAAGCTGTCACCATTATTAAGGTGAGGGGTTTTAATTTAATTGAGGATTTCCTTTTCTGTCTTTCCAGAAAGTCAAGCATTTTCTTCTTCTGAAACAATTGAAATTTCTTATCTTCCTGTCATCATTTTATTATTTCATTTTGACTGCCTACAACTATTTTATATTGCTTCATTTTACCTGCACCTTTTTCCTTTCCAAAAGAAATAATAATTGGAACTGAAAAGATATTGACATTATTTTTTTGGCCAGAGAGAAAGCTGGAGTAAAAGACAGTCTTTTATTCCTGCTAGATCATACGTCATATGTCCCTTTTGCCTTCTCTTCTTTGGGTTACCTAATAAACTGTAAGAGAACCACATTTTAGAAGAAGAGACATGAAGGGTCTCAGTAGTCCCATAATTATTAATTACAGTGAAGAGAGCATGCTTTATTCACACTGTAACTATGTCTTTCTCACAATGAATAAATTGGTATGACACACTGTATGTGTGAATTTGGGATGATACAACAAAATGACACAGCATAATGTTTAGTTGTATGTAATAATTTTTATTTTGAAGAATATATATATTTTTAATTTTCTTAAATCAATTAAACATTATTTAATTTCGATTTAAGTTAAAAACTTAAACGTATACATTCTGTTTCTTTTGTTTCAAATCTGTACCTGCCAAAGCAAAAATTTACCACTTTGTACAGTATTTGCAACAAATGTTTTCCTCATTCAAAATCTACTTAAAAAGGAATTTTTAAAGTAATTCAAAAAGTAACAAAAATACTTTTTTGACAATTTGTCCTGCTTTTTCAGTTGTGATCTTCAGATATGAAAAATCATCCCTTCTCACTTTCTTTTTTTTTAATTGCACCTTCTAATATTTCCAAAGACTTAGTCTTGCCCTGACTTAGTCATTGCAAAACTGCTGGGCTTCATGTACTTACATCTTTTAAACTTTTTCTTATCAGCAGATTTTTCCAATTCCTTCATAATTCTCTTGGGAGCCAAACTCCTTTAATTATCTGAGAATGCCAGGATTGAAGCAGGACATACATCTCCATAGACTAGTATTTAATAGGGGTGCACACAACATGGAATCACTTATTCAGGCTGTTGGTTCAGGCAGTAGCTTTAAGTGTGAAACTTAACTGAAATAGGTTTATTTATTTAGTTTTAATTCCTGCCTGATCAGGAAATTTGACCACATACATAGCACAGTGGAAATTACATACCTTTTGAAATCTGTGAAACTTAGATAACAGCTTCATGTCAAACTTTCTGTTACCTCCACAAGTTCATGACAATATATGAATTTTATTTTTTTCTCTGTGTGTTGGGAATTTTAAAAAATGCTTTCATATCTTAACATGATCCATGAGGAAATTTTTTTTCTGTTCTCAGTGCCAGGGAAAGCTGTAGTATTTCTTGTTAACTTTCTTTTCTTTATTTTTTGTTAATAGAAACCAAATTGTGTAACTAAACTTATCCCACACTTTGATTTGGCTGCTAAGCAGCTCAAAGCCAAATTGTCAGCCCAACTACCCAATAGTCTGAACTCCTATTATGTATTATTAAGTACTAGCTGAAAATATTACTCTAAATTATTTATCTTTATATTTTTTCTTCATTTATTTGTTTTGCTCTTGCTTTATAGCATTCATTAATATAAGCCACTTATAAGTCCCACTTGGAAGTCAAGAATAAGAAAATTAATGAACTAAAATGCTATAACACACATAGTATAGATTATGTTATTTAAGTTCTGTAAAATACTAAAATATAGTGCCTTGCAAAGACGAAGACTCTATTAATATTTTACCCTTTCTTTCTTCTCCATTGAGACCAAAAGATGAGTCTCATTTTTTAAATTAACTTATTAATCTCAACAACAATTATGCAACTTCAATATTATGATGATTTCAACTGTCCATGAAATTTTGAAAAATTGGGTTCAAAGACCCGTTTGTAAAATCTGGGTGAAATTATTACACCCCTTAGAAACACTGCCACTACCTCTCTGTAGACACTTGACTTCTTCACTAGCACAGTTTTCGTATTAAACACTGCCCCTCCATGTTATATGGAGGATGAATTGGATGAGTGAGTGAGGGGAAGCAATGATAATGACAGCAACGAAGAAAAGAAAAACGAACTGTCTATATGGCAATAGAAATAATGTGAACTGGTAGGAATAAAAGATATATGTAAAATGTAGGATTTTTTTTATCTACTGGAGACATCAGCCTTTACTAGATGATTCCCATCCTAATTCAGGACTAGGGAATTCTATGTATTAGTATGGCTAGGATCGAAGTTTGAGGCCATCAGCAAATAAGTTCTTGATTTTTTTTTTTTGCATGAATTCTCTGCCATTTGTAAAACATTAAGAATTAGTCAGATAGAAGTTTTTTTAAAATTATTTAATTTTACTGATAAAGTTAATATTGAAGAAGAGGCTTAATATAAGAACTGACTATTCATACTAACCCCTCCTAGCCCATGTGCCTAGGCCTTAAAATATCTTACCTTAGGATTAATTTGAGTATTAGCACATACCCATTTAACCAGCAGGTTACCAACATCACGGTGTGAAGAGAGGGAAGTGAGAGACTGAGTATCCTAAATTTACTGCCTTGCAATATACATGAAACGCAACTCAGAAATTAACTTTTAACACCTGTTTAGGTTCTCCATCATGAGGAGTAGTAAGTAGATGGGCAACAGCATAGGAGTATTCAGGCCAGAATCTCACTTTATGAAAACCAGAACAATGGGATTATAGAAGGTTATGTGTAATGATTGCAAGATACATATTATAGTAATAGCAAGACAAAATATACTATAGAGGAAAATGCAGATGGTGAGATTAAGAAATCCATACAGGCATCAGGGGCTGACTTTGGGGATGGATGATACAAACTTGTGGTTGTCATGGTCCACAATTCAGTCAACGTGGACTTTAAGGGAGACACACAGATGGTGAGCCTCATCATCTATACCGTCTGCCCAGAGCATCTCAGAAACAACACACCTTTTTTCCTTAGTCAATGATAAATAAAACTAGCAGAGTTTGACATAAGGAATCTACAAGCTGCTGATGTTTTCACTAACTAGCCTTGAATTAAACTGTCAAGGACCCGAATCAATATAGGTTTCCTCTACCCTTCATTAGGGCGTGTTCAAGATAATGAGCTAATTTACTCAAAGCAATTATCTTTGTTTATTAACTGGTGTTAAGTTAAAAAAAATGTTCTTCTGATACTCCTTTATCTCTATATTTCTTGCTATTGGCCTAACCTAGACTCCCAGTACAAAAGGCTCTGGAATGGTGCCCCTACATCCAGATGATCCTCTACCATCACCAGTGATTTTTCTAAAACCACAACTGAACTCTTCCCCATTAAAGTGAAAGTCCTGGCAAGGACTGTGCCAGTCATGCTCATTTTAGTGTGCTTGGTACCAAGCACCTGGCTTGGCATATGGTAAGCCTTCAATCAATATTTGTTGAGTGAATTAATGAATAACTGTTTGTGTTATTATCTATCTTTTAAATAAAATTAAACCTCTAAGTCACTTCAATGTGTGTAGTTTACTACCTGTACAAATTCCTTAAATGATACCCAATGAACTTGGCAAGTTGATTCCAACCTACCATTTCTTTAATTTGTTCATCCTTTTGTTCATGTGCTGGGTCATGTTTTGTGTGCAAGGATATGGCTGTAAACAAAACAGACACATTACCTCAGATTATATTCCTGTGAGAGACAAATGAGAAGAAAATAAAAACATAACATACTAGGTAGGGGCATATGAAAATAAAAACAACTGGGCAAGGAGAACACTTCTAGTCAGGTAAAGTCTCTCAGATAAAGTGGCACTGAGAAAAGACATAAGTAAATGAAGACATCACTTATGCTATATCACAGGGGAAAGTGTTCCAGGCAACAACTCTGAAGACGATGTATTCCTCACCGGAGATTGTGCTAGACATTTCATGAAACTAAATATTAAGGCTTCTACTCTGGGTAAAATGGAGAACCAATGGAGAATTTTGGCAGAAGACAGAGATGATCTACTGGGTTGAAAAATAATGTAGGTAAGAGAAGGATGACAGCTTGGGACACATTTAAGTGTTCATCTTAAGAAATTTCTTGTAATGTGATAAGTTGAAAAAGATATACATCATGTTCATTATATTACTGTTTTTCACTATATTTGGGGGAAAAGTTACTAAATATCTAACAATAGAGACATACATGAAATTGAATAAAGCCAGTCAAATACAAATAAGGTAATAATTTGTATGTGTTGATATGCAAAGATGTTGTGACCTAATGTAACTAAATAAGACAAATTATAAAGAAAACACATGAGGCAGGGCGTAGTGGCTCACACCTGTAATCACAGCACTTTGGGAGGCCGAGGCAGGTGGATCATCTGAGGTCAGGAGTTCGAGACCAGCCTGGCTGGCATGGTGAAGCCCTGTCTCTACTAATAATACAAAAAATTTGGCTAAGCGTAGTGGCACATGCCTGTAATCCCACTTGCTTGGGAGGCTGAGGCAGGAGAATTGCTTGAACCTGGGAGGCAGTGAGCTGCGATTGTGCCATTGTACTCCAGCCTGGGAGGCCCTTTGCCAATTTCAACCCGAACATCCAACATTGGACACTAATCCAGCTGCCTGGTAAGATTTGCCTCCCCTGGTTTTTTCATGGTGCCCAGGAAAGTCAAGTCTGCCATCCCAGTCCTCAGAGGACCAATGGGAGTACGTTAGAAGAAATCTTGGGGATGCCCAGTTTCTTCTCAGCTTAACCATCCTCTTTATGAAGAGGATTACAGGTCTTTGTTTTTTGTCTAGGGACACCTAGAACAAAAACAGACACCCTTGGCCTCTTCTTACCAGTCCACATGGGTGCCAAACAATCCCACATTCCTAGGTCCTCCCCACTGGGCTGCCTCCTTCATAACCTCTCCAAACTGGGCTTACAGTGGAGCCTAAGCCAAAGCATTTAGTTTTTTATTGCAATATGGCCTGGCCCCAATACAAATTAGATAATGACAGCTGATGGCCTGAAAAACAGCACCTTTGACTTTCAAAGTCTCAGGGATCTTGACAACTTTATAACCAGGAATGGCAAATGGCAAGAGGTTTCCTATATTAAGGCTTTCTTCTACCTTAAATCCCAACCCTCCCTATGTCAAGCTTGCACCCCTCATGAAATCCTTCTTCTTAATGAAAACCCTCCCCAAACCTCTGTTTTTTCCAAAACCCCTTCCTCTGAAGCCCCTTTCGATTCTGCAGATGAACCACCTCTGTAGTCTCAACCCCCTGTATCCATTCCTTGACTGTCTGAACCCTCCATCCCTGTGGCCCCTCCTGCTTCCAAGCCTTTAGCCCCAAACCCTGCCCCTCCTCCTTCTCCACCTGCTACCCTTTCAAACACTGCTCCAACCAGACAAATCACTTCTGCCATTCTACTTTCCTGGGAAGTGGCTGGGGTTGAAGGCACTGCTCACATCCATGTCCCTTTCTCCATGTCTGATTTGTCACAAATCAAACAACGCCTGGGATCTTTCTCTGAAAATCCCTCTTGCCATGGCAAGGAATTCCTGCACATAACCCAATCCTTTAATTTAACTTGGCATGACATTTACATAATTCTAACTCCACCCTCACTCCTGATGAAAACTAGTGCATCTGACATTCAGCTGAAACACACGCAGATGAACTCCATAATCAAGCCCCTATACAAAATCCAGTGGCCAATGATGCAGTCCCCCATAGAGACCCAGATTGGACTTACCAACAGGGAGACAATGGCATCAGGCAAAGAGACCACAGAGTACCTGTCCTCAAAGGCATGGACAAAAACACCTATAAGGCATTTAATTATGAAAAACTCAGAGAAATTACACAAGAGTTCTAGAAAATCCTGCCCTTTTCTTATAATGCCTCACCGAAGCTATGTTAAAATATACCAATTCAGACCCAGAATCTAGAGACGGTCACCCTTTTCTACACCTCCAATTTATTTCCTAATCTGCCCTAGATATCCAGAAAAAGTTGTAAAAGTTAAAGGAGGGTCCCCAGACATCTCAGTGGGACCTCCTAAATGTGGCCTTCCATGTCTTTAACAGCAGAGATGAGGAACAAAAAATTTAAAAAGACAAACATCTCCATGTAAAATACCAGATGCTTGCCTCTGCTGTCCAAAAGTCAGTTGCACAAAAACCTCCCAGTAACCCAAAGGGAAAGTCCCAGACCTCTTCGGGAGTTTGTCTCTGATGGTCCCCCACCAAACCATGTCCAACTTGTGGTCTTTGGGGACCCTGGAAGATAGACTGCCCCCAACAGGGACACCTTCCGCATTTGGGTGCAGCTCATAATGAAGCCCCCTGACCATCACAGGAGGAAACCTCTTCACCGCTGTTGCTGACAGCTGATGACTGAGGGTGCCTGGGATCTTTCACTCCCACATCTACTCAGTCCATGGAACCCAGAGTAATTGGGAAGGTATCTGGTAAGATTATTTCCTCTCTTTTGGATACTAGGGTGAGTCTATCTGTATTAACTGAATATCAAGGCCTATTAGAATGTTCATCCATTTCTGTTGTTGGCATGAAAGGTATACAAGAATCCCCATACAAAACACCACCTCTGTACTGCTCATTTCAGAGTAACCTTCCTTCAGTCTTTCTTGGTCACTCCTCATTGTCCTATTCCTTTACTAGGAAAGGGCATCCTACACAAACTGGGAAGAATCATTCATTTATTGGCCTTACAACAAAGCCACCCTTATTTTTTATTATTTCAAGAACAGGACCCTTCCTCAGACACTTGGCATCAAAAAGACTTAAGTCCCAAATAACTCAGCCAAGTAAATCCCATAGTGTGGAACACCAACTCCCCCATGGTAGCTACCCACCATTCTCCAATTCAAATTTCACTGAAAGATCCTAAATGCTGTATAGCAGTCCCACAATATCCCCTCAACCCTAATGGATTATAGGGACTCAAGCCCATCATCTCCCGACTTTTGGCTGCCAGTATTTTAATCCCCACCATTCTCCCCAGAAATACTCCTATTCTCCCAATTAAAAAAACTGGATGGGTCCTATAGACTGGGATTTACGACAAATCAACTCCACTATTTTTCCTGTTTGTCTGGTTGTCCCAAAGTCCTACACCCTCCTATCATGAATTCCTCCCAACACTAGCCATTTCTCTCTATTAGACCTCAAACATGCCTTTTTTACTATCCATCTACATCCCTCCTCTCAAAAACTTTTTGCTTTCACCTGGACTGACCCTGACATAGGCTATTCCCAATAATTCACCTGGACTGTCCTCCCCCAGGGGTTTAGGAGCAGCCCTTACTATTTTGGTCAGGCACTTCAGTTGGACCTTTCCCAACTATCTCTACAACCTAGCGTTTTGCTTCAATATGTGGACAATTTACTTCTTTGCAGCCCCTCTTTAGAACATTGTCTTCAACGCACCACCAGGCTTTTAATTTTTTTGGCTACCAGGTATCCAAAAAGAAGGCCCAATTAACCTCTCCAAAAGTTTCATATGTATGATTAATCATAACTCCAAACACCAGAGAAAATTCACCAGCATTAAAGCAAGGCATTCAACAAATCCCATTTCCTAAAACAAAAAGGGACTTACTTTCTTTCTTTGGATTAGAGGGATATTTCCAATTATGAATAGCAAATATTGCCATCATCTCTAAACCTCCTTATGAACACACAAAAGGAAATCTTGACCAACCACTCACTCCCACCGAGACCTTTATCATGCTTTCTCTCACCTAAAATGTGCCTTATTACAGTCCCCCCCTTTAGGCCTTCCAATCCCCCTAAGACCTTTTCATCTATATTTACACAGTTTTGATAATCAGGCCCTTGGACTATTAGCCCAACCCATGGGAGATTCCCTTCAACCAGTGGCATATTTTTCAAAACAACTAGACCCCATTTACAAAAACTGGCCCCTTTGCTTAAAAATGTTTGCCATACCCTCTTTAATTATCCCTGAGGCACAAAATCTCACTTTCTATGGACCCCTTCAGTTATTTTCTTTTCATAGTCTACAAGATATGCTCAGCCATAAGGCACTCACTTCCATCTTGTCCTCTCACATACAAGCCTTACATTCAACTCTCCTTCAGGCCCCTATCTCTCTTCATAGATGCTCCTCTTCCAAAATCCTGCTACTCTTTTACCTTCAACACAGATTTTGGACCCTGACAAACACTCGTGTTCTGATCCAATTCACAGTTCTTGCACCATGTTTCACCACATTACTTCCACTCACATAAAGGGAGCCCCCGATTTGTTTATAGATGGTAGCGCATCAAAAAACCCTCCCCTCCAAGCAGGATATGCCATCATTGAGAGATATTATGATGATACCCACTCTCTCCCACCTAGAAGAGTTGTAGAGGCTGCCCTCTTGCCTTTGGGCACATCCTCCCAACAAGCAGAGTTAATTGCCCTAATAAGAGCACTAGCGCAAAACACACAAGTTAATATATACACCGATTCTAAATATGCCTGTAACATCATCCATTCTAATGCTCAGATCTGGAGTGAGCAGGGCTATCTCAGGGCTAAGGAAACTCCTATTATTAATGGAAAACTAATCCATCATCTACTAAAGGCAATACTACTTCCAGAAAAGTCTGCAGTTATCCTTTGCAAAGGACATCAATCAGATAAAGGCCACATTTCTTTAGGGAGCCATGAGGCTGACTATTGGGCAAAACACGCCTCAACCAATCATCCAATTCCCCAATATCTATTTCCCTTCACACAACATATCCCCTCCTTTTATCCAGAACACCAAATACAACAACGAATTGTGGCAGGAGCACAATTCAAACCCCTTGTACTCATTCATACAAAACAAATTAGTCTCACCTGACCCTGAAAAAAACAACTCTTTTATGGGACATCCATAACCTCTTCCACACTAGCCATTCCCCTCACCGATTCATAAGTTCACACATACACATAACCCCAGATATAAAGGAATAGTTAAAAACCGTTTCCCATTAATGCTCTATTTGCCAGAAAGCTTCACCCCAGTCCAACACTAGACCCCCTTCTTTCCCAACCCATCAAGCCAGGGGACATCTTTCAGGACAGGACTGGCAAATTTATTTTACCCATATGCCACAAGTAAAAAAGGTTTGATTTCTTTTGGTTCTGGTTGACACCTTTTCAGGATGGGTCGAGGCTTTTCCCACAACCAACAAACAAGCTTCTACTGTTACCTCCAAATTAATAACAGAAATCATCCGTGGGTACGGGATGCCTCTTACTTCTCAATTTAATAATGATCCTGAATTAGTTTCTCAAATTACTCACCCACTTGCACAATTCCTACAAATCATCTGGAAGCTACACATCTCCTATCGACCTCAATCTTTGGGAAAAGGTGAAAAAATGAATGGCATTCTGAAAAACACCCTCACCAGGCACTCACTCCAGACACAAAGACTGGGTTACACTTTTACATTTGACCCTTCTAAAAATTCAGTCATTGCCATGTAAACCTTGCTCAGCTCCTTTGAACTCATGTATGGGAGACCACTTGCCCCTTTTGTTCCACCTCAGGGTCAAGCCCCGCCTCTACCAACCCCTCTTGTTTCCCCTCTTCTACATACCATCTGCCATCTCATTTGGGAATATGCTGACAAATACCTGCCACAACCTGTTGCTGACTCCTCTAATCCCTTCCTACAGCCAAGAGACTGGGTTCTGGTTAAAGATCCTAATCTTACCTCAAATTCCCCCCCACACACTTAAATGGAAGTGGCCTTACCAGATCATCCTTACTACACCCAGGGTACCAAAACTCCAGGGACTCCTCAACTGCTATCATTATACTTCTCTCAAGGAAACAGACTTCCCTTCACCAAACACCCAAACAACCAAATCTAAAACACTTTCAGCCTTCTCTTATGTCTTCACAGGACTCATTTCCCTTCATCTCACTCGAATCCCAGAGGAAAAGGAAGAGAAATTCACCTAAGAAGCTTATGTCTCTTTCTTTCCCAAACTTTCATTGCTTCCTAAACATCCTTGTTACAGACCTTCAGTGGTACCCTTACAAAACTCCCATTATACATTCTGATCAACTCCTTACTATATTCCATGGGACTTACGGCTTCAAGGAACTTTCCAGGACTGTACTCCTACCCAAATAACTTTTTCTATTTTTGCTTGTTTCTTTCAATATAAATTCTCTAATCACATTGACCTCACCAATACAACCACTCCTCACTGCTCTCAAACTGGAATGCTCTATAAACCTTACATGATCCCTTGTGCAGCAAGCTAACTCTTCCTTTGCTCCAGAAGACTGGATGTGTTATCGCTGTCTTCCTCAGCTTTCACAGCATTTCCTACACCCCTTTATTACCTTTTAACAGGAAACATAATCCTAATCTATAAACTCCAGAAAAGAAGCTTCCTTTTTGGAAAGAGCTGACACTCTGGTGGGTGATTATCCTACTTCCAGGGCCAATCAGGCCAACAAATTATTTCAAACCTATTACAACTCCTCAAGCCCCACGGCCCTCCTATTGAAAGGCTCATAACTAAACACATCCCTCGTTTACAACAAGCCTCACTTTGCTTTTCAGCCTCTGAGGGAAATTTCCCTGTAGGGTCCTTAACACTCAACCAATGCAACCATACTATCATTGTTAAACACCGCTCTGATCGTCAAAATTAACTGAGTTGACTATCAAGTATCACCTGAAGCAAACAGAGCATTTCTGCAACCACCTTATTTTACAGCATCTCCCTCAACTGATGCCTCTGGCCTAACTTATGCTGTCCCTAGTGCCCACCTTTACATAGCTCAATATCAGTGGTACAACATCCGATCACATTAAATGTGTGAAAAATAACTCTTCCTATATCTCTGCTATAGTGGGTGCCTCCCTAACCTCCTCCTTGTTCACCTGGAGTAATGAACCACAGGAAAGAAAAAACACCTCATTTTTAATTCACCTGTTTTCTTTCCATATCTCTGTCTGTATTCATGACAAAGGTTTATTCTTTTTGTGTGGCACCAACACATATCTTTGTCTCCCCACCATCTGGGCTGCAACCTATACCCTAGTTTATCTTTCTCCCTCTATTGGACTAGCTCCTCCTAGTCAACCTCTGCCCATTCCATCCATCCAATATGTTAGGAAGAAGAGGGCCAGCCATGCCATTCCCTTGATGGATACCTTGGGTATAACCTCAGGACTTGGATTGGGAGCAGGTGGATTGGCCACTTCCTTAACATACTTTAAAGCTCTTTCAACAGAACTACAGGGTTCTTTAGAAGATACAGCCTGAAGCCTTTTAAGAGTCCAAGACTAACTAGGCTCCTTGGCTGGAGTAGTCCTCCAAAATAGATGGGGACTAGATCTCATAATGGCTGAAAAAGGGACCTCTGCCTCTCATTGGGTGAGGAATGTTGCTTTTACCTCAACCATTTGGGCTTAGTAAGGGACACTACTGAAAAACTTACAGAAAGGGGTAAAAAGCTAAGGGAATACCAAAGCAACCAAATAGATTCTTGGTTTGGGAACAAAATCATAACATGGGTCATCCCATTCCTGGGCCCTCTCCTAATGATATGCCTAGGACTAATATTCTTACCCTGCCTAAGTAAGCTTTTTTCAAAGATTTTTAACTGTCAGGATAATTGTCATTTCACAGACAACTACCCAAAAACATCTATAGACAGCATTATGCCTACAGTCAATCTGAGACCAAAGAACTTTCCACACGTGCCTCAGCAGGAAACAGCCAGAAAGAACACAACACCCCTTGTCCTTTTATAATGATAGGGTCTGCATTGACAGAAGAGGAGTATTGCCATCTTGGACAAACACTGCCATTCTAAGTTCCCCTTGATTAAAAACTGCCTAAATCCAGCCCCAAAAACATCAGCCTAATGGCTAATGTCAGCATGAACTTAAACCACAAATGACACTTCTGACCAGAAACATTCCAACCCTGAGATGAGCCTCACTCTGACCAGATACATGCCAGCCCTGAGATAACCTCCCTTCCATTTGGAAACTTGCCAGCCCTGAGATAACCTCCCCTCTGACCAGAGATATTTCAACCCAGCAATAAAACTCTCCTCCACCCAGAAACATTCTGAGCCTACGATAAGCTCTCCCTCCCTAACCCTTTAAATACCCTTAGTCTGTAAAAGAGAATGCTCCTGATTTAAATAGGCCAGAATCCCCTCTCAGGCTTATTTTCCAAAATAAATCTCTCTTTTTTACTGTTGAGCCACTTTTCGTATTTCTTTCTGCTTTTTTCAACTCTTACATAAATAACTTACCAACAAATGGAATGTAAAGAGTCAAAGTCAGATTATTTCACCTTCCTCCATTTACAATTTCCCCACTGTCAATATTAGCTCAAATATTGTATTAGAAATTATTATACCCTTTTTACAGTTTTCCAGTATCAATTAATCAATGTCTTATTGATACTTATTTTTACAGGCCTTCAAAACTGACCTCCATCCATATCCAGGCCAAGTTTATTCTTTATCCTATCACCCAAACCTTCAGTATTATTATTTCAATTTCATTATCTTCTAAAATCATGTTCAAATAGAACTTAATATTTGGTGATTTCCACTTTCTTTTGTTCAATACATGCTGATGTTTGTTCATGTCATGTATACAAAATCATCAATGGCACCCTTTCATTCATTTTGCATCAATAAATATTTATTGCCTGAATTTTCTAATGACTGAATGAGGAGAGTGTTCTGCAATCATTTGACTTATGCTTTCAGACTCTACACCTCCAGGTTTTGTTTCTTGAACTTCTGACAAACATTATGAATACATTAAACTCAATTGTTTTGCCTACTCTACAGCCACAATTATGCTGCATTTGAGGCTTAAGACACTGTAATTGTTTTTGGTCCCCAGTCTCATTACCTTCTCACCCTTCTCAACCTCCAAATGTATGCACCATCTGTCAACTTCTAAGTACTTTCCAACAGACTCCAAGGCAGCATCCCAATATTCTCTTTCATCAGTCTCAGCAATTATGTTTGTCAATTTGGGAAACTGCAATAATTTTACGTCACATAAGATCACTGGGAACTTAACAAGTAGATCAGGGAGCAAGGGCTACTAGGGTTGCCCCTCTTCCTAGTTTGTATTATTCACTTACAAAACTCAATTTAATCTGTTGTGTTTCTCACATATTTAAAATGCAGTCTTTTTAATAATCTTCTTAGCTGGCTTCAGACGCATGTTTGGTGTGAGCCAAGGCATCAGCTGCTTTTCAGAAATTAAATCATTAGTTCCATTGTTTTATTTTCATCTCATGTTTTTACCCAATTACATATTTTGCAAAGTTAATTTCACCTTATTAATGTGTTCAGTATAATCTGTGCAAATGATATGAGACTTTCACATCTCCAACAAATCCTCTCCTGATCCCTTCTTGAATCCTGGGGGTGGCAGTAGAGAAGTCACACCTCCCATCTTTTGCCCTCTGGGCACGACTTTCTTCCTCAGAAGGATATTGAACAGATTGACTGGAGGTCTTTTTATTTTCCCCTACTTCTCCTCTTAGAAAGCAGGAATATAATTCATTCAGGCTTGGTGCTTTGTCAACTTTTAATAGCTCTAATTGCCTAATTATCTTCTCGGGTACAATTATGAAACCTCCATACTGAGCTTGTTTTCAGGGGTATGCACACTGTTATAATGCTTGAATATACAGCAGTTTGCTTCATAAACAAGGCACAAAGAATTTATAAGTGATGATAGCCATTGGAGGCCACATTGTTCCTTGTTTTGACGAAAAGTGTATGACTTGTCACAATGAGAAAATGATAGAATTGGTCAGAATTTTTATCATAGATTAGCCTCTTATTTAAGAATTTTCATTTTTATTTTATGTGAATTTATTTGAGTTTTGGCAATGTGCCCCTTTCTTACAATATTCTGTGAATAGCCCATCTGTGAATAAATTGGTGTGAATAACCTTGCCCACACTTGAAAAAAAGTAAAAAATAGACACTACAAATTCATTATTTAACAAGCAAAGTTTAGCACATGTATTCAAATGAATACTAATTGAATTTGCCCCTTTAATTTGTATCGAACTATCATTTAAACCTTATTTTCATAGTATACTAAAGTAATTGCTATAAAAATTAGCTTATCAAAAATTACTGTGGATAACATCATATCTCAGGGTTACACAGCTACAGGGTACATAAGAGGTGCCTTTTGATTAGAGATTTAAAATAAAGTTCTTATTTCCTCCAATGTGTAGTTGACTAGAATGAAGTCTTAGATACCATAACAGTTACAATAATTTATTTGGTCTGGGTCTTCTTGATTATTGGTGAATTCTCAGTTTGGGTGCCATTCTTTGGATATTCATACCTCTACAATATTGTATATTTGGTTCAATTAAATCCTGTAGTGGTGCTATCTTTTAACTCTATTTTTAATATTATTTTTATTGAAACATACTAGATGTACATATTTTGGGGGTACATGTGATAATCTAATATATTCACATAATTTGTAAAGATCAAATTTATATAAGTGGGATAACCATTACCTTAAATATTTGTCTTTTTTATGCTAGAGACATTCAAATTATTCTCTTCTAGCTATTTTAAAGTATGCAATAGATTATTGTAAACTATAGTCACCCTACAGATCTATCAATATGAGGTCTTACTTCTTATATCAAACTGTGTACTTACATTCATTAATAGCCTCTTTTTAAAACTCATTTTGACTGCCCAAAAATCCAGCAAATTTTTAAGAAATAAAGTGACGATAGGCCGGGCATGGTGGCTCACACCTGTAATCCCAGCACTCTGGGAGGCCAAGGAGGGCAGATCACGAGGTCAGGAGATCGAGACCATCCCGGCTAATATGGAGAAAACCTGTCTCCACTAAGAATACAAAAAATTAGCCAGCTGTGGTGGCAGGCGCCTGTAATCCCAGCTACTCGGGAGGCTGTGGCAGAGGAATTGTTTGAACCTGGGAGGCGGAGGTTGCAGTGAGCCAAGATTGCACCACTGTACTCTAGCCTGGGCTACAGAGCAAGACTCCGTTTCAAAAAAAAAAAAAAAGAAAGAAAGAAAGTGGCTATTGAACAAACATAGTTTTGGATAAATGCATGGTAGGAAATAGAAAAATAGGAGGGGAGAAAGAAATACAATTGTTTTCAATGAAAGTCCTATATATAACATTAGTACTTAACATTTGTAAAAATATTAGGAATTGATAGTGATGTGAAATACCAATCTTCCATGTTACATTTTATAATGGCTTATGTACTTTTTTCCCAAAGTGATTTACAGCTATTTGTCAATTGAATTCAGTTTTATAATTTATTCTTTATAAGTGCCACAGAGGTCTGGATCCTCTTTTATACGACTCACCTTATGAGGCTGGGCTGACCCAGGATAATCTCTCTTTGATTACTTCAAAGTTGACCTATACAGAACTGAATTACTTCTGCAAATTTCCTTCACCTTTGCCAAATTTTATTGGTCAGAAGCCAGGTTCTGTCTGCACCGAAGGGGAGGAGATTATACAGAGTTGTGGATGCCAAGGAATAGAAATCCTGAGGACAGTTTCAGAATTCTCCCAACCACAGTGGTTTTAGAATGGATCCATTTCTCTGTTCATCTTGAGTTCTGACCTCATCCCTCATCATTTTCCACTCACTGCATTCAACAGCAAGTAAGCCATTGAGTGCTTTCGGTAAGCAAGGAGAATGGTGTGCTCCACAAATGTAAAAATAAAAAGATCCCAATCCATACTTTAAAAGAAATCAGTTTAGTGAAGAAGAGAGGAAACAAACACTATCCTCCAAATGAAATGTATCCCTAGGATGCAAGGATGGTTCAACATATATACATCAAACAATGTGATACATCGTATCAGCAGAATGAAGGATAAAAAAAATCGTGTCAATTGCTGCTGAAAAAGCATTTGATAACATTCAACATTCATTCACGATAAGAACCCTCAAAAAACTGGAAATAGGAGGAACATATCTCAACATGATAAAAGCCATATATGACAAATCGACAGCTAGTATCATACTGAATGGGAAAAAACAGAAAGCTTTTCCACTAAGATCTGGAACACGATAAGATTGCCCACTGTCACCACTGTAATTCAGCATAGTACTGGAAGTCCTAGCTAGGGCAATCAGAAAAGAGAAAGATATACAGTGCATCCAAATTGGAAAGGAATAAGTACAATTACCATTGTTTGCAAGTGATACAATCTTATGTTTGAAAAAACCTGAAAACTCCACCAAAAAACTATTAAAACTGATAAATGAATTCAATAAAGTTGCAAGACACAAAATCAATGTACAAAAATCAGTAGCATTTCTACATGCCAACGTGAATAGTGTGAAAAGAAATTCAAAAGTAATCCCATTTAAAAGAGCCACACATAAAATTAAATATCTATGAATTAACTTAACCAAAGAAGTGAAAGTTCTTCATAATGAAAACTATAAAATACTGATGAAAGAAATTGAAGAGGACACCACAAAATGGAAAAATATTACATGTTCATGGATTGAAAGAATCAATATTTTAAAAATGTTCATACTACCCAAAGCAATATACAGATTTGATGCAATCCCTATCAAAACACCAATGACATTCATCACAGAACTAGAAAAAAATCCTAAAATGTATATGGAAACACAAAATACCTAAAGCTATAGCCAAAGCTATCCCAAGCACAAAGAGCAAAACTAGAGGAATTATATTACCTTACTTCAAATTATACTACAGAGCTATGGTAACCAAAACAGCAGGGTACTGGCATAAAAACAGACACATAAACCACAGGAACAGAATAAGGAACCCAGAAACAAATTCATACATGTACAGTGAACTAATTTTTGACAATGGTGCCAAGAGCACACATTGGGGAAAATACATTCTGTAAATGTATAATGTGTAAATGTATAAAAAAATGGTGCTGGAAAAACTGGATGTTCACATGAAAAAGAATAAAACTAGACCCCATTCCTTGCCATATACAAAAACAAAATCAAAATGGATTAAATACTTAAATCTAAAAGCTCAAACTCTGAAACAACTACAAGAAAATATTGGGGAAAATCTCCATGACATGGACGGACAACAATTTCTTAAGCAATACCCCATAAGCATAGGCAACCAATGCAAAAATGGGCAAATGGGATCACAATACGTTAAAAGGTTTTTGCACAGCAAAGGATACAGTCAACAAAGTGAAGACACAACCCACAGAGTGAAAGAAAATATTTGCAAACTACCCATCTGACAAGGAATTAATAGCCAGAATATATAAGGAGGTCAATTCAATGGGAAAAAATCTAATAATCCAATGAAAAAATGGGTAAACGATATGAATAGACTTTTCTCAAAAGAAGAAAAACAATGGCAAACGGGCACATCACTGCTCATCAGAAAAATGCAAATCAAAACTACAATGAGATATCATCTCTCATCCCAGTTAAAATGGCTTATATTCAAAAGACAGGCAATAACAAATGCTGACAAAGACGCGGCAAAAAGAGAATCCTCGTACACTCTTAGTGGGAATGTAAATTAGTACAAAACTATGGAGAACAAAAATTGAGCTGCCATGTGATTCAGCAACCCCACTGCTGGGTATATTCCCAAAAGAAAGGAAATCAGCATATTGAAGAGATATCTGCATGCCCACGTTTGTTGCAGCACTGTTCACAATAGCCAAGATTTGGAAGTAACCTACATGTCCATCAACAGATGAATGGATAAAGAGAATGCGGTACCTATGCACAATGAAGTACTATTCAGCCACAGAAAAAGAATGGGATCCAGTCATTTGCAGCAACATGATTGGAACTGGAGATCGTTAATTTTAAGTGAAATAAGCCAGGCACAGAAATACAAATATCGCATGTTCTCCACTTATTTATGGGGTCTAAAAATCATGACAATTGAACTCATGGGCATAGAGAGTAGAAGGATAGTTACCAGAGGCAGGGAAGGGTAGTAGGGGCCTGGGGAGAAGGTGAGGATAGTCAAAGGGTACAAAAAAATAGAAGGAATGAATGAGACCTACTATTCGACAGCAGAATAGGGTGACTATTGAAAAATAACTTAGAGAGTGTAACTAGATTGTTTGTAATACAAATGAGAAATGCTTGAGGGGATGGATACCTTATCCTCCATGATGTGCTTATTTAATATTGCATGCCTGTATCAAAATATATCATATATCCCATAAATATATATACCTACTATGTACCCATATAAATTTAAAAAAAAAAAAGCTTCAGAAATCTAAAACAAATGCCATCCTTCAGACTTTGATTCAAACATGGACAACCACCTGTGAGATAGTGAAGAGGTCAGGTTCAGGACTTAGACCCAACTGGATTTGAACCCCAGACCTGCCAGTTCCCAGCTGGCACGGTGACCTTAAATGTGTTACTTCACCACTGTGCCTCACTTGCTTCATCTTTAACAATAGGGTAGTCATGAAGTTCAAATGACATAATGCATATAAAAATGCTGAACAGTGTCTGGTGCATAATTACTTAATAAATTATAACTATTGCTATGAATAACAGTTTGAAGTTTCCTCAAAAAACTAAAAATTGAGTTACCTTATGATCCAGCAATCCTACTGCTGGGTAGATGCCCCAAAGAAAGGAAATCAGTATATTGAGGAGATATCTGCACTCCTATGTTTGTTGCAGTGTTGTTTACAATAGCCAAGATTGGAGGCAACCTAAATATCTATCTATGCATGTGCTTGTGTGCACACAGACACACACACACACACACACACACACCAATTCTCCCTTATCCAGGCCCCAAAATAAATAGTGTGAAAAGTACGAGGAGAGAGGTGGTATTAAACTGAACAATGCATAGATCACTTCATAAATTACACACAGCAACTGGCATATAGACAGTTGTACCTTAAGCTCCAGTAAGTAAGCAGAACGAGGGACAGAGCCTGGACTAAAAATACCTATCTTTACTAGTAGATAGATTACATAAGGAAAAAGATTTTAGTTTCCTTATTAGCTATCTTATTCCGAGTGAGAAAGAACTGCCAATTAGAGATGTCTATAAATGGAAAGGCACATATTGAGAAGCAGTAAATCTGATTTCTTTAAATTAGTCATAGGGCTAAATCTCCATTCCTTAGAAATGATAAACAAAGGGATTTCTTAAAGGAGATGCTGTCTCAATTTGCTACACATAAAGTCCTTTCCTACACACGTTGTGAAGTCTTTCCTGTGAATTTTATATTGTAAAATATTCTACTCTAATATTTTTACTATAATGTAACATTAAAATTATATTTTATTTGAATATTCCTCTAAATTTAATATAAAATCTTATTTTTCTGCCTGTGCAAATGAACCTACAAATACTCAAAGGGCGCACATTTCCAAAAATGATAAAACAGAGGAGCCAGAATAAAGAATCCTGGAGTAGGAAGGGGTTCCTGAAGGAATCTCTGAAAACTCTATAGTCCTTTAGATGACATTATGTTTCTTACCTTACTCTACAATGCCTTGGTACTTCTTCAGGAAATTTTCCATTTAATAGATACATACTTAATTTTAAATAAACTAAATGAAGAATAATTTTGGAAATAGGTAAATATTTTTACCCACAACAACTAGAAATATACATAAATACTTATTTAATATAATCAGCTAGCCAATTTAGCAAATATTCTACCTTGTCATTATCAGTGCCTTCCTGATTCACAAGACTCTTAATATCAAAAAAATGAATGTCCATGCCTAGTCTTCATTTTTAGGTCATGATTTGAGGGGAAATACTGCATAGAGTGGGATCCTACAACTGCCCCCTCAAACATTAATGAGTTAAACATTTACTAAATATGGAACAGAACTCTTAGCACCCCTTGCTTTAATTTATTTTTTTTTCAATATCATGCTGCTTGTAATTTTGAATAACTGCTTTTACCTGCTGTGAGGAACAATAACCACTGAGCATTGTGTTTTTGCTCAAATCCTATTTGTTGTTATGGAAACAGCATATCTATTAAGTTTCCTACTGCAGAACTGCTGTAGAAAATGTTACTTAAAATGTTCACCAGCAAAGGAAAAGGGGGGAAAGTGAATTCAAACAATACCTGACTATTTCTCTTATATGACATGAAGATGTTTGAAATATAAAATGTTAATAATGATGACTGGGCAACTTCATTATACCAAATCAATACATTGAAATACGAAAGAGACTATTGTGCGCGTATGTAAATTAAAAGAAAAAGAAGTGTGGGTTATTCAATTTTGTAGGGTTCAAAATGGTTTTGAGTTTATACAATAAGAGGTTTCTTTGATTTGATGGTTTCACGAGAGGTGAAACACGGGGTTTACCTAGGTAGAATGCTGGATTAAATTGTCCATTATTCCATGGAGTGCTTTTCTCTCACAAATGCATTTGTATTCAAGCAACACAATTTCATGTCCTTCACCTGTTTTAACATGTGACCACAGATGTCTTAATTTACCTATATAATTATACATTTTAGGATAATGTCTATGACTGTGCGTAAGACATTTATATTTATATACATTTATATTTATAATCCAATGGACTTCACTGGCTATACTTGGTATTTCATCCTTGTTTAATGTATTTAAAGAGAAATATAAACATAAAATAAAAGTCCAATTCCTATCACATGAAACTTCTATTCCCCTATCCCTTGTTTCTGTGGAGAAACGCTAAGAATGGAACATGTTTACCCAACGTAATTGAGTGTCAATATCACTCAATTATTTCTAACAGTGAATGTACAGAAAGTTCTGTGGGTTCAAGTTGTATTAATGTTATGTATCTGCATTGGTAAAATGGAAGCCACCAATCCTCTATTATTTATTCTAAAATTTCTGTAGCAAAAAATGTGCCAAGTCCTTCATGGACATCATTTTATTTAAGCCTCTTGTAACCCCTGTGAGGTTGGTAAACTGGATATTGTCCCCATTTTATAGATGAAGAAACAAATGCCAAAAAGAATTAACCTCCTTAAAGTCAAAAGCTGGGAAGTGACAGTTGAAATTTTATCTGAGGTCTTTGTTTCTTTAAAAACCATTCCCTAAGTACCTTTAAGACCAATTTCTACACAAAAGACAGTCAGTCATGTAAGCCTAACTTTTCTACCAAACTTATTATAGGGGAATGGGGTGGGGTGGGGGAGGGGTGGAAAGAAACTGATTATTTCAGAAAACGGTTTTAATCTTTACTGTATTTGTCATGTATGTTGTTATTTTTATATGTATGAAAGGAACAGAACTAGACTGATCTACTAACATTGACTTAATTGTAACAATGAAGAGATATTAAAATACTGAACAGAATTAAATAAATAAAATTTCCACCTTCCTTTTTAAAAAACTAAATGATAGTCACTCTTCTCTAGGTTTGTGTGTAAATGTACAGGTGTGTATAGATGTATGTATGTGTATGTGCAAATATTGTTTAAAAAGGAACTAGGCTTAGAAAAAAAATTTTTTAAAGCAGAAACAAGGAAAGGTTGGATTTCTAAATATCACAGATACGTGGATTATATATTATAGTTCTTGATTTGAATAGCAGCTTGAGACTGAAATACTATTATGAGCTATGCCACATAATCTTGAATGTAAACAATAAAATCCTGATTCAAATTTTAGTTATCAACCCTTCAAAATATTTTATAGGATATTTTATCTCAGATTTTTGATAACATAATTATCAAAAATAGTTGATAGTATTTTAGTTGTATAGTACTTTAAATAGAGCATTTCTAAGTCCTGTTAAATTTTTATTCTCAAGTGCACTGAATATGTTTGACCTCTATAAAAAGCCAACTTGTTTGAAGTGATAATGTTGACTTTGGTCTCATAAAAATTATGGCCATCTCTCCATATGAAAAATACAAATTCCTCCAAAATAACTCCCCAAACTATAATTTTTATGATTGCTGAAAAAAGTAACCCTAAATAATATGCAAAACAAAAAAATCCCTGCTGAGTAAATATGCTGAAACCATAGTCCAGAATAAAACTATGTATGATTTCTTACACACTCATAACATTTATAGAAGGAGGAAACAGAGAACATCAGTACCAAATGGAAGGGGTATAAAAACAGGGAAAGAAAATTGGAACTCTTTTTTTGTTCTTACTGTTCACAGTTACTGCTAAAATCTTTAGAAAACTGATCACAACCTTTTTAAAAAATTTGAACAGCAACAAAAATAATAATAGGTGAAGTGAATGCCACGATGCGGCCCCTTCCTACCTCCCACTCCCACCAGATTCCTCTTCACACCTAAAGGAGCTATTTATTTGGCTCCTGGGAGTTCTGTTGGATGACCATCTTGCAGCACTCTGTCCTGGCCAGAAGAGAATTGCCTACCATAAGGTTGTGTCCCCTTTCCCGGGAAGCCTAAGCCTAATAACAAATCAATGAGAAAGTAAAAAGGCATAACCCCCTCGTTGCAATGCAAGACAACTGTAAAAATTCATCTTCGCTTTGTAGTTCCCTGTAGCCAATTGAGACCATTACAGTCTAATTTCTCCTGCAATCTCACTCCCAAGAAATCTAACTTGCAATGCCACATAACATGGATTCAGTCTACAATGAATACTAGTTATTTTTCTAAGTGTTTTACCTGGTTCATATTTCTTTTTTCTTTTCTTTTCTTTCTTTTTTTTTCTTTTTTTTTTTTTTTTTTTGAGACAGCGTTTTGTTCTTGTTGCCCAGGCTGGAGTGCAGGCTGGTGTGATCTTGGTTCACTGCAACCTCCGCCTCCTGGGTTCCAGTGATTCTCCTGCCTCAGCCTCCTGAGCAACTAGGATTACAGGCACGTGCCACAACACCCGGCTCATTTTGTATTTTCAGTAGAGATGGGTTTTCGCCATGTCGGTCAGGCTGATCTCAAACTCCTGACCTCAGGTGATCCACCCGCCTCGACCTCCCAAAGTGCTAGAATTACAGGCGCGAGCCATCATGCCTCGCCTCATATTTCTTCTCCACACAATCGTCATCTGATTTTCCAGATGAGAAAAATAAAGCATAGGGAGGATAAATAACTAGCCTAAGATCAGGATGCTTGTAAATCCAATACGTAGTTTTAGTACTCAAAAGTATGATTTCAGAGTGTGTGTTCTTAAACATGAGGCCATGCCAAATACTAGCCTGTAAAGTTTATTATACACTACAAATTTCAATTTCATTTTTATTCACTAAATATGTATACTGAATTATAAATGGTAAGAGGTGGCCATATATCAAGTGTGAATTATGTAACAAAGCAAATATTAAGTGCATGAAAGTATTTAATGTTTCTTTAAAAATAAATAATTTCATTAAGAGAACACATTTAAACAAAAATAACACTTTCAATATAATCAAATACCAATAAGACTAATAAAATTGGATGAAGATTGTAAAATTCTTGAGGAGATCTTCTTGGAATAGAATAGAATTGATAAAGACTTCAAAGTATCAGTAGAATTCAAACAGCAGAGAAGGTGAGAGGAACTTTTGATGTGAGAAAGTGTGGGCAAATCGAATCCAATGTTAAGGGACTTGGATTATACACACAATGCTGGCTTTCAAGGTTATGTTAAGAAGGACAGTGAAGGTACACTCACATGTACACACACACATATACATACATATACATACACACACACCAGAAATAATGACAAACATATTGTCAACTAAAATAAAAGCACATTAATTTCACATTATCATCTGCATGGAGGAAAATATGTGGCCAAATATGCTACAGCACATTATAGCAATACTGAGGTTGTTACAGAAAGAACCTGGATATAGCAAATATTTAGAGATGCCTTGTTATATTTTTCTTTTCCATTTTTTATAATGAATTATGTACCCAGAAAATGTAAGAGGAAAAATACGTGTCCTTAAACATCCTTTATGGTTTAATATTTAACATTTTTGAATACTTAGTATTAACCTTTTTTGTGTATTAATAAGAGAGTAACAATTTACAAATATTCTATCATATAAATTGTATTTGATATATAATATATGGTACATTTATATAATTTCATGTTCTAAATTGTAAATTTCAATTTAATACCATTATATACTTGTAAATATATCTTTTTTCTCCTAAAGACACATTTTGAAACTTTTTTCAGTTTCGATATGAGTAAACATCAGTAAGTTAGAAAAACACATCTTAATTTTTTCCCCAGAGAAGTACTTTCTTGTGATATTTAATATAGGGTAAATAACATTAGAAAAGGATTTTTGTGAATTGGTGTCCTATAAACACAATTTGGGGCATTCGGTGTTAACTAATATTTGACATCTGGTAAGCTTGTTTTAAAAAAATGTATAAATATTTTGTTGTGTGTGTTTTGGAAGGAGGTAGTTGAGTTGAAACGCTACTTCGCTCATCACTGGGCTAGGTTAGATGCAAACACTAGCATCCCACATCACACACACATACATAAAAAGAGGCTCTAGTTTAGGGTAGAATCAGAAATTTGTTCTGATTTTTTTTTCATTGATTCATAGTTTTTATGGTTCTAGGCTTAGTTTTTACTGAGTTGCAATTAATATCATATAAGATTTTACATGGAGAAAATCAAATCACTATTCTGTTTCCTTTTCTGCTGAAGCAATCAAGATTTAACAGCTTCTGGATGAAATTCAAGTCACACTAACATTTAAAATGCAATATGCCCATTCTTGACCCAAACTGCTTGTATAATTTTTTTACAACGCATCAGTAACCCCTCTCTGGAACTTGTTACAAATGCCCTATCCTGGGCCTCACCTCACTAATACCAGCTGAATCAGCATAGAGAGAAAGCCTAAGACTCTGTATTGTAATCAGCTATGCAAAGAAGCCTTTTGGTCCACTGAAGTTTGAGAATAGGCTAATTTGTGAACCCAATTAAGTATTCTGGAAGGAAACAAATGCAGTTTAAAAAAAAATGTTAGGTTGGGGGTTAGAGTGGTATTGGACAGGAAGAATAGTTGTTCCTACCGGGCTTGTTTCCAAATTCATGGCATCCTTAGACTACAAGAGAGCCAAATAAAGTATGTAGTCAAAACGAGGTGTCTTTTTTTATGTTTGCTACACCCTCCGTCTGATTTCCTGTTCTGTCATGGCTGCCAATAGTGAAGTAGAACAGCTGAGTTGACAATATGACAGGAGCACGTGCTAACAGTTTGTTAGTTCCCGCAGCAGTAATTATGATAGATTGTGTTTTTAGCTATCATTATTGCTTTATTACACCCCTATCTTTTTTCTGCCTCCTCTTTTTCCTGTTTTTACTTTGTAGTGACTTTTCAAATATCTGTGTGTAGGGGGAGGAAGAAGCAGAGACAAAAGGAAGTAGATTTAACACGGAGGATGCAATCCAAATGCATGTCCTCAGGTTCCATGCAGGCTTTTAAGCTTCACTTATAAGTATTTAATTTGAGTGTCAAGGACATAATCCCATATTTATTAACAAATCCACACATCTTTTACTCCATTTCTGTAGACCCGAAAAAAATTAATTGGATTAAATTAACTAATGTAATAACCCCTGTTGTTCTAGGGAAAGTCTAAGACCTTTTATTTAAATCATCTATAGTGGCCTCAAATCTGCCCTTCAAAATGAGCCTTTTTCTTTCTCAAGTCTGGATGCCAGCCATGGGTGCAATATAAGCTAATGCCAAGAGAGATCGTTTAAGTGCGGTTATTAAGGAGACTATGATTGATGGAGTTTGTAGCTGGTAATGTGATTCCCCTTTGGCTGCTCAGTGAACATCGGCAACAGATCAATATCTCATCTGCATGAGATTACAGCCAGTTTTGACAATAGCAGTGAGAAGAGGTTAAGAAAAAAAGACCAACATATTTGGTCGAGAATTACGACGGCTATTCTAGCTTAAAAGGTAATGTAAATAAATAAGTCTTTTCTTAGGAAAAAAATGATCTGATAAGAATGTTTGTGGTTGTAGTTTTTGTTCAGCATTGATCGGATGGGTATAGTTTAACCCCTCTTTTGTTCATTTTGTTATGTTTTAAACAAGATAAATCTTTAACATGAGCTTGCAGAAGCATGACTGTATCTACATACTAAAATAAATCATAGCAAGTTTGACAAAAAATTTAATATTTTCCATCTAGAGTGATCTAGTGTTTAAATCAAGTAGAAACCTTGAAGGCATGTCAAGACTGTGGAAATTGTGATTATAAACCTGCATAATTCCATCTTCCCCATCACTAGTGCTTTCGTCTCCTCCTTTACTGTCTGAACCTTGTATCCACAGCACAATAGCATATACTTTCCCAATGAGAGGTTAGATTCTGCGGTAAGTAGTCTATTCCTTGACTCTACTCTGGACCCTTCCTAAAGGTAGAGCAAGACTTGAATGTTTATCCTTACAGGCTGGGCACGGTGGCTCACGCCTGTGATGCCAGCACTTTGGGAGGCCGAGGCAGGAGGATCACGAGGCCAGGAAATCGAGACCATCCTGGTCAACACGGTGAGACCCCATCTCTACTAAAAATACAAAAATTAGCCGGGCACCGTGGTGAGCGCCTGTAATCCCAGCTATTCAAGAGGCTGAGGCAGGAGAATCGCTTGAACCTGGGAGGCAGAGGTTGCAGTTAGTGGAGATTGTGCCACTGCACTCCAGCCTATGTCAAACTGCTCTTAACAGGATTATCATTTTCCAACTACTTACTCGCCTTCCTCATTAATGTCATTTTTTCTTCTGCTTCTACTCTCAAGGAGAACTGAAGGAAAACCAAGAGAGACTACTTCAAACCAGATTCTGTGGCAAAAGGAAGCTTAAGTGGTATGGCCAGAGGATTGGAAGCATTTGAAGTAATGAAGATTTGTATACAGTGATTTAAATATTTTGTTAAAAATGTCATACTCTTATTTAGATTAGACTTTAAGTAATAAATCTCAAACTAATTTTCAAAGGTGGCAAATTATTCCTCTTTATGAACGTTCTGTTGGATCATCTTCCTATGCTGTGGCATTGTCTGCCCTTAAACAGACTCAAATTTTTATTAAGTTTTATTCAATTCTGCAGGCTATTTATTTTGATGTCATAAGCTCCTAAATTCTTGGCAAAACAAGGGGAATTGACAAGAAGGGATTATGAAGGTGTAAAGCTTAACAGAAATAAGGTTCCAAACAAGATCAGAAAATCCATTTCTGGCGTAAGATTTACTCACTAATATGAAATAAATGTGAGGTTTTAAAATAACATAATGATGCTTTAAAATTTAAGTTCATATTCACATATCATTTTTAATTTTTCTTTGAAAATTGATTTTTTATACATATCTATCCACATTAATTTGAAAATATTTAGTGACCCACTGCTAAACAGGTCTTGTAAGTTATACCATGTCCTCTGAAAATCAAAGACTGAGATTTGCAAATTAAGACTTGGGATGCCCTGCTGAGAGGAAAAAGAAAACCAAACAATCAAACAAACAGTCACCTACCATTTGGGGCTGAGCAGCTAGTTTAGATAGTTTTAAACAAAAATGCTTCATAACTGATCATACCTTTCAGCGTGTCACTGTTAAGGTTTTAGTTATTCTCTTTTTCTTTTAATGGAGTGGGGAGGAGGCCTATAGCATAATGGAGTCCACATGTATTTTGAAAAGTCTCTGAGGAGTAAAATCATTTGTAACCTATAAAGCATCCATCTAAAGCAAGTGAAAATGAGCCACACTTGTCAAGAATTAGAGAACTGGATGTTCTTTTAAAATTGTTCCTTCTTTAGCACAAGAGTTTGCTTTTAAAAATTTACTTCTAATCTCAGTTACAAGGATCAGTTCCATCTTCTAATTTAGACTTAGGGGACCTAACAAACAGCTCTCTTTGATAGGACTTTCGCGACTTTCATTCAAGAAGTTTATATTGTTTTATATTTGACTAACGCAATCCTCTGAGATGACCCTGTTATTTTAAAAGCATTTCCCATGAGAAACTAAACACCTATCAATTTTAATCCTTTTGCTTAGGAAAAGGACTTCTAAGAAAAAATTATCATCTCTAATACGGAAAAAAAGAACAAAAGTGTTTAAACAAAGTTTTTGGCACACACGACGGCAGTTGTCTTTTGACTTAACTCTCTTGTCTTTGACTCTACTGTACTCCATCCAGGTGGCAAATGTCAAATTTGACAGCTAGTGTCTCCCATGAGGTTGTATATGTGTGTGTATATATATACACATATGTATATACACATATATATATATTCTATCTACCTATCTATCTATCTATCTATCTATCTATCTACCTATAAAACGTTTGGTTTCTTTACACTGGATTCTATTAAAATCGAACTAAAGATATATGACATAATGATTCCAAATGACAAAGTATTTAATACTTTGGTGATTTCTAGGATAAATTTTGAAATATTTATGTTTATTCTCTGAGGTCACACTAGTGTTGATGTATACTTGTATAACAGCTAGTATTTTTTCTATAAATCTTGCAATAAACTTTGACTAAAATCCGAGATATATCTGAGTTCAGAATGCTTACATTTTGTCAGTAACTCTCGCACAACAGCTCCTCCTTTTATTCTGGTCACTTCTAATAATTCTGGAAGAACTAATTTAGGGAGAATATTTGCAAACAGTTAAACCTTTTTAAATTTCAAGAACTGACTATCAAATGTGCATCACTCCTACCTTTATACATTAACATCACCCATCTCCTGTTACCTGCTACCTATCCCCATCATGCTGGTTCATCTTAAATCACAAAACTAATATAACTTAACCATCTATTTTCAGAAGACAAGTTTATTCTGCCCTACAATACACATTCCCATGAAAAACTATACAGACAAGTTGGACAAGGGAAATGAGTAAGTTCAACCTCAGTTTTCCTTCCAATAAAATTAAAAGCTGTCCCCCTTGACTATCTCCATCCTCCCACGGGATGTACTGCAGTTAGTAGCTGTGAAGGACCCAAATATGTAGGTCAGTATGTGGCTTTGAGGCTCCAGATCAGTGCTTCTCAAACCATCTGTAGTGAAGGAACACTTTATTTTTTTCTCATCCTTAGGGACTAATATTTTTTGTCAGATATAATAAAAGTGAACTACTAGAAAAATGATCACATACTTGGATGTCACAGAAATGCCAAATTGCTCTAAAGGTTTCTAAATGCTATGAAAACTACTTTTTTTAGGAAGGCTGGTATCTGCTGCAGTTTTCAAGCTCTTGTCATGGTGTAGAGTGCACCTTTCCAGCAGACCACTGAAGGCCCCAACTATTGTTTGGAGAGTATGAAAAGAAGTGTTTTGCAGTGATCTCTCTGTATTACACCAATGAGTGGAGAAATAGAAAATGTTTCCTCTTTAGCACATACAGTGGCCAGAGAAGATTACTGTCTCCTTTGTGGTTAGTTCTCATATTCTCAAAGCAAAGATGATAATTCTCAAAGCAAAGCAATGATAGTAATATTTGCATGAATAAAAAAGAAGGAAAAGGCAAAAGAGAAAGACGAAGAGGAAGAAGAGGATGACAAGGAGGAAGAGGAGAAAGTGGCTACAGGGACTAGCTTATGCTTCTATTGATTCTAGTATCACGTAACACTAGGAGGAACAACTGCAAGGCTAATTAAAGAGCAGTTGCACTTTACTTCTTTTGCACTGAGAATTCCACTTTCTCTTTCGTCTTGTAGAAACTCTTAAAAGCTTCCATGGAGACAACCAGTGCAAATATTGAGACGTCCCACCTTTAGCAGTTTTCACAGTATGGACTCCTAGTGTTTAAGATAGATGAAAATCCTAGCAAAACACTTTGCAAGTATTTTATAAAAATCAGCTTTAGGGCATACTTATTACTCTGAACTTTTTGTTTTTTAGTTTGCTTGGGGGTGACACAGTGTAGTCATGACACCTTTGTTCAAGTTGCTGTCTACAGATTTCTTAAGCTCAACTCAGGTAAATGCAAAACCAGAAATGGTAGTGTCTGGAATTTATATGCTACAAATAACTGGTACAGAACTATGATGGTCAGAGATGACTGTAAGGCTAATCAGTATGGGGAATCACTATCAGTAATTTCTTGGTATTATCAAGTTCATCCTTATCACCTCAGAGGATTCCTATTTTTTTAACGCGTTAATCTTGTATTAGCAAATGTTGCTTTTTAAAGAAAACGCTCTTTAGGACCCAGTAGAACAAGAAAGTATTAAACTTCTTGCATTATTTTCAAGGCAAGTGTGTCACACATAGCAGTCTGTGGGGTTGAATACTAGAAATTTTGCTACAACAAACTTAGAAGGAAGTTTCATTTCCCGATTCCTACCTGTTTCTTAGAAATCTGATGTATTGAGGTGGTATGTCACTTCCTGAAAATTTTCTAAAGGTTATTCTATGTTTAGCCCATTATTAGAGTTAGACATATTTTATGGCTTTATCAGATCTTCTGTTAAATTCCCAGGACACAGAATATTAGTTGAAAGTCTTAACACTATACTGGTCTTCATTAATTGGTGCTCAATGTACCCGACATATCATCATCAGTGATATATTTTTAATGAAATGACAAATGGTTATATTTTCATAAGAAACAATCAAGAAGAAAAAATATTTTATTAAAATAGTTTAATTTAAGTACATAATTCATCATTCGCTTAAGGACGGTTAAGAGTATAGACTGAGATCAGTCAAACCTGAACTTTAGTACAACCTTTGCTACTTCACGATTTGGTGTTGAACAAGATATCCTACTTCTCTTTTCTAAGTTTTCTCATATTGTAAATTGGAATAATAGTACTACTTACATCAAATGATTTTAATAAAGACTAAGTGAGATATTTCAACGGGTGCTATGCACAGTTCCTAATACAAAATTAATGAACAATAAATACAAGTAGTTTCATGAAAGTTAATATTATAAGTACCGTTACGCATCATTTAATGATGGAAATATATTCTGAGAAATGCACCGTTAGGCATTGTTCATTGTGTGAACATCGCGGAGTATACTTACACAAACCTAAAGGGTATTGCCTACTGCATACACATCTAGGCTACATTGCATAGCCTATTGCTCCTAGGCTTCAAACATGTATGGCATGTTGCTATACTTACTACTGGAGGCAACTGCAAAATAATGCTAAGTATTTGTGTTTCTAAACATATCTAAACATAGACAAAGCATAGTAAGAATACAGTATAAAAGGTAAAAAATTGTTTTAAAAAATGTTCTATACAGTTGTATAGAGCACTTACCATGAATGAAACTTTCAGGAATGGAAGTTATTCTGGAGAGTGAGTGATTGGTGAGTAAATGTGAAGACCTAGCACATTACTGCACACTACCGTAGACTTTCTGAACACTCTACACTTAGGCTACATTAAATTTATTAAAAAATTAATAAATCGTGCAGTGACATTGAAACAACTATGACACCACTAGATAATAGGAATTTTTCAGCTTCATTAAAATCTTATGGGATCACCATAGTATGTGCAGTCTATTATTGACTGAGAGAAACATAGTTACGCAGTGCATGACCATATTGGTATCTTTGCAGTTCTACATAGATTTTCACGTCATTAATCTTCATTACTGGCAAAATTAATAGAGTTTATCATATGTGAGTGGGCATATTATTTCCATAGAAGCATAAGCAATTTATTTTGATCATATCTATCTAAAAAAAAAGAAATTCCTATTCCTTGTTTTCATATTTATGGATGCAAGGTTTTCTTCCAAATGTGACTGCATTCGTTTTCCTTTTCAGAACCTTATGTTCATAAGCTCTTGAGAATGTATTGTCATAGAAGTTACTTCTTAGAAATGATACTTAGATACTTAGTAATGGTGATTATATCTTTCCTAAGAGGCTTATACACAACACCTTATGACAAAATCCAATCCTTTCTCCAGGAAGCAACCATTGTGTTATTGACAGTGGTAGTGATGTATGATGTGCATTATTCCATGAAAAATTCTGAGAAATAGACTGAAGAGAAATTGTCCAATAAAGCAGTTTTCTTGGTTATTCATATACTACTAAGTTGACATATCTTGAGCTCAGGGTCATTCATTAGCATTGTTGAAATTACAGCAGGTTCTAGAAAAGTCTATCTCTGGGCCTTTTGAAGGAGACATGATGGCAGGAGTTAATTGCTTTTATGTGCTTTGTAGTTTAGTGATGAGTAGCAGATACTCAGGAGCAAGACTTAGGAAGGTTCAAATCCTAGCTCTTCTGATTACTGGCCATATGGGCTTGAAAAAGTTTAATCTCTCAGGGTCCCTGTTTCTTCACTATAAAATAATAGCAAGAGCTCCTACCTCGTAGGACTTTTTTCTAGACTCTAGCAAATCAATACATGCAAAGAGAAAGCACCATGATCAAGGCATCATGTAATCTGGAGTATTTTAGTAGTTGCTAAACTATGTTCTAAATTACTTTTATACAAAATCGTCTCAAGATTGTCTCTTCCCTTGGCAGAACATGCACCAAACATCTTTGAAATTAAAAGTAGAATGCACATTGCCTATTTCTTGAATTTAAAGCAGAACTTTTTTTTTTAATTTCCACAAGCTAGGCAGAGCAATTATACAAGCCAAGCTACATTTGATCTGATCCAGAGATATTTTATAAGTAACTTCCTTTTAAACTTTTTTGGTCACAGTATTGTAGAGAAGTCCTTACCATAACATACATAAATATTATGAGTTGAATCCACTCTTCAATTTCTGAATTTCGGTTTTACTGGATGAAGCCTTTCCCAGGAAAATTATAATAATTAGGTTTTTGTTTTATCAAGAGTCTCTATTAGATAATCTTTTCTTGTGAATTACACAGGCAATGCAATTCCAAATGATGTATTCCAAAATCCTGACAAATTTATTGTTCAGGCATGTGGCTCAACTCCCAATAAGCAACAATGTATTTGACATGGTTGAAATCTCTGAATAAATGAGGCTGGTGCGAAGTGTATTTACAGTAATCACACAAGTTTATTAAAGATCTTTGTCTTAGGCAAGGCAGAAAGAGGGAGAAATCTTTCTATGGCACAAATGCAGGCAATAGTCCGAATAAACATGGTCTTATAATATTACCCTCTGTTTTGTTAGCTTCAGAGTTAATAAAAGTTATTCAGCATGTAAACATAAGGAAGCAAATTAAGTGGAATCAAACTGTCGAATTGCAATAAACTCCAAGCCTTTTTGGGCCATGGTAAATTTTAGTACTTGTTTCTACCCATAGTTCTTTAAAAGACATTTTCATCATATGTTGTGATTCAGTTTTCTTTCAAAAGCAACCTTATTCTCATCATCAAAAATGTTCCTTTGGGAGTTTAGGAAATAGATACTTTTACCTTTTAATTGCTTATTTTCCCTTTAACAATGCTACCTTGAACCATTTTTTAAGTCCTTATATATACAGAAATAATAAAATCAAACTGAACAAACATACACACACAAGCATAGACACCAGAAAATATCTTTTGGCATGAAAAACCTGCTTTGATATGTTTTCAGCTCCGGTCACAAAGAGAAGCTATTCTGGTCATTTCCAATATAGAAGTAAGAATGAGGTGATGAGAGAGAATATAAGACAAAATGGTAGAAGTGTGCACTGCAGCAAAACAGCCCAAACATAATTGACTAGACTTATTTCATGTCAGATACACAGATCCAAAACAACCATGTTATCTCTGCTTTGGTTTCCAATGTTTAGAATGTTTGGATTATATGTACCTTGTATTCAGTTTTCACATTTTCCTTGTTAAAATGAATAGAGAAGTTATTGTAATTCAGTGCTTATCAGAAATTCAGTGCTTTCTTGGTTTGAAATCTTTACAAATAATAACTTTTAAAAAGTATCATTAATCCTTTTCTGCCTTTATTTATGCCCCTACTGGAAACAAAAAAAAAAAATTAGCTTACAACATCAAAGTTCTGCATGATTTTTAGTACATTATACTTGAAGAAAACTGAGTTTTGAACAATTGGTTCTCATTTTTTAAATCCCATTGCATAAGCAGCTTTGCTTGGAAACTAATACAAATATACTTACATTCATTTCCATTCAGTTTATATATTCTGGGATAAGTCTGGGTAGTAGTCTATTTTTCTGCATTAAAATGTGCAAGCTATTTTAAGTTTGAATAGTAAATGTTGATGAATAATTTTCATGATTATAAAAATCATCTTAGAGAAAAATATCGGTAAAAATGGGAGTAAAAGTGAACACATTTAAAGATGCAGTAGTAACGCATTAAATGACCCAGATTCTAGAGAAAACATTCTTTTTATTTTCTTTTTCTTTCCATTTATTTATTTATTTATTTATTTATTTATTTATTTATTTGAGATGGGTTCTTGCTCTGTCACCCAGGCTAGAGTGTAGTGGTGTGATTATAGCTCACTGCAACCTTAAACTCCCGGGATTAAGTGTTCCTACCTCACTCACCTAAGTAGCTAGGACTAAGGCATGTACCACCAGGCCTGGCTAAAGATAATATAGATAATATGGATTCATATCCATAATTCAGCAAATATGCATATGCAAGTATAAATATAAGAATTTGCAATAAGAATATGCAAGTATAAGAATATGCAAGTATAGTTCAGAAAAAGGAATATTTGTCTCTCAGGCAAATAATAATTCTAATTAGATTTATATTATTTTGGTATTAAAAACAAAAGTAACATTGCATTTCATGCCTGCTTCTGAGAAGATAATGTAAAGATACATTGCAGGTCAAGGGGAAGAGAAAGATACAGCACAAGTGGGCTATAAAGTATGTATTAATAGTTACCTTGGATACATCAGAGAAATGTGAGAGAAAGAAAGAGGGAGAGAAAGACAGAGAAAGAAGCTAATTTGCCTGTATGATGTGAAACTTCTAAGTAATTTTAAATTTGGTTTTCATACCTATAAAATGGGAATAAAAATAACGCCTATATCCTAGGATTGTTGTAAAGATTGCATTAGCTAATATGTAAAGGATGATAGCCTTGCTTATTCAAGTGTGGTAAATGTAAGTATGATATATTGTGTTTCTCGTTCCCAGACCACACCATGGTAGATCCATAGTAGATGGATCACAATAAAAATCACACACACAAAAAAAACTGTGGCTCTGCCACAAGCACCATAGTCAATGAAATTCCAGACTCCAAAAACAGGTACTTTTTCCTTTATTCAGGGGTTTTCTAAAGTGTTTGAAAACTGACAGCCCTTGGAAACATTTGGAATGCCTCTGTGCAGTGCTCCTAACAGCTGCTGCTGGTGATTCTAAAAAAATTCCCTAGATGTGCTTCCACATCCTTACCTGTTCCCATGTCCCGGTCAATTTTATGCCTCACCTCCATTTACCTCCTTTTAAGGGTCATCATGAAATAGTGGAGGAAAACCAGCTTCATATTTCCACATCCAGATGACTTTTCAAAACATTTTCAAAGTATGCTCCAATTTTCTATAGCTTCTCTGGTTAGAAAATTATCTGATGTGTTCATCTTGATTAGAGAGCCTCCTCTGTCAAGAATTCTGGTATAGAGTTCTGAGGCTAGGCAAAATCATAAATGTCAGTAGAAGTGTATGAAAGATGAACCATATGTAGTTTTCCAAAATCAGATTTTTCCCTACTTTTTGCCCTCCAATGCACCTTTATTGCCTGTCTCATAAGTCCCTTATGATGAGTTTCTTCTCATTCACTTATGTGGTCTGAGAATTTAAGTACAGATTGCTTGGGATGGGAAGTCTCCGTTTAGGGAGCAGCCATTGCTCTTAGGCATCCAGTCATTGTTCCTAATGTAATGACTTCCTTCCACCACCAGCAAACAGAGTCTCAGCACACCCACAAATATACAGCTGTGCCCCTTGCTCTGAGCTAACCACTAGAGAAGCAATTGAGAATTAATCAAATTTGAGAAACTAAAATTAAAATATATTTGCCACTAATATGCATGATTTAAGGTTTTAAGGTTTTCTCACAAATGAAGACAGATGGATTACATAGTTAATATAAGGCTGAGTGATTATGGTTGAATAAATAAATGAGAAAGGAGAACAAAGGAGAAAGAATTTGACTGGGTAGGAAGTGAGACAATTTTGATGTCAGCAGTAGCAAAAGCCTAAGGAGAACATGATAAAAATGCTGTAAAATGTATAGTGCGTATTGTGTATTATCATACTTTAAAATTGTAAAGATAAATAGATACTTTATCACCTGGGAATGCCGGGTTACAAAAATTTCACTTAGTGTCTTAAAAAGATCTGCTGGATCTGCATATCTGCAGTCCAGGTATAGTGTGCACATTCAGGAACAAAAGAAGGAGGCAGATTGTATTAGCATATCCTGGCTTTTTTCCATATTCTTCTAGCTGACTTACACACACACACACACACACACACACACACACAGGTGTGAACACACACTGCTGTTATTGCTATTGTTGTTTACATATATATTCATTTACTTTGCTGGATATGCTTACATTCCCAGCCCTATCTACAAAGGAGTTTTAGAAATTTCTCATTTTAGCTTTCTACTCTTGGTCATATTGGTTGGCACAGAAGGAGTGTGGAGTAAATGTTGGGTGAGAGAACACACAATGGATTTCAACTATTTAGACTATTTACTTAACAACAAACAACTATGTGCGTTTCCACACAAAAGATAAATACATGTTCCACGGGCTGTCAATGTCATTTCAAGAGCAAATGCTATTACATAAAAATATAAAGATTGCCCTATGATTGAATCTCAATTGAAATAGCCACTCTCTATTTGGAACAGTTTGGTCAAGGTAGTGGAACCCAGGTATTATTCGATTTTCTGGCTAATGAAAACACCAACATAATAGTGATCATAATAGTGATGATAGGAACCTATTAAGTTCAATTGTGGTGGAAATGTGAAGATTCTATTTTGCTTAATATACACATTTTATATCTTGAATGAAAAGTATATGCTTTCTATTTATTGAAGCATTTGCAATGTAATGTTTCCAGTACATTAAATTTTTAAAAATATAGTTAAAAGAGAAGTTGTTTCACTCTTCCCTCAGATTTTGGAGAGGGCCTGCATTTTACAATAAAATGATTTGGAAAGTTAGACATTAGCTCATCAAGTTAGTACTCTGTTTATTATTCAACTTTGATCACAGGAATGTAAATATTTTTCTTTTTTATCATTTCTGAAAAAAAGAGAAAGAGCAATATTTTCAAGTATCAAAATGTTTATATAAACAAACTTCTCTTCTCAAGCCTTCTCTTCCGAAATAATCACCACCTGAGTTTCTCCTCTAAATTTGATGATAGCTAAAGAAAATCTATTCGAGGGAACTTGGAATGAGTCTTCCACACTCTCCAAGCCAGCCACTTGCCCTATTGTGTGTGGCTCCAGCACACTGCTGGAATAGACATTGTTTTGTTATTTTAATTTGCAGATATTTTAAATTCAAGGAAGATAATTTTAAAAGGGAGCAAATATCCTATCTAGCACACTGGTACTTTGGAGTATAAATTGTATTTGCACTTACCAAAAGGAAGAGGAAAGTGAGGCAAATTACACAACCAATTTCATCATCTCTTGCAACAAGCTGAGTCTTTAAAAAATTAATTGCTCTCTTGAGCAATCTCTATCTCCCCTATAGAATTATAAATAAATAATTAAAAAAATAATTTCTTCTCCTTTTTCACTTTATAGTTTTCAGATAAAATACAGGGTACCCAGTTATATTTGAGTTTTAATAACAGATCAATACAAACAATGTTTAGTATAAGTATTTCCAAAATATTGCATGAGCTATAGTTATAGTAAAAAAATTGCTTATAACAATTTAATTTAAATTTAATGAGGTATCTTGTATTTTTATTTGCTAAATCTGGCAATTCTACTCAAAGTGAATGTTGATCTAGTCTTTTCCCTAGGACCTGTAGACCTGAAAGAAAAAAGAAGATTGGGAACTAATAGTTATTTTGATTCACATTCTTTTTTTTTTTTTTTGAGACGGAGTCTCACTCTGTCACCCAGGCTGGAGTGCAGTGGCTCGATCTCGGCTCACTGCAAGCTCTGCCTCCTGGGTTCACACCATTCTCCTGCCTCAGCCTCCCGAGTAGCTGGAACTACAGGTGCCCGCCACCATGCCCAGCTATTTTTTTGTATTTTTAGTAGAGAGGAGGTTTCACCGTGTTAGCAGAGTGGTCTTGATCTCCTGACCTTGAAATCCGCTCACCTCCACCTCCCAAAGTGCTGGGATTACAGGCGTGAGCCACCGGGCCTGGCCGATTCATTTTCTTAATAGTTATTTTGATTTACATTCATGGAGGGGAATTAAGGTTTATTATTGTAGAAGGAGGAGAATTTTTCTCTTAACATTACTAGGTATATAATCCAATAATGGGAATTGAGAAAAGAGTGAGTATTTTCCCTAATTTGGGGGGTGTCAAGGCAGGAGTGCCAAAAATCCACGAGCATTAAAAGGAAATCTGCTGCTGTTGAATTGGGAAGAAGGTCTGTAGCTTCCTCTTGTCTCACCCACCGTCACAAACATACTAGCCTGAACAGAAACTGGGCCATGAGAATGCTTCAGAGAAAGCCATAGCACCAGAGGATTAATCCCTAAGAGCAGCACTGAACGTTCCCATGAAAAAAACACAATTGAAAGTCCTAATGTACTTGTATATTCTTGGAAAATAACAGGTTTTATGACAAAATTACCCATATAGGCTTCTAGCCAACCTTTCCTAGTGGAATCTTGGAGCCTTTCCTTGTCCTATTTAGATAAACACTGATGCTTAATGTCTCTAGCTTCTGAAGAAGAAAGTTTTCTCTTTCCTTGAGGAGTAAGAGAAGAGGTATGTTAGTGTTGCGTTTGTAAAACTATAATTTGATTCCACCTCCTAAGAAGGCAGAGCTTTCCCCACTGAAAGCTACTGCATTTACAGAGCTGTTTGGCCATATCCTTCAAGTGGACTGAGTCTTTACAAAAACTTGAAAATGGTTGTACATCTAAACTGCATTAATTGGAGTCTGGAAAAAAAGTCTAGATACAAAGTAGAAGTTAATCTTAAATCTTGTATTTTAATAGACATAATTTTAGAATAAGAGTTAAATAGCCTAGGCTTTTTTTCTTCTGAATATAGTAGTATAGCAAATAAACACTGTAGATTATCAAATAATCTGTATGCAATGCAAAATCTACCATCGTGATATCTGGCTACTGAAAACTTTTTGAAAAATCACCAAAATATTAAAAGCTGAAGTAATGTATCAAGCATGTCATTATATTCTTTATTTTAGTCTATTTTATTTTGTGACCCGCTCATATATACTCTGTGGGAAAAAGAGCAGAGGGAGGTATTAATTTAGCTGTCTCATGAGTTACATGAAGCAGGTGAGCTCACGTTACCTAATTATACAGTTACCTAAGCTTCTTAGGTATGTCTTGAAGAAGGCTATACTTTTATAAAATTTGATTCTGGTATTATAATATTTACTCTGCATCCTCTGAGGGGATTTTAATAAATTAATTTTAGATTCTTTGAGAAAAAAACTGATGTGTTGCTCCGCATTACACAAAATTTCAAACATAGTCCCACTGAGATATCTCCTGGCACATTCTACTCAAACTTATCTTTAGCGTAGATATGGTTCTGTGCATTTACAATATAACAGCCTTGGGTATATGTTGCACTCTGTAAGATTCTAACAGACAAGTATTAGCAAGCATCATGTTCACCTTTTAACAATGCATCAGTGAGTCGCTTCTGAGACTGATTTAAATGCATTTGAATGTTCAATCCAATATGAATGTGAAGGCATTTAAATGAATTCAGTGTGTTTATCTGAATCTGAGATCATGCCGTACATGTTTATTTGAATGTGTGATGTGCAATCAATCAAATAAATGCACTGAGTGGATTTATGTCATTCTGTGATAGCACATTCAAATAAATGCCTTTAACATTTACAGTGATGTAAAAATGTAAACTAGAAAGAATATTTTTCTTCATTTTTATACAAAGCATGAAAAGGATATAATTTCTTAACTTGAAGGGTACATATATTGTGTAATGACCATATGAAAAACCATATGGTTTTTATTAATCACGTTAAAAAATTGTTTTAGTCTATTTTCTAGTTACAATTCCTACACTTCCCAAATAAACTTGTCACAGGAAAACTAATCAGTTAATTTTAGTCATTATGGCATCAATAGCAGTCTCCTAATAAATTTGGCTACCCCAAGGAATATTGATTTTGAAAAGAAGAATTGTCCATTATTCAGTGACAGACACACCTGTGATTCTGAACACAAGGAAGTGGGTGGGAACTCACATTTATTATCTTCTGGCCTAAAGATACTTTTAGTAGACCACAGTTAATACAAAGGAGAATATATCAAGTATTATCTGCAGAAATATACACGTCAGCTCAAGTGGAGACTGGACATTGACTTCATTTCATCAAAATCAACAGCTAGCTAAAAATGATGTAAGACATACTCTCTATCACCCATTGACATCACACACACACACACACACACACACACACACACAGAGGAATTTACTGCCTCAAAAATTTATGACATAAAAAATTATGTATAACAAAAACCCTGGAGATTCTAAGTAGACCAAATAATCCTAATTTTGATAAAATCATTTTTAAACAAATATTCCACACAGATGGATGTCTGAAGCCCTTATTTTAGCATTTTATATTAAGAAAGTGAGGTAATTTTTCTGTTTTGGTTCTTTTGTTTAGTTTTGTTAGAAATGGGAAAGATGGGGAAATTTGTTGATTAGTGTAATGAATGGATGTCAGGGAAGAACTTGTTCACTCCAAAAGGATGACTCAAATCTTGCCTAGGTAGCTTTGCTTCTAGGGAAGGAATGCTGCAAATGACAGACCTGAGCCCTGAAACAGCCAGGATCAGCATTCAACATAAGTAGCTGGATACACCTCTGCCAATAATTCCTTTTTATTGTGATCACAGTCAATACCATATTCTAGAGATGAATACGGAAATTTCTAATAGTGTTTCTGTATCCCTCTTTATACACATGGATACAATACACAGACACACACACTGTATACTCACTCATCCTTACTCTCACCCATATTCCCAAATAAATGCAGTTAGCCTCATTGTATAAGATTCCTTTTTCTTCCCTTTTCTTCTCATTGTATGATTGTGTTGTATTATGGAACAAAATGTTGTATTATGGAACATTGTATTAGGATTCCTTTTTCTTACTTTTTCTTCTCATTGTATGATTGTGTTGTATTATGGAACATTATATTATTTTCTATACATTTGGGTATTTTGATTTATTGTTCAATTGTTGATTGATACTGATATGGACAGGAGACAGGAAAATACTGGGTAGAAGAGGGAGGTTCCCCAGCAAAGCTTCCCCCTGAAGCCTGGAAACCCTCAGCCCTAAATCGGAACAGTCATTCCTATTTTCATGCCCAAAAGTTGCCTTTTGGCCTGTCACACCCTCCTATCCTGTACCCATATAAAACTCAAACCCCAGGCTCCACAAGCAGATGAGCAGACAAAGAGAAGAGCAGCAGAGAAGCAGACAAGATAAGGAACAGCTGAATGTCAAGAGGAGTTTGGCTGGGGACAGTCAGAGAGATCAGTTGCTGGATGGCCAAACTCCAGGGGAAGATCATCTTCCCACTCCATCCCCTTTCCAGCTCCCCATCCATCCTGCTGATAGCCACCTCCACCTGCTTTCACCATCCTTCAAATCTGTGTGTGACCTGATTTTTTCTGGATGCCAAATAAGAACTCCAGTTACAGAAAGCTATCACACATTCCCTCTGCCCTTGTGAAAAGACAGAGGGTCCAATGAGCTGTTTAATACTTAAGCTGTCTGCAGATGGCAAAGCTGTAACGCATGCTCACTCTGGCTTCAGAGGCCTCAGACACCCACCCCTAGATGCTGCCATGGGGCCAGAGCCCAGGGCCGCTCACCCTGGCTCCTGCACCTGCCCTTCTGCATGCTCCCCCTCCCATAAGAGTTTGAGTGTGCATAGCGGCCAAACAGATGAGCCACACCCCTGTCACATGTCCTGTGAGGGAGGTCAGGAAATTCTCCTATTTCAATATTTAAACTAGATTAGTTCTAGTTTGAGCCAATATTCAAACTCTATTAGTTATATGTTTATAACTGATATGAATGTTGTTCTAATTATATCACAATCTTGCAAATTATTATGTTCATTATCCACTAATGAACTATTTTTCACTAAAATATTGTGTGTGTGCATATATATATGCACATCTCTATATTTCAGTATGCTCAGCCCTTATATGATAACTTTACACATTTTTTCCAAAACTTTCACACACAAAATCTGAACAATAAATATTAAGGTAACTGAAGATACTGAAAAACTGCAAAAAGTATTTCATATTCTGTATTTTAAGTGTAGTTTATATATATTTTAAATAAATCATGAAATATCTAAAATGTACCAATATTTTGATCTTTCTTTAAAGATTCACAAGTTTATACTCCACAGTAAATTTGTAGGCTGGGAAATATCTCAAGTCCATTTAATACTGGAAATTAAATAACACATACTTGCCTTTTTCTATAGATCCCAGATTTGATTTGTTTTTCAAACTGTTGCAAGAGATTATGCTGAGTCATCCATACACTTCTGCATAATATGGCACATTTTTGTGAAGTGACAGCTGAGGTCAGAGAATATTGTTAACTTCTGTTCATGCTCACATGTCATTGGTTTACAGAAATCTTTATATGTATATGGTACACATTATGAATTTAAATTTCACACATAGCCATTTTTCAAATAGTTCCAGTATGGGAGCTTCTTCCTTTTATCTCACAGGAAAGCTCCCTTTCCTCAGGGAAATGAAACCTATGAAAAGACCCACCATATGTGAATTCACACTACAGATAGTTTTTACCATATGTGCTAAAAAGACCAACACTCCAAGGTACTTTCAGCTATAACTCTGAATTTCCTGTCCTTTGTCAGTTCAAACTAAGCTCTTTACATTACTGTGAACTGCATGTAACTCACGTGAATTATACACTGAAGGTAATACTTTACAGTAAGTGGAGGATAATTATTTATTCATTTTGTATTCATTGAGGTAACATTAATCATAGTGACTCCATCTGGGATTTATGGAATATAGTCCATAATTCCAAAGAATTCAACTACACACTTTTTCTCTATTCATAATCCATCTGTAGAGTAACTATGCTTTGTCTGGCACAAAGTCATGTTAATAATATCACAAGGATGTATTTTACTCTTCTTTTGGGCTTCATATGATAATATTTTGGCTACACATAAATGAAATATTCACTTCAATCCTGTGACCAACATTCTTTAAACCTGTACAGCAGATAATGCTAAGTATGTGACTGAAAGAGGTAGGAGTCATCAGGAGTTACCTATGATGATTTTCTTTTTCCAGATATTTTGGGGTTAATGGTAGCTCAAAAATTTTACTAGTCTTAGAAATCAATTATAGTTTGAAAAAATTATATTAAATTGTAATAGCGAGCTGCATCAGTTTGAACAGAGAAATTATTTTAAACCACTTAGGATTAATAGATATAACTTTAGTGATAATTTAATTATACCTATAATGTTAAAAATTACCACAAAAATGTAAAAGTTGGAAACTTTCTACAGAAAAAATGTTTATCTTCTGCAGTTTCCCTCTTGTTCAAATTCAGTTTTGTTTCTGCCATACTATCCTCTTAAAGGAAGTTTTAACATCAACCATGAATGAATTGATTTGAATTGCATTGGCATTGAATTCTTATGTAGAAATTCAAGAGGTGGATTAGAGAGCAATTGTAATCCAAAGATTGTTTTCAGCAAAGTTCTTTTGAATTATGCATAAATGACATTTGGATTCTGCTATTTGAAGTTTATAATTTGGATAGCTATTTAAATATTGATGAGTTGTTTGGGAAGTTTTACAAAACAGATAATGACCAGTCAGACCAACTGGATAAGAATACTTAGAAAAATATGGGGCACTTAAACATTTTAACTTGACGCTTTCTGTCCACTGGAATAGTCCATGTTGTTTACCACATGTTCATGTTTAATTAGTACATAGAAGACTACGGAGAGTCATTCTCAGGACTTTGAAATGCCATATGAAATGCAGAATACTGAGTGTAATACTCTTTCCAGAAATAATTGTGTTCCTGAAAAAAGAAATGTGGTATGTTTAGAAATTGATTTTGTAAGTCGAGATTATAAACTGACACATTAGGGAACTAGTCGTTAACAGTTTATGAATTATCTAAAATATACCGAAAAGATAAAGGTAGTAAAAAGGAAAAGGTAAGAAAACTGCTGAATGATGTGACTTCAAATTGTGACTGTCTTTATAGACCAAAGAAAAAGAGAGAATTCCATACTTTACTACAGAGACAAAGTTTATAGATACATAAAATAAACAATTATAAGCATCTTTGGACAATGATATTTATTACTTTAAGGAAACATCCATGATCAGTAATTACTGAATTTTGTTATACTATTTAAAATTACGATTTGCCAACTTAGTTATTATTCAAGGACTATGTTTTTTACCCATGTTCCAATAGAACCTTCATTCTAGAATGTCTAATTCTAAGTTGACATTTAAGGAAATCTAGGTAATCATGAAACTCACAGCTAGAGTTTTCACCAAGTCCTGAAAAACTAGAACTTTCTCTTAGTATTAACTAACTGTGCTAGTTACTCTCATGTTAAATTTTCTAAAGATTTAAAACTGAATTCATTGAAAAACTTTTTATGTCAATTTTCTACTCAATATTTCAAAGAGAATAGGTGATAATATTCTAAAACTATAATCCAGTTGCAATGTCTATGCCTTTCCACTACCACATCCCCCAAATTACCAAGCCTCACATCTTATTTCTACTGTTATATGGCTAAACTTTTATAAATCTTCTAAACACAACCTTTTGACCTTATGAGTAAAGAAAATAAAATCCAGAGAAGTTAATTCTAAGAGTAACTTCCTAGACCTATATTTCCACTATCTGCTTTGTCCTTAACTCTGTTTCACCTCTCACCTGCTTACTAACTATTGCCAGTGGATTGTTTCATGGGTATTTCTCAGGTAAACTTGTTATTCTTTAATCCCTAAATTAAGACTTCTCTTTCTTCCTCTATTTTTGTTAATGGAGGGTTATTTTCTAAGTAAAACATAAGATGCTTGGAATCACTTTTTTCTATTTTTTTGTGTCTGTGCTTTCTATCAGAAACTATATTACTGATACATTAAACAAATATGAATTTATAAATTATCCTGTCCTAGCACTGTGCTAAGCCATTGACATGTACAGAGCAATCCCCTGGCTTTATGGGCTGAATAGCCCTATTTTGCCTTTTCCCTCAGTTTTGCATCAATTTCTTTCTATTGCCGCTGCTACTGGTCTTAGCCTCCATATAATTTCTCTCTCTATATTTCTCTCTTCAAAAGAAAATCTCCTGAAATAATGTTAATTATATTAGTCTCCTATTCAAAATCTTTGTTGATTACTCCCACACTCAAATCCCACCACAATCCTATCCATATTTCTTTTGTTTTTTTCCTCTTTTTTTTTTTTTTTTTTTAGATGGAATCTCGCTCTGTCACCCAGGCTGGAGTGCAGTGGTGTGATCTCCGCTCACTGCAACCTCCACCTCCTGGGTTCAAGCAATTCCCTGCCTCAGCTTCCCGAGTAGCTGGGATTACAGGCATCCACCACCATGCCCAGCTAATTTTTCTATTTTTAGTAGAGACGGGGTTTCACCATCTTGGCAAGGCTGGTCTTGAACTCCTGACCTCGTGATCCATCCGCCTCAGCCTCCCAAAGTGCTGGGATTACAGGCATGACCCACCATGCCTGGCCAATCTTATCCATATTTCTTATTTTATAATGTAATTGTTATTGAAATTTGAATCAAATGTATTTATCTAGTTTCAACCTCTATTTTTCTAAATTTTATATATATATATATATATATATATATATATATAGAGAGAGAGAGAGAGAGAGAGAGAGAGAGAGGGAGTATTTTCTAGGGATAAAACTCAGTGCTAATTATAGTGAGGAAGACAAATGTAATAAGACATGGTGTCTGCTATTCAAATGTTAGCTCTTTATTAAATAATATAGAATCTTATGTAGACATTATCAATATCAATAAAAGCATAAGGGAAAACACTCAGAAAATTTAAAAGATGAAGAGTCTGTCTTTAGCTGGGGAATTCTAGAAGGAAAGATTTAATGAACATTTCTAATTGATCCTGTAATAACTTTCCCTGATACTCTTGGTTTATTGTCCATCCAGATGTTAATCTTTAAGATAATTCTACTATGGAAAATTTAATATGTCTAGGTACCATAAGTCACATATTTGCATAATAGTTCTTTTTGAGACAAAATCTCACTCTGTTGCCCAGGCTGGAGTGCAGTAGCGCAATCTCGGCTCATTGCTACCTCTGCCTCCTGGGTACAAGTGATTCTCCTGCCTCAGCCTCCCTAGTAGCTGGGACTACAGGCGTGCGCCACCACACCCAGCTAATTTTTGTATTTTTAGTAGAGACAGGGTTTCACCATATTGGCCAGGCTGGTCTCTAACTCCTGAACTTGTGATCCGCAGGCCTCAGCCTCCCAAAGTGCTGGGATTACAGGCATGAGCCACCATGCCTGGCCTTCATAATACTTTTAATAAATGTTTAGTGAAACTGTAATTGAAAATATTTTAATTATTTATGTTACCTTATGATCTAATATGCATATCTGCCTAATACATTCTATCATGAATTCTGTGTCAAAAAATAGTCTGGGTGCAGCCACCCAACAATGCTCCTCTGCTTGTGTCCTTAAAGGAGCTGTATGTGACCCATTGTCTTGGGCCTTAGATAATCATTATTTCTGGGCTCTTCTCAGTTACATGTAACCCTGCCCAAAGCTGAGGGCCAGCTTTGCCTCTGAAACTGCTTTCTTCTTATGACTGCTTGATCTGACTTGGGGCCAGGTCAGATCGTGACAGCATTTACATTGTCAGAAGGGTAATGGAGAGGCTTGCTTATCTGATGAATATAGGGTGCTCCAGTTTCAAAGAATTTTGCTTTTTACCCTTTCCCAATAATTCCCTTAAAAATTTTACCATGGGATATATTGATTGTATAAATTAAAGAAAATAAAAACCAAAAACATTTTTGAAAAGATGCAGATGTTTAACCTTACAGAGTTTAGAATCATTTTTCCTGTAACACATGAAGTAACCCTTTTACCAATTCATACCACTATTGATTTTATTCAAAACTGTACTCAAATAAGTATCTTCTGTTCTTTTCATCTGGCTAAAATGTTTATCATCATCACATGTACGGCTCATCTTTATTAAGCCACTTGCAAACATTTTTTTCATAACATTCCTCAAGTTTTAGAATAACTGTGAATAATTATTGATAACAAATGCTTACTGTTTTACAAAATTCTAAGGTTATCAAAAATTGGATGAGGTAAATTTGATTAATACAGATCATTCTTTTTAAGAAGAAATTTTAGCTCAAAACTTTATTTCTAAATAGAGGAAAAGAGCCAGGCATTGTGGCTCAGGCTTATAATTTCAACCAACACTTTGGGAGGCCAAAGTGGGAGGATTATTTGAGGGCAGGAGTTAGATACCAGCCTGGGCAACATAGTGAGACTGTGTATCTACAAAAATAAAATAAAATTAGCCAAGCCTGATGGTGCATGCCTGAATTCCAAGCAACTTAGAAAGCTGAGGTGGGAGGATCACTTGAGCCCAGGAGTTTGGTGCTGCAGTGAGCTATGATTGTGCCACTGGACTCCAACATGAATGACACATTGAGAACCCTTTTTTAAAAAAAGTTAAAAATGAAAAATTTGAAAAAACAGATGAACAAACAGAGGAAAATAATTTAAGGATTTTGAGAAAAAAATTGTTGGGCTCTAACAAACTCTATTACTCATTGCCCTGAAGTGCAGCGGTCCCCAACCTTTTTGTCTCCAGGGACCAGTTTCATGGAAGTCAATTTTTCCATGGACTGGTAGTGGGAAGTGGGGGGGCACTGGGGATGATTCAAGTGCATTACATTTATTGAGTACTTTATTTCTGTTATTATTACATTATAATCTATAAAGAAATAATTATACAACTCACCGTAATATACAATAAGTGGGAGCCCTGAGCTTGTTTTCCTGAAACCAGATGGTCCCATCTGGGAGAGATGGGAGATATTACTGATCACCAGGCATTACAGTCTCATAAGGAGTGTACAACCCAGATCCCTCACATGTGCAGTTCATGATAGGGTTTGTGCTCCTATGAGAATCTAATGCTACTGATGATCTGACAGGAAGCAGAGCTCAGGCAGTAATGCGAGTGATGGGGAGAGGCTGTAAATACAGATGAAGCTTCACTTGCTCGCCTGCCACTTACCTCCTACTGTGTGGCCCAGCTCCCAACAGGCCCCAGACAGGTACCGGTCTGCTCCTGGGTGCTGGGGACTCCTGCATTACCACATTCATTTGTTTTTGCCAATTTTCATAATATCTACCATATCTTATAACTTTTATTTGTGGAAATACTGTCTGTGGCTCAGGATCTAACTAATGAGTCTCTTCTTTCTTAAATAATTCCTTGATAAATTTCTACCAGTCAGTTTAGGCTAACATACAACCCCAACATTCAGTGGCTTACAACCACAAAAGCTTATTTTTTATATTTTATATCCACTGTGGGTCAGCTATGGCTCTGCTCCTTGTCGTCTGGATGACAAAACAGCCTATATCTGGCACCATGCTAGTCTTACAGAAAAGCTTTAAAAGAAATATGGCAAAGGCAAACTAATTTTTAACGTTTAACTTGAAAGTTATGTATGTACTTCACTTCACAAGTCACTGACCAAAGCAATTCACATGACTCATTCTGAGGTCAAAAATATGAATGAATAAGTCACATGTCCAAGGATGACATCAACAGAATTGAGAAGTATGCTCCACATCAAGGGAAGGATAGCAAATATTTTAACAATAATACAACCCATAGGACTGATCACTGTAATGGAGATGAGAACAATAGAAACTTTAAAAATGTTCTTCCTGTATTCTTATCAACTCGTTAATGTTTCCTAAAATAATATATACTTTATTGGATATGAGTCTTTATTCATTCTGATCATTTCTCTTCTTTATAGTCCCTTCCCAGTTCTTTTTTCAAAGATCTACCCATTTCTCAGAGTTTTAATCACATTCCCATGCTGCCTTAGACACTTCCTTGATGTACTCAACTTAAGTTTGATCCATCTGTTCTTTGAACAAGTGAATATTGATTTTGTAGCACTAAATTTTACACCACAAAAATTTTGCAAGTGTGTCTTCCTGTATTTTCTCCTAAGTTAAACATACGATAACATACTTGACAAAAGTGGAGCCTTGATGTATTTTTCTTTACTATATAGAAGAAACTTTTTCAGAGTTTCATGGTTACAGTACTGCTGCTGCCACTACAGCTGGGCTCTCCAAAGGCATTTTCTGTTCAGGTGATAATGTGAACAAACACATCATTTGTTAAAGTGGGAATTGCTTTTGATTTTGTATTCACCTCTCCTAGTGTGTACTTGGTGGATATAGAAATCCATACCAGCCCCTGCTCCTATCACATGTTTACTGGATGTCTTAATGGATAATCTTTGGGTTGAGAGAAGGAATATTGACCTCTGGTAAGTGATATAGTTTACTAATAAAATAATTCATATGTTATGCATTGAGGTACTTGTTTCTATCCCGCTTTGTGGAAAGAATAATATTTGCATTATTTTAAAAACATTAAAATAAAACACCTTGGAGTTGATGTTACAGAAACCACTGGAAGAAAGAATTTTATAAGGAAAATTAAAACTTTCCTTATAAAGTTATAAAAACAGATGGCAATTAGAAAATAAAAATATAGAGAAAGGGGTCCATTACCTAACTATAATCACGTGCTGCCACATAATGTTTCATTCAGGGATGGACCACATATGACAATGGTCCTATAACATTATAATAGAGCTTAATAATTCATTTTCTAGTGCCAGCATGGATTTCATAACATCGTAGCATAACGTATTATTCACATGTTTGTGGTGATACTGGTATAACAAACATACTGTGTGACTGGTCATATAAAAGTATGACACATACAATTGAGTATGGGACATAATTGATCACAAGAAATGACTATGCTAAAATAATGATAAAAAGTATGTATATATATACACACACACACACATACATATATACACATATGTATATATACAAAAAGTACATATACACATATATACTTTTTATCACTTTTTTAGAGTGGACCTCTTTATCACTTCTTTACATATATATATACACTTTATCACTATTTTAGAGTGTACTTCTATTGTAAGGCAGCCTCAGGCAGGGCCTTCAGTAGGTATTCCAGAAGAAGGCATTGTTATCATAGGAGATAACGGCTCCATGTGTGCTATTGCACCTGAAGACCTTCCAATGGGAAAAGATGGGGAGGTGGTGGAAGACAGCGACATTGATAACCCTGGCCCTGTGTAGGCCTAGGCCAAAATATGTTTCTGTGTCTTAGTTTTTAACAAAAAATAAATAAAAAATAAATATTTTTTAAAAGGTGAAAAGCTTATAGTATAAAAATATAAAGAGTTTGTTTTTTTTTTTTTTTTTTTTTTGAGACAGAGTCTCGCTCTGTCACCCAGGCTGGAGTGCAGTGGCATGACCTTGGCTCACTGCAACCTCTGCCTCCCGGGTTCAAGCGATTCTCCTGCCTCAGCCTCCCGAGTAGCTGGGATTACAGGTGCCCACTACCACGCCAGGCTAATTTTTGTGTTTTTATTAGAGACGGGGTTTCACCATCTTGGCCGGGCTGGTCTTGGACTCCCAACCTTGTCATCCACCCACCTCGGCTTCCCAAACTGCTGGGATTACAGGCGTGAGCCACCGTGCCCGGCCCAGAAATTATTTTTATACAACTGTGCAAGTGTTTTTTTACACCATATGTTCTTACAGAAGAGTCAAAAAGTTAAAAAAATTAAAACAGTCATAAAGTAAAATGTTACAGTAAGCTAAGGTTAATTTATTATTGAAGAAAGAAATTTTAAATAAGTTTGCTTTAGCCTGATGTACAGTGTTTATAAAGTCTACAGAAGTGTGTAGAAATGTCCTAGATCTTCACATTCACTCACCACTCACTCTCTGACTCACCAAGGGCAACTTCCATGCCTGAAAGCTCTATTCATGGTAAGTGTCCTATACAGGTGTACTATTTTTAATCTTTATATTTTTACTGTACCATTTCTATGTTTAGATACACAAGTGATTACCAATGTGTTACAATTGCCTCCAGTATTCAATACATGCTATACAGGTTTGTAGCCTAGGTGTACAGTAGGCTCTACCATCTAGGTTTGTGTATACTCTGATATTCAATAAAAGGCAAAATCACTGAATGACAGATTTCTCAGAATGTATCCCTGTTATTAAGCAATACATGACTGCATTTAGTGAGGTGATACGTGAATACCTAATTCAAAAAAGGAAGGTTGATGCTATTTCAAAATTGCAGATGCTTTTCCATGGCCACTTAATCACCTTCATGTCACAAAGTTTATTATTTTCATAATTTACATACTGACAAAGAAGTATTCGTGAGCAAATAAAGAGTAGATGAAAGAAGGGTTTGAAAACTGTCCAGTATTTTATCATTTTCATGAGCAGTTCCTATTAAAAAGGCTAAAGTGAAGAGTAATAATCTGAGGCTGAACCATTGTAAATGAATCATTTATATGTTGCACAACATGATCAATTAGCTATTAAAATTAGGTCAAACTTTCTGGTACAATACAATCAAAATCTGATTAATATTATTAAGGATATAAAAATATATATGTTAGCTTTTGGAAAATAAACTTGATATTTTGGACTTACAGTGAAAGGAGAAAATGGGGACTAGATGGATGAGAGATAAAGCATGTAGAAAATCAATCAGGAGGAAAGTTCCTTGACATCTGTCAGAAAAGAAATTTCAAAGAAGTGAAAGGCTAAAGCAAGGTAGTAAATGACATAAGCTCAGTTTAACAACTGTAACTTTGAAAATAAATGATAAATTGTTTGATGTACTGTAGTGAAATACCGTAGTAGACTTTCTCTCCTGTTGCCTTTCTCCCTTATTTAGTGCATAAATAAGTTAGATGTTTATTCATCTGTCTCATAAAAGAAACCTATAATTGTAAAAGTAGCATTTCAGGGCTGGTAGGCAGGCATGAAAAAAAAAATGATGAAATGCACTGGGGCAAAAGAGGAGTTCTTCCCATCTGAAACCATTACACCTTTTCCCTAGAGGGGGACTCCCACATTTGCACTTAGATATCTGTGGCAAGAATATAGATAAAAGAACACATACCTAATGAGGGCCCTCATTTTATTAGATTTTCCAAAGTTCTTTCATCCCATTGGATCTTTGCAATTGTGTTTCTGTCTCAGGAAACACTTCATCCCCTATTTGCTCTATGTGAGGCTTACCCTTCCACAGCTCTAAACCAAGAGTAAGACAATCAGGTCTCACCATGTTAGTCTTTGTTAGAAATCCAGTTTTGGATGAGAGACACAAAGGAGTTTTATAAAAACATTGATGTTGAGCTACAGTGTTCCTTGACATAGCAACTAATGGGTAAACTAAGTGGGCATTATTTTTATTGTTTAAATAGTATTGTGATTCTTGAGTAAGGCAGCTGGTTCCTTGTAAAGCAAGGTTGTGAAAGGTCTTCAAAACCATCTTTAATACTACATTCAGACATTCTCTTCTGTTTTTGACCTTGATTTTTCATTTCTGAGGATGCATTAGCTATATGCACAAAGGCTTTTCTTTCCTGTTTTGTGCTTAATGGTTTTCCTTCATGAAGAAGTATTGGAGATGTTGCTATTAAAGCACAATGTGTCTTAAATCAAAAGGTTTCTTATTTACTACTTTAAATAGTAGTATTGTTTTAGTAATTTCACTTACACATGAAATACATATTAAGAGCAACTATAAGTTCTACATGGGGCTAAGTCCTAGGAACACACACACACACACACACACACACACACACACACACACAGACAAATCATGTTTCTGCTCCATCTGGAGCTTGCATTGTGATAGGAGGAAATACATAAAATAAGCAAATTCAGGAATACATGTATTTTTACAAATTGTGATAGTTTTATACAGTAAGAATTCTACACAAAAGAACAATATGTGGGAGACATAGGATTTGCAGGAGTAGTCTCTTACTGAGGAAATAACATTTGAGCCACATTCTGAAGAATGAACAGGAAGAGTTATATAGGTGTGAAATACAAGAGGATTATTCCAAGTGAGGGTACATAAGTATACAAATGCACCCACATAATGGAAATGGAGTGGTAAAATGTGTCCATTCATTCCACTGGAATGTATAGAGCACCTACTGTAGGTACATGGCCTAGCAAGACAGAAAGGTATTGATCCTACCTGGCCACTATTTACAGTCAAAGGGGAAATAGCTTTTATAAATGAGTTAAATGAAGCAGCATTCATAACTACTAAAAGTGTTTCAAAGTTACAATAGGCAGAAATAACGAGTCCTGTCTAATTCTTCTAAAGGTGGCAAGAAAGACATTTATGGACGAGTTAACTCTTGAGTTGTAGGGCCATGAATTTTCTAACTTCTAAGTATCCTGCCTACATGTCTTGTTGTCTTCTGTAGGATTCATTGGTCTTAATTAAACATCTATAGCATGCATCAATTTTTGGTATTAGCTGAGGAGAATCTAAGAATCCTTAGCATCAGTAGTTTTAGAATAAGAAATGCTGGCCTTATAAATTGTTTAGCAGTATAAATTAAGACATTTTATTTTGTCTACCTATTTACTTTTCCACAGAGCCCTTTAGTCAAACAAAATCATAGACAGAAGTCCAATATGTAAAATGAAGGAATTCTCATAACTAATTATCATTGAAATATCAGGGTTAGAGAACTAACAACCTGGTTATAACCCCATCCTCACTCCATAAGAAACCAGATATATGGTCTTTGTCTCCTAGCAGTGTGTACTTTTGGAATATAGGAAACTATATTTTAAAATATTAATATATCTTATTATTCTTATATCTGATTATTTTAGAATAAACTATACCTTAGTTATCTCTGCATTTATCTTTTAATATTTACCTGATATTAATTTATTTTAATTATGCATTTAAAAATACACATTTTTTTGCCAATTTTAGACATCTCCATGTAAAATCAAATTATTAAACATGCCCTTAGCTAAGCAGAGCAATTCTAGGGGCAGAAAAATTGTTCTTTATGACTTCAAAAAACAAAGCAAAAAGCATCAGAAACCATAAGAATAAAGCTGTTGAAAATACAGTTTGATGAGAAATGTATAAACAAGAGGTTATTCTGAAGACTGTTGATTAGTTGTAAAGCTCTTATTAAATAATCAGTTTTAAAGAGGCAGTGATAAAAATGTAAATAAGTCCTTAATTAATCTCTTAGGCAGCTAAATAAACCTAGTCTAAAGCAAAAATATTTCTGTATATTCACAACTCATGACAATCAGTTACCGGATTATCAACTAAATAATAAAATAAAGAAAACTTTTTGTCAAACTATAAGATTGTTGTAAAAAGTGGAGACTTTCAAAAAATTGTAGTTTTCTCTGTTTGAATTTCATTTGTAAATCATAACAGGTTTGAGCTAATTATTCTTTAGTAAGAGATAAAACTGAGAGTTCTCTCTCTCATTTTTTCTTAAGGACAGATAAAAACAGAGATTTGATTCTGACATTCCCAAAAACCAAAAAAAAAAAAAAATCAAATAGAAAAATTGTGGTTTTGTCTAGAGAATGCAAAACTTACCAGTCATATAATTAAATTCAATTGAAGAAAATGACTAGTATAATTAACAAAGTAAATCTAGTAATTTGGCACTATATTTGGAAACAGAAAATTAATTTAATTTCTTTAATTTCTGTTTCTTTAATTTCTGTGTTGACCTCAATGAAAAAGAATGGGCTAAGAAAGAACGTTTTGATAATCTTTAAAGGGTCTAGTAGTTGCCTTGTATAAAAGAATTTTGTGCAATGTATGATTTATTCCTGCCTCTGAAAAGCTTATCAGATTCATCATGTACATTGAAAGGCCATCCATATAAACAGGCCACAGGAAGAAAAGCCCAGTGGCAGTTGCTTGTCACATTTCAAGAGGCATTTTAAAACATATCAAACACTCAAAAGCTTCTCTCTTTAAAGCCTTAGAAAACAATTTCCCCCGAACTCTGTATAAGTTTAAACATCAAAGTACTAAACACAGTACTAAAATATTGTCAATGAACCATTCTAAAAAGAATATTTTGTAATGCTTCAAAGAAGAGAACACTGTAAAGGTCTGAAAATGCTATTTTTAATATCTCACAGTCCTTGGCTCATCTGAAACAAGAGTTAATCCAAAAGTTATGATCTGGATAGTGTAAATAAACAAGTTGATCATTTATAATCCTGCTACTTGCAAGTGACTGAAAATAAAACTCAAAATGGTTTTAGCAATTAGAGAATTCATTAGGTCATATACTGGAAAGCAGTTAGTTACATGGACTAATAAATTATCTAACTTTGGGTAATGAGATAGGAGCTCAGTAAGACCATCAAGCCCTGTTGCTCTAGCTCCACTTCTGTTTTCCATTTTCTCTGAACCAGCTCTACTCTTAGGTATCACATGATGGTAAAATGGAACATCTGCTCTTTCCTCTTCTCAGGTCTAAGTGAAGTAGATATATATGGCTGCATATCCTCCACTAGGTATATCCCCTTTATAGATGCTATGGCTGTGGCCAAGAATTTAGGATATGTCCATAGATCTGGGTCTGTACCATATGGCTATCCCTGCGGCTTCTGGCAGAGCTTCACCAGGAATGTATGATATGGGATTGGGGAAGAAGAAAATGCACAAAAGAAAATAAAGATTGCTGCTGGAAGAATAGGAAGTGATGCAATAGAGGCAAAAGAAAAACAATTATTAATTATACTTTGTATAATTTCCAATTTCCTGGAAATATTTGTGACCAAAATGACATAATATGTAAATTTAATTGATAGAATGTTTATAATACACTATGCTTGATGATTCCCTAATCATCTCTTTACTATTATATTACTTCAAGTGTCAAAAATAATAAAATACCAAATAAAATCATAATAAAAAACATATTTAAAACATTGATTCCTAATGAATGTATAAAAACACAATAATGAAATAAACCGGTCCATGAACTTTAACATCTAAACTGTTCATGAATTTTGAAAATTATCTTTTCAATAAGAGAAAAAAAATTTTCTTTACGTTCTATCCTTACTTTATGGGCAAGCTAATGTGTTTTTCTGTTTAATTAAATTAAATGCATACTGTGCTGCTATCCTTTGGCAGCATGCTGACTTCATCTTATTCCAACGAATTAAAAAAAATTTTTTAAGCTATTGGAAATATTTCCTGAAGAATAAAAAGAGGAATGAAAAAAGGAAAGAGAGAAAAGAAGGAAGGAAGGAAGGAAGGAAGGAAGGAAGGAAGGAAGGAAGGAAGGAAGGAAGGAAGGGAGGGAGGAAAGGGAAAAGAAAAGAAAGAAAGTAAAGATTTAGAGGAAAAAATAAAGAAAACAGCATGGAAGTAGAAATAATACATTTTATTCTTAGCATAATTAGCTAAAACATTATTTACAGTGGGGATGTCTTAATCAGATTATTAATCAAATTAATCAATTTTTGATGTTTTAGTTTCTGTCAAATTGTGTCATTAAATAAGGAATTTTCTTTGAAAAAAAGGCACTGTGTAAAAACAAACAAAAACAATAAGCAAGCAAACAAGTCTCTTTTTTGTGCGTACTGGCTTTCAGTCATTTTTCCCCCACATGAAGAAACAGCACGGTTCGTCACCAGACAACTGAAGCAAAGAATTTACCAAACAATCCTGAGTGTGAGCTACAGAGGATGACCAGGGTATGTTGCAATCTGGTCCTGTTTCATGTCTTACATGTCATCCACTCTTTAGTTAATTTCCTTCTGTCCTCCTTAGGTATGAGAAAAAAGTTTGCTTAAAGGAAAACTTGTTTCAGTGTATTTTAATTTCAGATTTTAAAGACCCAGCTCATTCTATAGCATACAAACACATCTTGGGAAGATTAAATAAAAGAAGTGGGTAAAATTTTGCATTAGATGTGTACAGATGTGATTAAGCAAAACTAGCTCAAAGATTTGCTTGGATTACATTTAATTTTCTTCACTCCAGGACATATTCTAGTGTCACATCAAATTATATGCCTTATTTTTAAAATTGATAATGGTATTTTATGTATAAAGTGTGAAGACATGAAGACAGAAATAGAAATATTTTTATAATTATTTCTCCATCAAGTTCTATTTATTTCAAATTTAAATAAGATATTTCTGTAAAATTTAGCCTCTTATTAAGTTAATTGCATTGAAATTATTTCCAAAGGTAGCTTAAAAAAACAGGTGAATGTGGTTTTTGTGATAAGTTAAAATAATGTAACATATTGGAACTTTTTACAAAATATTTAATTTACTACACATTTTTTAAGTTCTGTAACAACTCAGAGGACTTTTCTCAAGTTTCCTGTATAAAAACAAAGCTTTAATGTATAACATATAAAGTAAGAATTATTTTTTTCATACACAGTAGTTAAAATGTGTAGAATTTAGAGAATATTCAAATATTTAGAAGAGTCTAGAGTGCCTTTTTGAAGGGGTCCCTCTGCCTCTTGGGAAGGGTTAGAGCATGCCAGAGGGCTCCGAGAGCTCCCGCCCTCGGCACAAGAAGGCACATGATCATGGTTGGAGCCTGGTGAGGAAGGCTCATGCACTTGTATGGCTGCAGCCACAGACCCCAAAGCACAAAAATCATGTCCTCTACCAGCATCCGTCTAGTAGAATCCCCCATGTGTTCATGACCATCAGTTAAGTTAATCAATCAGGTGCTAGGTAATCATGGTTAAACTACACACATGTGAAGCAGAGCCGATGGATTTTCCTGGTATTGATTTCTTGTCAGCTTACCAGCACAAACTGATTTAAGTATGCATCAACTAATCATCACACTGAAAGGCCCAGAATATCAGAGTTTGTTTTAAGAAAGAGCTAGGTCAAATTATATTTCACTTCAACTTCAAGCTGACCTATATGTAGTTCCAGAGCAAATACTCTATGACACTTCTTTAGAATCTGTCCCTCTTTCTTCATCTTATACTTCTTACTTTCTTACTTCATCCTCCAGAAGTTAGTATTCTAAGCTTTTTTCTTTAACTGCCTTTTATGTAGCCTAAAAAATAGCAGACATGATTACTACATTATAAAATGTATGATTTGTTGTTAAAATAAACAAAGACAGGTATCTCTGATACCTTTGATATTTGAAATTATTCTGAACCCAGGACCAACTTATTAGGATGCAAACACTACCACTGTTATTGCTTTCTACCCTCATTTCTTTTTATTCCTAGGACTCTTAAGGATAAAAGCCTCCCAGCCTCCCACCCTCAGATTCCTATGGCTTATGAACATACTGTATTTACAGTTTAACAAGGTGTTTATGATTAAGCAATGTGTTTCTTTCTCAACTGAACCCTTTCCCCTTATGAATACAGCCAAATAAATTATTTTCTCTAGAAGCTTATTTTTAAGTGCTTTTCTTGTTATTATTTCTTGCAGAAGAATTATAAAAACTCCAACCCTGAGACGTGAATTGTCATTGAAAAGATTCTCAAGCTCAAAGCCAATGTTAGGGCTTCTTTTAATCTCCTTTCCAAGGTGGCTGCCAATTTTACATGAACTGGGAAGCCTCTATTATTTTTTTCTCTGCCTTTCTTAAACCAGGAAGATTAACCTGCTCCAGGTTGTGCTAACCAACTTCATTTTCCGAGATTTCTTATTGCACCAAGAGATAGTTACTTTCTGTTGTAAGTTAAATAGATCAATTCCTATCTTCCTATGTGGCCTTTATTCTGGCTAGCAGATTGTGAGGTCTCCCACCCAAGAGCTGACCATCTCCTTTTCATATCAATATGCAACACCCTAACAGATATTATTGTTATGCTTGCGCTGGCAGTTTTAGAATTTTCTCTCTGGCTAGACTGTTTCTAGACAAGGCTCACCCAAACTACCACAAAGCATGAATTGTTTGGCAATAAACTTTCAGTAAAACACTAATCCACGTGCGTTGTATGATAGCATTTCTTTCTTCATGTTCCCCCTGGAAAACTATTACTAAAATGATTGTTTGCCTTACAATTTATGGAGCGTTAGAATTAAAGATGTAGGATATTTCCTTGCACTGCTTATCTGGGTAGAACTTAATGCAAAGAAAAGTAAACTTCTATGCTTTAGGGGAAGGTTAGATGATTAGATTAAGAAAACAGGTGACCTAGCTTTGCAAAAGAAGTTGAAGAACTTCACAGCTTAGAAAATTAATTTCCAGCTCAAATATGAGTAGGCATGATTTTCTCCAGTGCTTCCTGCTATCATATGCATTTCTAAAATGCTGCAGAACAGCTCAGCAAGGTTGGCAGACTTGAGGCACTCTGTTTGAAAGCACAATTTTCTCTCAATGCTTAAGGATCACTTTGCAATTGCTGTGATTAATTGAAACAATACATTTAAATGATGCTGAACTGCCACTAGTTTATTAAAGAGGGCAATTCTCTCCCAAAGCCTCTTTATTCCACACCACATGTTCTGATCCCCAAACATACGTGGCAAGATTGCAGGTACTAACTCAGTTTCCATGTATAATCCCGCTTAGAAATGTATCACAATAACTGTTTAGTCTTTACTGTCCCCACTTTTGTGATTATGAGGACATCACATTTAGAGTAGGGCAATTTAAGTTTGTGTTAGCCAGAGCTGGTGATCATCTCTCACCCCTGACCTTCAGGTTAATGAGAAGTTCCTCTGGATAATTGTCCTCTCTTACGACAGCCCTGTACTGTGTAATCTTTATCGCTGTAAAATGACATTTAAAGTTTGTTTTACATGAGCAAGTAGGAGAACATTATTTCTGCAGTGAGCAATAATTATCTGCCTCCTAGCTGAAAATACATGCTGTGGATAAATTGTGTTCATCTGGTAGCCTTTGTTTGCAAGACAAGTTAATTAAAAGAGGAATGTTGAAAAATATGTTTGCCCACTGAGTGCTGACGGAGTAATAATATTACTTTACAAGAAAACATTACATGCAAAACAACTTTGGTTTTGTTCTGAAGTTATGGGAGAAAATGAGGTAAATGTAATGTTCCCACAAGCAAAATTTGATCACACGAAAAAGAATAGATAAGGCAAATTATCTATATTTTAATCAAGCAATAAAGGTCTAAAATTATCTGTACCCAAGTGGTATTTGTACTGTTTAGCCGGGACAAGAAATATTGAATCTAAAAACATGGGCTTATTAAAATATCCAAGTAATTCTTTATACTAAATACTCATATGCCTGGCTGCTACTGGGATCAGTATCTTCACTGAAAATGTAATAACTATTTAATCTGAGCACATAATACAGTTATCCCCCATACGCCTTGCAAAAAGCTTCCTTGTAGCTATACATTAAAAAAGAATTTCCTATTTTGGGGAAGAGACTAATAACTCAAATTGGAATTTATTCAGCTTTTCTGGAAATAATACACTAATTTTTACCAAATGAATTTTCTCTTGTAAAAAGCATCCTAATATTAAACTCTACATTCAGTCACTGGAATCAGAGTTCAGTGCTCACACTTGGTGAAAAATGAATTTATAATTAATATTTTTCTTTAACATTTTCTGTAGCATTTTCCACTTATTTATTTTAGCAATAAATGATCTGCCAGCAGACTTTGTCAACAAAATTTTATAGCCATATCTCCACCTCAAGAAATGGAGGCGCATACTTCCTAAGGTCATGTATCTCTGCAACCAATCAACACTTTCATCTGGGCAAGGCCATCACCACTGAACTGGGGCTTTTCTCCATTGCTATTCCAACTGGTACAGCAATGAGTATGATATTACATCAAAACTCTAACTTTCCGGGGAAAGGCTAAAGTGACATACAATTAGGTTGGTCAATGGCTCTCATTTTGTCTGTTTAGTACAAAAATCTGTTTATAAAATCAACATTTTAACGCAAGTTTATGATTTAAAGTTACACATTTTAATCTTTTGTAATAAGAAATGGCGGTAAAAAAGGTATGGCCCGTTTATCAAGCTTTTCCCAAACTTTCCATGTTTACACTCACTGCCTTTGAAGTACTTTGAAGAAATCTATGGAGAGTCTTTATTTCTAACTCAGACTAGTTGAGAATCTGATAAAAGATAGATAAAGCTTCTCTGAAACCAGCAACATATCCACGGATTTTGCATACAATTTCAGGAGATTAATGAAAAACTTGAAGTTCATGGGTCCATGAATCCAAAGGTGAGAACATCTGAAAAAGATCTTGATATTGTGTCCATTTTAGGGTTCTTACCATCCGTACTCAAAATACCTTCCTTCATTTAACACTATTCCTTTAAAGCTGGTGTGATCGTCAAGCATTTTTATTGTTTTCACTCACTGAAGCAAATTGTTGTGTTCCTGTCAAGGACATTCTTTGTTTTTAAGAATTAATCTTTCCCAAGATTAGGTTGGGAAAGTGTGAGGTGGGAACTTCTAGGTTGTAGTATGAGGTAGAAAATGTGTATTATTTCACTCACAATTTTCCGGCCTTTCTCCACTCATTTCCTCTCCATCACTCTCTTAGGAATCTGCTTCTACTAACAGCTCTTGTTCATTTTATTTTTCTATGAATCCACTCTCTTATGGATGACAGATTTTCACTCCCACATAAACTTTCCTCCTAGTTTTTAGGTGAAGAAACTGAGAACAAATACTCAAATGACTTTCATATGGTTTGTGTAAAGACCCTTGGCCAAGACAGGCAGAGTCAAGACAAGGATCCAACACTGCTAAACTTCCTGATGAGGTTTACAATTTTTCATTTTCACTTTTTTTTTTTTTTTTTGAGACAGAGTCTTGCTCTGTCGCCCAGGCTGGAGTGCAGTGGCGCGATCTCGGCTCACTGCAAGCTCCGCCTCCCGGGTTCACGCCATTCTCCTGCCTCAGCCTCCCGAGTAGCTGGGACTACAGGCGCCCGCCACCACGCCCGGCTAATTTTTTTTTTTTTTGTATTTTTAGTAGAGACGGGGTTTCACTGTGTTAGCCAGGATGGTCTCGATCTCCTGACCTCGTGATCCGCCTGCCTCGGCATCCCAAAGTGCTGAGATTACAGGCGTGAGCCACCGCGCCAGGCCTCATTTTCACTTTTAACTAATGCAATTGATTTCCTTAGTAAAATAATGCTGTAATAATGAAATGTTAGTCAAGTAACCAGAATAATAGAAGTGCCATATGTGGAAAAGAAGGCAACTGACATTAATGCTATTCCAATTATTTCCTGGGTTCTATTTTTAGAGATACATGCCCAATCATATTTTCCATAAATAAATGTGCCTCTAGTTGCACTACTCAAAAGGATAGCTTTGTCTCCATTCTGAACTGAGAAATACATGCCAAAATACTGTATGTAGTCTCTCTTGCAAGTTGTATCACATTTACTTGACAATGGTAAAATGTAGCTATTACTCCATTAAACAATAAACAAATGCACTCATAAATAAACACATGAGTAAAAGAGCATTTATATAATAGTTATGTGCATTTATACATATAAACATTCACACACATGCATAGATAAAGGAAAGATGTGGAATATAAAGAGAGAATCAAAGGGTGATTTTACCTAAATATGCAAAGTATCTGTGAGAAAAAAAATTTAAAATATTGTCAGAAAATAAAATAGATAAAGTGAGGTGGAATGTTCTGTTGCAATACAAAATTACTCTTATAAGGAATCCTGGTCATTAGTATTCAAAAATATGTAATAATTTAAAATAAGTGGGAAAAAGAATGTTTTGACAATAAGACTATATAGCATTTTTATAAATCATTTGCAGTTTTGTAACTACTTATTGCTCTGTAAAATACTACTTCAAAATTGAACGATTTAAAACAAACTTTTACTGTCATGCAACACTTAGCAATGGGAATAGTTTCTGAGAAATGTATCATTAAGGGATTTAGTTGTTGTGTGAACATCATAGAATGTACTTATACAAATCTAGATCATATGGCCCACTACACACCAAGGCTATATGGCCTATTGCTCTGCACTGCATGCTGGTGTACTGAATACTGTAGGCAAGAGTAGAACAATGGTGTTTGTGTATCTAAACATAGAAAAGGTACAACAAAAAATACAGTGTTATAATCTTATGGGACCACCATTTTTTCTAAGGTCTGTCATTAATCAAAATGTTGTTATGCACCCCATCATTGTATTTGTATGATTATTTGGGTCAGAAATTTGAAAAGGACTCAAAAGGACAAACTTGGGCACTTTGTCTCTGATCCAGGTAGTGGCAGCTGAGAGAGTTGGGTCCTAAAGATCCACTTCCAAAATGGTTTCAAAACAAAATAGTTGTTAAGTTTTTATTTCTATGTATATTTATTGATTCTGATTGGCACCATGAGGTTTCTAGATCAGGGAACACAATGATTATTGGCTCACACAGTGATTTTATTACCAGCTCACCACACCCTGATTATCTTTCCAGTTGACACAGTGAGGGCCAGATATACCCTGCTCCTTCAAGAGGCTTGAACCAAAGGAGAGAAACCTTATAATTATGAATTATTGGAGCTTATAAAACTTGCTGATGTAACTACCCCCTCCTCCTTTCTACAGAGAGAAAGAGAGAGAGACAGAGAGAGAAAGAGGCCTAGCCTTTTCTCTGGAATATAAATAAAATGCTCTCCAGGGAGAGGAAGAGATTTCTAGGCCCATCACCATTTGCAATGCAAATAAATGACTCTTGAGAGATACAACTGTTAACCTCTCTGAAGGTCTCTTTCTTTAGGGTTGCTATTTACTGACCTGCCCCTCTTCCCCAGCCCCCAGCAATCTTTGCTTAGAAAGCCCTGACTGTATAGAAATGTGAAAGTAATAACATTATTTCCAAGCACATAATATCTGGCACCTTGGTTCTCCTTGTCCTACTGCTCTCTTTCATTCTCTCTTATTCTCTTTCTCTCTCTGTCTCCATGGCATCTTATATTCCACAGTTCTTCCATGGTTTTTTTTTCTTTTTTTTTTTTTTTCACAATGTGGGGCTCTAACAGAAGCCGTAATTCTTACAGAATAGATGGCTTCCAAGAGGTAGGGAGCAGAAACAGGCACAGCACCTCTTCTGCTTATTCTATTGTCAGAGCAGTCACATGGCCTTCCCGGATTCAAGATAGTGGAGAAATATTCTCCAGCTCTTTATGGGGTGGAGGGAGAGCGACAAGGTCACATTACAGAATTGTGGCTATCTTTGGAAAACACAATCTGCTACACAACATAAAGACATTTTGAAAGAATGGACTTACTAGAACAAAGAAATACTGTAGTTGGATAGTAAAACTCACCATGAAAATAAATAATATACAAATAACTAAATGTCTGATACAGATCAAGGTGCTCCTTAACAAAGACCCAGATTTATTCTGAAAGTTCCTTAGACTGAAGAATAAAACAAATGCTTGAGGGCACAAGGATAGAGTTTAGTCCTTGCAGCACTTGATCTGGCTTAGATAGGTTTGGGGGAGTCTGGGCACAGGGGAGTTCAGCCTACAACATCATTTAGGTAGGGCTCCTTAGATCTAAAAGCTTGATTTTACTTTTAGATAAACGTGAGGCTTGAAGACTTTCTTAGACTGCCTATAGGCCTCTCTGTTTTGATGTACTTCCCAGCCATTTCCATTCTCCAGAGTGTTGGCTATTCTCTGGAGTCTCACAACCATTATGAGAGGCTGATAAAGAAAACTGAGACTGATTCTTTCTTACTACAAAATCTATATTCCCTCAGACTGAGAAATGTTTTTTTCAGTTCTCAAGGTGAGGTAATGTTCTCCCTACAGATTTTAAAAATTATTGCTGAGATCTGAAAATGCTATTTTATTTTTTTCTCCTCGTTTGAAAATTATAGTGGTTAATGTATATTAAATTATAAGTAGAACACAGAAGAAAGATGACAGGTATAAGATGAGAGTCAGAATACTTAGTAGTTCTGGTTCTGCCTCTGTAAGCTAAACAAGTCACTCAAAATTCCTGGCCTTATTGTTTTCATCTAGTCAAGCTGGATCGGGTCATGATCAGTACTGCCCTGAAAAGGCACCAGTGAAGCTCTAAATGCCTGATGGGTCCATAATCTACTTCTGAGGAAAGCAGCTTCCAGCAGTTTTTCCTAAAGATGCTATGTCTCATGCATAAAATATATGTTAAGCAATGCTATGTCCCAGGTCTTAGCTAACATTTATTGAAGGAGCAGATAATGCAAATTTTTTGTAAGCACTATCACGTTTAATTCCCACTCCTGCGCTGTAAAGTATCATTATTCTCTCATTTTAAAAATGAGAAAAGTGTATAGATGCTGAAGGCAAGATGGTCAACTTGGCCAACTAGATGCAGCCAGTAAGCCCTACTTCCACAAAGAAAACCAAAATAGGAAGTAGATATTCGTATTTGGAATAGATTATCTAAGAAAAACACCCCAGAATTTAATGAAGAAGTGAATTTAACAAAGGAAATAACAAAAGGAAAGGATAGGGAGGCAAGGCAGCCTTCTCAGCCAGGAATGGCCAGGAACTGGGAAAAGTTCCCAGACACAGGGAAAGGGTGAGTGACCCCTGCAGGGCTCCACATTCCCTCCATGGAATTTTACAATCCTAGCCACAGGAAAGCAACTCAACTCTTGTGGGTCTGGAGACCAACATAGGGAGCTACATAGAAATTATGCAGAGCATTGCTCCAAAGAGAGAGCTCACACCGAGCCCTACAGGCTTTGGAGCCCTGAGCAGCTGCTGCATTGTGCCACTCTGAGAACTAATCTCTTAAAGGATGGTGTCCTGCCCTGGGGCCAATGCTGCTGATTCTACCACTGGATTAAGGAGGGAGAAAGGAATGCCGGGCACCTTGACACACCCGAAAGACTAATCATACTGCCACTGTTGTGGTCTTTTGTGCGATTCAGACACAAGCAAACCACAAGCCTCACAGCTGTCTACCTATGCTACTCCCACTGAAAGTGGCCCTGCCCTCCCTGGGGACTGACACACAGTGCAGCCACCACTGCCTCCACCTGAGCATTTTGCCAGCAGCGTGGGGACCACTCCACCCATGACTATCAGCTAGCACTTGAATACACTTACAGGTGGCCTGTGGGCAAGTCTGCCAGCCCAGTCCCATCCACCCAGTATACAGTTCAGTATCTCCCACCCCAGTCCATCACCACTGGCATCTCAACCTTCCTTTCAGGGTCTGAGAGTGGGTTGACCAAACATGCCAATGTCACCACAGCTGGCACCCACCCACATGTGACAACAGTAGGCCATGGAACTGGCCTGCCCATCTCATTGCAGCCACTACCAGCACCAAGGCCAGCTGCCTTAACACTGCTGTCGCAATTGTCCACTTCATACTCACTGTCCAGGGGCCCAAGAACCAGTCCACCCCTACCCACTGCTGTCACTACTGGCATATGAGCAAGCCACTGGGAGGCCTAAGAACTGGCCTGCTTTGATTCTGTAACAACAGAGTGAGCATACACAATTCTGGGGCTCAAGGACAGGCACACTCAGCTAACCATTGACGCTACTGGAGCCTGAAGACTCGCCCACCTGGTATTCTAGTCCCAGAAAAGCTTCATCACAGCCCCCACTTATAAGTGCACCCCAAAACACCAAGGAAATCACAGATACTGTTTACAGCTGAAGAAATAACACAGAGACTACATACACTATTGCATGGGCACAAATTCAAAGGCAAAGTACCCTATTCAACCAAAACCACATATATGTCTTCAGGAAAAAATCCTCCCATAAAAAAGCAAATTCAAAAAATTGGAAGAAATGACTATTATACCAGATATGCACATATCAATGTAAGGACATAAGAAATATTAAAAAGGAAAAAAAATGATACTTCCAAAGGAATAAAACCATTCTCCAGTAACAGAACTCAATCCAAGAGAAATTCACAAAATCCTAAAGAATTCAAAATACTGATTTTAAAGAAGCTCAGTAAGATACAAGATAATTCTGAAAAAAAAAAAAAAAAAAAAACAAAGATATCAGACAAACAAGGATATGAATGAAAAATTTACTGAAGAGGTCTATATTTAAAAAAGAACAAAACAGACATTTTGGAATCAAAAAATTCATTGAATGAAATAAAAATATATTTGAAAGCTTCAATAATGGACTAGATTAAGCAGAAGGAAGACTCTCAGAACTTGAAAACAGGTGTTTAAAAATAATCCAGTCAGACAAAAATTAGCAAAAATAAATTTAAAAAGAATGTGCAAAGCATTCATGTATTTGGAACAACATAAAATCATCAAATATTCAAATTATTGGTGTCCCTGAGAGCAAAGAGACAATGAAAGGGTTAGAAAGCCTATTTAATAAAATAATAGATTAAAAAAATCCCCAAATCTAGCAAGAGACTTAGACATTTAGATAGAGGAATCTCAAAGTCCTCCAAACACATATAATGTAAAAAGTCTTCTTTTCAGGGGCCCAACTAAACAGAATTATATTATGGCATATTATAGTCACACTGTCTAAAGTCAGACAAAGAGATAATTCTAAAAGTATCAAGGGAAAAGCATCCAGTCACTTATAAAGGTACCCCAATGAGACCAACAGCATGTTTCTCAGCAGAAATCTTACAGGCCAGGAAAGAATGGGGTGACGTACTCGAAGTGCTGAAAGAATAAAATAAACTGCCACCCAGGGATACTATATCCAGCAAAATTATCCTTCATAAATGGACATGTAACATCTTTCTCAGACAAGAAAATGGTGAAAGAATTCATTACCCCTAGACTGGCATTAAAATAAATGATCAAGAGAATCTTAAACTTTGAAGTGAAAAGATGACATTTACCATAATGAAAACCCATTAAAGTATAAAATGCACTGACAAACCAAAGATGCAACTGAGGAAGAAAAAGGATTTGAATGGTGCCACTACAGAAAACCACGGAACCACAGTGAAAACAACAAGAGAGGGAAAAAAATGTATTTACAAACAACCAGAAAACAACAATATGATTGAAACAAAACCTCACATATCAATAATAACCTGAAATGTAAATGGATTAAAGTCTATGTTTAAAAGATATAGCCTGAGTGATGGATAAAGAAGCATAATCTAAATATACACTATCTACAAGAAATACATTTTACTTGTTAAAAAAAAACCTTATAGACTCAATCTAAAAGGATGCAAAAAGATATTCCACACCAAAAAAAGCCAAAGCAAAAAAGGAGTAGCTATGTTTATATCAGATAAAACAGACTTTTAAGCAACAAAAGTAAAAAAAAAAAAAAAAAGATCATTATACAATGATAAAGAGATTAATCCAGCAAGAGAAAAGAATGATCCTAAATATACATATATGCACCCAACACTGGAGCATGCAGATTCATACAGTAATTATTACTAGAGATAAAGGGAGATATAACAATATAACAGTGACAGACTTCAACATCCCTTTCTCAGCATTAGAAAAATCCTCTAGAAAGAAAATCAATGAAGAAACATTAGGTTTAATCCAGACTTTGGACTAAATGGATCTAACAAACATTTACAGAGAATTGTATACAACTACAGATTGTACATTCTTCTCATCAGCATGTGAAACATTTTCCATGATAGACCACATGTTAGGCCACAAAACATGTCTCAAAAAAATTTTAAAAATCAAAATTATATGAAGTATATTTTCAGACCATGGAATTACACCAGAAACCAATACCAAGAGGAACTTTGGAAACTCTACAAATGCATGGAAAGTAAACAATATGCTCCTTAATGATCATATGGTTTTGCTGTCCCCACTCCCAAGTCTCATCTTGAATTGTAATAGCCATAATCCCCACGTGTGGTGGAAAGGACTCAGTGGGAGATAATTAAACCATGGGACTGGTTTCCCTCATGCTATTCTTGTGATAGTGAGTAAGTTCTCATGAAATCTGATGGTTTTACAAGCGGCTTCCTGCTTTACTCAGCTCTCATTCTTCTCTCTCCTGCCACCATGTGAAGCAAGACATGTTTGCTTCCCCTTCTGCCATGATTGTAAATCCCCTTAGACCTCCACAGCCATGCTAAACTGTGAGTCAATTAAACCTCTTTTCTTTAGAAATTACCCAGTCTTGGGTATGTCTTTATTAGCAGTGTGAGAATGGACTAATACATTGGGTCAATGAAGAAATTAAGGTAGACAGTTTTTAAATATCAGAAAAAAAGAAAATTGAAACACAACATACCAACACTTGTGGGATACAGCAAAAGTAGTAGTAAGAGGGAAGTTTATAGCAATAAATGTCTACATCAAAAAGTAGAAATATTTCAAGTAAACAACCTAATGATACACCCCAAGGAACTAGAACAGCCAGAACAAACAAAATCCAAAATTAGTAGAAGGAAAGAAGTAATAAATATCAGAGAATAACTAAATAAAATAAAGACTAAAAAAGCAATAAAAACTATCAATGACAGAAAAAGTTTGCTCTTCAAAATAATAAACAAAATTGATAAACAACTAGCTTGACTAATGAAGAAAGAAGAGATATAACCCAAATAAACAAATTCAGAAATGAAAAAAGGAGACATTACAGCTAATACCACAAAAATACTAAAGCTCATCAAGACTATTATGAACAACTGTATGCTAACAAACTGGGAAATCAAGAGAAAATCAGTAAATTCCTGGAAACATACAACCTCCCAAGACTGAATCAGAGAGAAATAGAAAACCTGAATAGATCAATTGCAAGTAGTGAGATTGAATCAGTAGCAAAAAGTCTTCCAAAAAGGAAAAGTCCATGACTGGGGGGAATCACAGCCAAAATCTATTAAACATATGAGGAAGAGCTTATACCAATGCTCCTGAAGCTGTTCCAAAAAAATTAAAGAGGAGGGAACTCTCCCTAACTCATTTTACAAGACTGGCTTTAACCTGATGCCAAAACCAAACAAAAACAAAATAAAAATGCTATGGGCCAATATCTCTGAAGAATGTAGAAACAAAAATTTTAAACAAAATACTAGCAAACCGAATTCAACAGAACATTAAAAAGATAATACACCATGACGAAGTGGAATTTATATCAGGAGTGCAAGGGTAACTCAACATATACAAATTAATAAACATCATATATCACATGAATGAAAGACAAAAGCCATACGATCATATTAAAAGATGAAGAAAAACATTTGGTAAGATTCAATCTTCCTTTCTGATTAAAAAAACTCCCAAGAAACTAGAAAAAGAAGGAATATATCTCAAAATAATAAAAGTCATATATAACAAACCCAATGCTAACATCATACGGAATGAGAAAAAGCTTAAAGCATTCTCTCTAAGATATGGAACAAGACTAGGATGGCTATCTTCACCACTCTTATTCAACATAGCACTGGAAGTCCTGGCTAGAGCAGTCAATGCAAGAGAAAATAAATTAATGAAATGTATCAAATTAAAAAAGAGAAAGGCATATTATCCTTCTTTGCTGATATTATTTTATATGTAGATAAACCTAAGAAATAAAAATTCTTAGATTTGATAAATAAATTCTACAAAGTTGCAAGACACAAAACCAACATACAAAAATCAGTAGTATTTCTATGCACCAATAATGAAGTAGCTGAGAAAGAAATCAAGATGACAACTTATTTAGAATAGTTCCAAAAGAAATAAATGCTTAGGAATACATTTAACCAAGAAATGAAAGATTTCTACAAGGAAACTAAAAATAACACTGATGAAAGAAATTGAAGAGGACACAAACAAATGGAAATACATCCTTTGCTAGCAAAGCAGGAGAATTAGTATCATTAAAGTGGCCACAATCCCAAAGCAGTTTACAGATTCAATGCAATCCCTACCGAAATACCAACATCATTTTTTTCACAGAATTAGAAAAAGTAATCCTAAAATTTGTATGGAACCAAAAAGGAGTACAGATAGCCAAAACAATCCCAAGCAAAAACAATAAACAAAGGCATCACACTACTTGACTTCAGAATATATTACAGTGCTATAGTAACTAAACACCATGATATTGGTAGAGAAAACAGATACATAGACCAGTGGAACATATAATAGAGGATCCAGAAACAAATTTGCATGTTCATAACCAACTGATTTTTGATAAGACACCATAAAAATTCAGTGGGAAAGAATGGTGTCTTCAATCAATGGTGGTGGGAAAATTAGATAGTCCACATGCAAAATGAAACTAGACTCTTATCTCTCTTCATACACAAAAATAAACTGAAGATGTATTAAAGACTTAAACATAAGACTTGAAACTATATACAACTACTAAAAAAAACTTAGGGAAAATTCTTGAAGATGTTGGTTTAAGCAAAGATTTTATGGCTAAGATCTCAAATGTACAGATAACTGTAAGAAAAATATACAATGCCAAGTATATTAAACTTAAAAGTTTCTGCACAGCAAAAGAAACAACCTGTCAAGCAGGAGAAAGTATTTGAAAACGATTCAACAGACAAGAGATTCATATCTAGAATATACAAGGAACTCAAACAACTCAACAACAACAACAAAATAACCCCATTAAAAAGTGGGCTAAAAATATGACTAGACGTTTCTTAAAAGAAGACATACAAATGGCCAACAGGCATATGAAAAAATGTTCAACATCGCTAATCATCAGAGAAACGCAAATCAAAACAACAATGAGATATCATCTTACAGCAGTTAGAATAGCTATTATTAAAATGATGAAAAATTCCAGGTGCTGGCCAGGATTTAGAGAAAATGAACTCTTCTACAGGGTTGGTGGGAGTGTAGATTAGTACAACCACTATGGAAAACGGTATACAGATTCCTCAAAAAACTAAAAATAGAACTACCATAGAATCTAGCAATCCCACTACTGCATATTTATCCAAAGGAAAAGAAACCTCTAAACCAAAAGGATACCTGTATGTTTATCACAGCACCACTCACAACAGAAAAGATAGGGAATCACCCTAAGTGTCCGTTGATGGATGCATAGTTAAAGAAAATGTGTTGTATATACACAATGAAATACAATTTGGCCATATAAAGGAATAATATAATATCATTTCCAGCAACAGAGATGGAACTGGAGATCATTATGGTAAGTGAAATAAGCCAGGCACAGAAAGACAGATATTACATGTTCTCAATTATATGTGGGAGCTAATAAACTTGATCTCATGAATATAGAGAATAGCATGATAGATTCCAGAGGCTGGGAAGGGTGTGTGGGTAGGAGATGGGGATAGAGAGAAGTTGATCAGAGGGTACAAACATATAGTTAGCTAGCATAAATAAGCCCCAATATTTGGTAGCAGAATAGGGTGACTATAGTTAGCAACAATGCATTATATATTTCAAAGTAGAAGAGAGGATATCACCAACACATAGAAGTGATACATATTCAAAATTAAGGATACCCCACATACCCTCACTCAACCATTATACATTCCATGCATGTAAGAAATACATGTCCCCATAAATGTGTAAAATATTTTGTAAATATGTAAAATATTTTGTATCAATAATAAATAAATAAATAAAAATAAAGACTAGAAAAGCGAAACACACACAGATCTGTTAAAAACAGTCACTAGGCTTTACTTTGACTCTCACTTTATGAAAGGTGAGTTTTGAAATCTAAAATTGTGAAATTAAACTGGATTTATGTCCAGTGATAGGGCTAATAGAGACTCAAAATATGAATGCATAAATCATTATATTTTCCTCTATTTACTACACATTCCTCCAGATTTTTTAATATGTCATTAAACATCAAGTCCGATGTCAGCATTAGAAAGTATCTAATTTTGTTTCCTAACAAAAGTGAGTTCATAAACTGTGATTTATCTTTCACTGACATTACTACATTAGTGTGAGTTGTTGATAAGCTAATTTACAATGATAGACAAGATCAAGGCTTACCCTAAGGGTGATTTATCATAGTTCCTATATTTGCTAACAGGCTGGCATGTGAAGCCTTTGAAAATATAATGAATTTACAATGTTTACCCATTATCTCACACCAGGTGATTAGTTAACCTATTCCTTGCATATTTACATTCTTTCATATTGAGTTTCAGCAGCAAATATTTAGAGTTGTAATACATCAGTAGAATAAATTTGAAATATTCAAATGTTTAGCCATTGTGAAAATAAATACAATCATCTACCATAATTTATTTTACTTTTAGTTTACTATACTACCTTGCATTCATTTTATGAAATTAATTATAAATCAAGAAAAAAAGCAGCCTACGATTTTAGAGTTCAAAGGAAACCTTAGAAATGATGTTGTTCAACTTTATTTTATAGACAGAACAAATGACAAAAGCTGGGAAGTAATTTGCTCATTGTAACAAAGCTAGTTTGAAACAGGAGTTGGACTAGGTTTCTCAAAATCTTTTAATGTGATAAAAATCCTTTCATTAGTCACTACATCATATTTTCCTGAAATTACGATATTTCCTTTGCATTTATGAATCATTATTTATAACAATGCATCTTCTAGGAAATGGCATTTTTATAAGTGCTTAACATAGTAAATGATACTTTATTCTTATTGCTATTTGATAAAAAGAAAGATACATACACTGGGGCAGTAAAATCCCCCAGAACTATTTCGAGAATAGATGGTAACATTCACATTCAAAAGTTTTAAGAGAGCTATTATTGTTTATAGTGTGCTGTAGATGGCATACATAAAAAAAGGATTGAATATAGTTCATAGAAATAAATCAAAAAATTACATAAATTGCCTATGCCAAAATAAATTTAGGGAGTTTTGGTATAACCAGTTTAACATCACAGTTTAGTTATCAAACACACCATGTTTCAGTAATTCTAGGGAAAATTTATTTTTCACATTTGTATACATGTTGGAATTATCCTCCTAAATTTAGTATATCCCAGCAATCTTTGAATGTATATGTCCATGAAGATTTAATTAAGAAACACAATTCTTTGGGTCATATACTCAACTTTTCTGGCCATTTAAACCCTTTCTGTTTGACTGAATTTGAGCTGAGATGCCCATGGTAATACTAATCTGATGATGTTTGCTGAAATATTAAGGAATGCCTTAATTCTTAGACTAGTCCAATATCTGTCTTAAAAGCTGACCTAGCATATGAATAGAACATTATAGTATTACACGATTTCCTTTGAAGGAATTATGTCGGTGTGAGAAATCAAGCCCGCACTGTAAGTTTGAATTCTCAAAACAAACTTTAATATTTCATGGTTTCATTTATTTTCTATAAGATGTGCCTTTCTGTTTCTAAGTGGAAAAAGACATTAAAAAGTCTCAGTTAAGAATCTTTTGGGATGTGAAACAAGCAGTTCTGAGACAAATAATAGTTTGAGAAATTAAACATGAAAGCATCAGATTTATTATTCAAATTCCTTTGATACACATTTATTGTTTAAAAATTTTAAATTATGTTTTGATCATTACTATGATTTGAATGTGTCTCCCAAAAGTTCCTCTGTTGGAATGTTAATTCCCAATGCAATAAACAGTGTTGGAAGTTGGGGCCTATTAATAGGTGATTTTGCCATGAGGGCAGCGCCCTTACAAATGGCTTAATGGCATCATCACAGGGGCTGGTTAGGTATTATGAGTGGGTTGTTATGAAGTGAATCTGGACTCTAGTGCCTCTCTCTGTCTTACATCTTTATTTGACATTTTGCTATGTCATGAAGCAGCACAAAGGCCCTTGCCAGATGCTGGCACCATGCTCTTCAATTTTCCACCCTCAAGATCTATGAGAAATAAATTTCTCTGCTTAATAAATTATCCAGTCTGTAGTGTTCTATTATAGCAGGAGGAAAGGAACTAAGATAATCATTAACTGTAGATTTTATATATTTTAAATGTAGGATCAACTTGAGATATAAGTTTTAACTTTAAATGTTTATTTTTTTCACAGTGTAAACATAGCTCAACTAATAAAAATTGCAGCCATATAAAATACATTAAGGATATTTATATGTGAATATCTTGTTAAAATTTAGGTGGAATATTAAAGGGTTCCAAATGTAAGCAAAACGTATCTGAGCTGGAATAAAATTATACAACTGGATATGGCATATTTCCAAAACAATTATACTTTTCACAATGTTTCTACTATTCATATCATTTTATAAGTGTGATTGCAGATTAAGGTCCTGGTAGCCAGACCAGAAGAGATGAGGTACATAGAAGAACAAGTAAATCACTGTAGATGACTGAATAAAGGAACAAAGAAATGGAGGAAATTCAAGGTCGTTGTGAAGATTTCAAATCTGGGTTGATGTTACAAGTAAAAGAAAGAGGGAAATCAGACAAGATGAAATGGAGAAAAGCTGTCTGTTTTAGAGAAGTTGAGTTGAGAAGTAAAGGTAATCAATAGAATGCTTTAGATATGGTTCTTAAAGCACAGCAATATGTCAGTTTGAAAATAAGTGTTGGAGACCAATGGATAATTTTATTTTATTTTTCTCAAGCTATGTTTATTTCAGAATGTTTAAAAATCTTTCCTGGCTTATTTAACTATTTACAGAAGTGTATATTACAAATTATTCATTCATCAGTTGTTTCTACTTTGGGGTCATTTCTACTTTTTAGGCTAACGTGAATAACACTGCTATTGAAATTTATGTTGAGGGTTTTTTGAATTTTAATTTTTTTAGTTAAAAAAGTATTTTGGGGGACCAGGTGTGGTGGCTCATGCCTGTAATCCCAGCACTTTGGGAGGCCAAGGCAGGTGGATCATGAGGTCAGAAGTTCAAGACCAGCCTGACCAACAAGGTGAAACGCTGTCTCTACTGAAAATACAAAAATTGGCTGGGCATGGTGGTGCACACCTGTAATCCCAGCTACTGGGGAGGCTGAGGCAGGAGAATTGCTTCAACCCAGGAGGCAGAGTTTGCCGTGAGCCAAAATGGTGCCACTGCACTGCAGCCTGGGTGACAGAGTGAGACTCCGTCTCAAAAAAAAAAAAAAAAAAAAAAAAGGTATTTTTTTAGAGACAGAGTCTTGCTATGTTGCCCAGGCTGGATTCCAACTCCTGGGCTCAAGCAACACTCCTGCCCCTGTCTCCCAGGTAGCTAGGATGACAGGTGTGTGCCAGCATGCCCGACATGTGTGTAAAAGTTTTTGTGTGAACATATTTTCATTTGTAAGAGATATATACTTAGCAGTGAAATTTCTGGGTCATGTGTAGCCATGTCTAACATTTAAAGGAACTGCTAGGTAGCTTTTTATAGTGGCCGCATCATCTTCTATTAAAACCTCGGTGTATGAGATTTCCAATTTCTGTGCATTTTGCCAACATTTGCCTTTACCTGTATTTTTAGTTATAGCCATCCTAGTGGGTATAAACTGGTATCTTATCCTGATTTTAATTTCTATTTTTCAGATGGCTAATGATATTGAGCATTTTATATCACTTTTTTTTTTTGCTGCTTATGTTTTGGTATCATATCTAAGAATCATTTCTCAAACCCAAGGTCATGAAGATTCTTCCCCTAAGAGTTTATCCTCTTAAGAAGTTTATAGTTTTAAGTCCCACATTTAGGACTTTGATCCATTTTGAGTAAATTTTTCTGTATGGATATCCGATTGTCTTAGTAGAATTCACTGGGGGCATTTATACTGTCCACAATTAATTATCTGATATCTTTGTCAAAAATCAATTGGTTATAAATATGAATGTTTATTTCTATTCAATTGATCTATACACCTATTCTTGTGGTGGTACCAAATATTTAATTATTGGAGATTTATAATAAGTCTTGAAATTGGGAAGTGTGAGTCCTTCAATTTTGCTGTTTTTCAAGATTATTTTGGATATTTTTGTGTCCTCGAATTTTCATATAAATATAAGGATCAGTTTGTTAATTTCTCAAAAAAAAATGAGCTAGGATTTTGGTAGAAATTACATTAAATCTGAAGATCAACTTGGTAATATTGGCATTTTAGCAAATAAAGTCTTCTATAAAGATGAAATGTTTTTCTGTATATTTACATTTTAAATTTCTTTCAATAATGTTTTACAAAATTTTAGAATAAGATTTGTACTTCTTTTGTTAAAATGTGATTCATATTTTATTTTATGCTACTAAAAAGGAAACTGCCTTCTAATCTTCATTTTCGGATTGTTCATTACAAGTTTAGAGAAATGCAATTGATTTTTGTGTATTGATCTTAAATCATGCAACCTTGATGAACTCACTTACTAAGTTCTAATAGTTTTACAGTGAAACTCTTAAGATTTTCTGTATACAAAATCCTGTCATCTGCAAATAGACCTCTTTTCTACTCTGAATGCGTATTGTTTCATTTTATGCTTAATTGTCCAATTTAGAATCTCCAATACAATATTAGATAGAAGTCATGAGAGCAGGCATCTTGTTTCTGACTTTAAAGGAAAAGCATTCAGTCTTTCACCATTAGTATGATGTTAGTTGTAGGTTTTACAAAGATACCCTTGCTTAGGTTATAGGTGTTGTGGGACGCAGGTTAAACGTATTTTTTGTGTGTGAAATTGTTTGCTTCTATATTTATAAGAGATAATGTTTTGCTGATTTCTTTGTATGACTTTGTCTTTTCTGGTATTAATTTAATATTGGCATAACTAAATGATATCAGAGGTGTTCTTTTCTCTTCCATTTTTGGAATGGTATATGACAAACTCGTTTAAATCCACTTAAAAAGTTTGAAAATTCACCAGGTAAGTCATATACACTTGGGCTTTTTATTGTGGAAATTTTATTTTTATTAAAAATTCAATCACTTCACATCTTAAAGGTGTATTCAGATGGTCTATGTCTTCTTGAGTCCATTTCAGTAGTTTTTGTCTTTCTAGGTTTTGTATATTCATGTTAGTTATCTTATATTTTGGTCTACGTTTATTCAAGATATTCCTTTCTATTTCTTTTATTTCTACTAGGTCAGTAGAAATGGCCCCTATTTTAATCCTTCTTTTATAATTTGATTCTCTTCTTTATTTTATTTCCTTAATGCAGCTAAAGATGCATCAATTTCATTGATCCTTATTTTAATTTTATTATTGATATATTTAATTCTGCCATTTTACATTGATTGCTCTTGGGCTTACAATATACATCTTTACTTCTGAGAAATTATTTCAGATTTATACTCAGTTCCAGTGCAATAAAGAAATTATCTCTATTCCAATTTCCCTTTACACACAAACACATTACATTTGCAAAAATAAATTGGCATAACTATTGCTTTCTATAATTTCATGTCTATTAAAGAAGATGAGAGAAAAAAGGAGAGTGAGTATATTTTTATATAGTTTGCTATATAGTTGTCCCTTGGTAGCATTGGGGAATTGGCTCCAGGACCTCTTGCAGATACCAAAATCTATGGATGCTTAAGTATCTGATGTAAAAGGATGTGGTATTTGCATATAACTTATGCACATCCTTCCCTATACTTTAAATCATCTCTGAATTACTCATAATATCTAACATAATGTAAATGTTATGTAAATAGTTGTTATACGGTATTACTTAGGGAATAATCATGAGAAAAAAGTCCGTATATGTTTAGTACAGATACAATTTAAAAAAAAATAATTTTGATTCATGGTTGGTTAAATCCACAGATGCAAATCCGTGGATATGGAGGGACAACTGTATTACATTTCTTCTTTTTATTTCTGGTTCCTTTCCTTTTTTCCTTTGGACTCAAATTACCATCTGATGTCAATATTCTTCCTCTAATACAGCTTTAATCTCACCCACATTTTAGTTTTATAATCAAATATGTTGTTATTCTATATGTTAAAGACCCAACAATACATAAACATTTATAAAACTGTTTTAAAATTCATTAAAAGAAAAGGGGAGGAAAAATGTACTGAGTATATTGTCTACCAGTCTGTTAGCAATGAATTATCTCTAATATTTTGTGGATTTTGTTTTTTGTTTTTTTAATCTGGGAATATATTTGACATCATATTTAAAAGACAATTTTCTGTGTATTGTATTCTTGTTTGAGAGGTTTTCTTTATTTTTTCTTTTAGCACTTTGTGTATACCACCTCATTGTTTTTAAGCCTTCATTGTTTAGGTGGGGATGTTAGCAGTTAATCTTATTGGATTCCTTTGTAAATGCCTAGTTATTTTTCTTCTGTTGCTTTTAAAATTTTCTTTTTGTTTTTGTCTTTAATTTTCACTATAATATATTTAGGTGTGAGTCTCTGTATTTATCCTACTAGGAGTTTTCTCAGCTTCACATATGTGAAATTAATATTTTTATGAAATTGTGAGATATTCAGCCATTATTTCTTAGACTATTTTTCTGCTCCTTCTCTCTCCTCTCTAGTACTCACATTATTTATATTTTATGTAATTAATGCTGTCCCTCATTTCTCTGAGTCTATGTTCATTTCCTTCATTCTTTTTTTGATTTTCTTCAAATTGCATAATCTCTATCAAGCTGTCTTTGAGATTATTGATTCTTCTTCCTGTCCACATATTCTGGTGATTCCCTGTGGCAATTTTTTTGTTTTCATTTTGGTTATTGTATGTTTTATTTCTAAAATTTCAATTTGGTTTATTTTCATAATTTCTATTTATTTGTTGATATTCTCTGATGAACATTTCCATCAAAGCTTCTTTACTTCTCTATGCAGCATTTATTTAGTTTTTTTGAAAATTTTTATAATAAATTCTTTGAAATTTTTGTCTGTTAAATCAGCATCTAGGCCTTCTCACAGGTAATTTCTGTTGTCTGCATTTATTCTTATATATAGATTACATTTTCCTATTACATTGTATATCTTATAAATTTTTGTGAAAACTATACTTTTTAGGTATATATACGTATACATACATGTATACATACATGTATACATACATGTATACATACATGTATACATACATGTATACACACATGTATACATACGTATACACACATGTATACATACATGCATATATAGGTATATATACATACATACATGCATATATAGGTATATATACATACATACATGCATATATAGGTATATATACATACATACATGCATATATATAGGTATATATACATACATACATGCATATATATAGGTATATATACATACATACATGCATATATATAGGTATATATACATACATACATGTATATATATAGGTATATATACATACATACATGTATATATATAGGTATATATACATACATGTGTACATATAGGTATATATACATACGTGTATATATAGGTATATATACATATGTGTATATATGTATAGGTATATATACATACGTGTATATATGTATAGGTATATATACATACATGTGTATATACATATGTGTGTGTGTATATATAGGTGTGTGTGTGTGTGTGTGTGTATATATATATATAGATATATAATTTTTGTTTTGTGTTTGTTTCTTTTTTTTTTTTTTTGAGACAGTCTCCCTCTATCCCCCAGGCTGGAGTGCAATGGTGCAATCTCAGCTCACTGCAACCTCCGCCTCCTGGGTTCAAGCATTTTTAAGCAATTCTCCTGCCTCAGCCTCCCAAGTAGCTGGGATTATAGGTGCCCACCACCACGCCTGGCTAATTTTTTGTATTTTTAATAGAGATGGGATTTCACCATGTTGGCCAGGCTGGTCTCAAACTCTTGACCTCAGGTGATACATCCACCTTGTCCTCCCAAAGTGCTGAGATTACAAGTGTGAGCCACCGTGCCTGGCCTAGGTAATATACTAGGTCTAGATACTGATTTCCTTAACTTCCTCCAAGGCTTGTTTATTGTTGGGGTGTGTGTGTGTGTGTGTGTGTGAGAGAGAGAGAGAGACACACACACACACACACACACACACACACACACACAGAGAAAAACAGAGAGAAAGAAACTTGGCTATTTCAGTCATGTCCACATTTCCTGCATGTTAAGCCTCTGGTGCTCTTTCTCAGGAGGTTCTGCCATGGATATGTGCGTAGTCACCCTGAGATGAGATGGTTTTTGTAGAGCTTTCTTTGTGTCTTTCTCTGATTTCTCTTCAGATTATCTGCCTTATTTGGTATTATTCTCAGTCCAGTCTCAGCTAATTTGTGACTGATTGCTCTCTTAATTTCCAAAGTGGCCTCGGACACAAATTACATCTTAGTCTGATCCAATGACATTTAGATCCCTTTGCAGAGATAGGTTTAGAAGCCAGTCTTTGAGGTCTATTCTGACCCCTGGAGTGGTCTATTTAGCTATCTTTTTTTTTTCTTGAACTCTAATAAACTGGTTGGCTTATGATTTAGTTGCTCCTTCTCAATGATCCACCAGCCTCCTCTTAATTACTGTTTCAATCACTCCCTTAGGTTGAAATTTTCTACACTCTGTTTTAAATAAAGTTTTTAAGGGGCACTTTGGAGCTGTCTATTTTTATGAATTACCACATCCCCTGATTGTAATCTTTATGCTAGTGCTCCAGAGTTGCAGGGGGTGGACAGCAGGCTGTTATGATGAATGGGGTGCTGGGTAGGAAGGTAGCCTCTCACTTTCTCAGCTTGCCTTTGCTTATGTGGAACTTCTGCCCTATATGCAAGCTGGGCAGGAGCAATCAGGTCCCCAATATTTTTAGACTGTTGATCCTTGGGTAGGCTCCTTGTCCTATGAGTGGTAGCTGAGTGGGGGAAGTGAAATTCTGATATCGTAGCCACACTAGCTCTTGTATAGCCTTTGCAACTTGAAATTGAGGACAGAGGGTGTGGTATGAAAAATGCCTGCAGCCTGCACCTCCCAATGAGATACTGTTAAAATTGCCAGTACCAAAATGGAGTCACTTAACTTAAACCCTAACAAAATGTAGCTGAGAGCCAATGAAGGAAACGCCCTCATACATACATGTGTGTCACAGAAGCTGCCAAGGAGAACTTTTCTAACTGGAATTTTTAGTTAAACCACTTCTATGAAGACCCTCTTCAAGTAACAATCAGTACCATCAATGAACAGATTTTACCTCCTGCAATAAGCTCTTGTAACAAATGATCTTTCTTTCAAAACAGCTTGCATGGATTCCTCCTTTTTGTCTTTAAAAGCTTCCTCTTGCCACAACACTCTGGGATGTACCTAGGGGCTGCCATAATATGTGAATCCTAGATTGCAATCCTATGCTATTCCCGAATAAACTTTGTTTTTGAGAGTTGGCCTCTCTGCCACTCAGTTTAGGCTGATAATATTGTATTCTTTGAGTGGAATCTGAGGGAAAAGGAGTTGCAGGTTTTGTCCACACATGTCTAGAGTGGAGTTTTGATATGCTGAGCTGGGGGATGCGGTGAGGGAGGGAGCTAGCCTTTGGCCAAGTGCCACAGACCCTCATTGTTTTATCAAGATTCAGGGCCGGGTGCTGTGGCTCACACCTGTAATCCCAGCACTTTGGGAGGCTGAGGCGGGCGGATCACAAGGTCAGGAGATCGAGACCATCCTGGCTAACACGGTGAAACCCCGTCTCTACTAAAAATACAAAAAAATTAGCGGGGCGTGGTGGCGGGCGCCTGCAATCCCAGCTACTCAGGAGGCTGAGGCAGGAGAATGGCATGAACCCGGGAGGCGGAGCTTGCAGTGAGCCGAGATAGCGCCACTGCAGTCCGGCCTGGGAGAAAAGAGCGAGACTCCGTCTCAAAAAAAAAAAAAAGATTCAGGTTGCTTTCATATTTTATTTTATTTTTCATTTTCTGTGTGCCCTTAGGACAATGCAGGGACATTTTAAGTGGTAATTTGTTTGACTTAAAATTTTTCATCCGTACAGTTTTGCTAGAATGGAAAAATTTCCACGTTACATTCTGGAAGTTGGGAACAATTTGAATGGAGCTGATATATCACATAATAGGAATAGTGAATATTTTTAAGTTCAACAGGTATTTCTAGAAAGCCCATTATATGCTGGAGGTAGTCCTTAACCTCATTAACCTAAGAGACAGGCTTTCATATATCCCATTTCTATCAAGAATATTGCTATGAAGATTGACATTAAATAATACATCGACAATAAGTATATAGCATTAATAATAAGAGTAATAAGCAATAAAACAATAATATAAAATAGTATTACAGATTACAGTGATAGATAGAGTCTGGATTGGGGGCAAGTGCAAAAATACTCTACATGGAGTGAACTAGGTAGGCTTTACTGTATGTGGTATTAGCACGGAGATTAGAAGATGAGAAGTGATGCATATGAACAATCCAGGAAGATCATTTGAGATAAAGAAACATGCCAAAATGAAGTTTTAAATAATAACAATAGCTAATGATTTCCTATATTGAATCATGTTATAGGCCTTAGTATAAATGCTTTATTTACACATTATCACATGAAACTTTTAAAAATCTAATGAAATAAATAATATGATGTCTTTATTTTACAAACAATGACAGTGAGGAGAGAAATGGTGGAGCTGAGATTTAAATATAGGAATTCTGGTCCCAGCAACCACGCTATTAAGCATTTACAGTGCTACCTCCCTTGAAATGTATCTATTATAAGATGGCATTTAAGACCTAACTGCCAACCTTGGAGAGAGGAGTTTTATTAAAGTTTGGGAGTAAAATAAGACTTGTTGAGAAGAAGGCCCTGAGTTTCAATTATTATTTTTAGCTTTTGGCAGAAAGAAGACAAAAAATGATAGTAGGCCATGTGGTTAATAAGAGAAAGGGAAATTTTCACTTTTTTGCTTTTGTTATTGTTGTTCTTTAAAGGTTAATAATAATCCAAACAAAGAGCTACTAGAGAAAGAGAAATTAAAGATTCAGGAGTGACTGTAGATAATTGAATAAGGTCCCCATGGTAGAAGGAATTGAGGTAGGAAGCATAGGTAAAGTTTAAGGTTGTTAGAGGCTATTTTTGTTATAAAAATGAAATTCTTTTCCAAGCTTAGAGGTTGAGAGATTTTTCAATGTAGTAAGAGAATTATATTTAAAGCTAAAAAGGACTTTGCAATTAGATGAGATAAAAAAGAAACAAGTACATTTACCTTATAGAAAATAGCAGTGTTGCCAAATACCAATGGATTATACAAACTCAATTAAAATGAATTATTATTAATAGTTTTTCATGTTAACTGACAATATGGATACATTTAGATATGATTAAAATAATTATGTTTCTAGAAGCTAGTCTAAAATCTCATTTATCTATTCAATGCCTTCTATGTCTGTAGTGGAATAAAGATTCACTTTACTTTCCAATTAATAGCAAAGATAAAAGAGATAAACTTTAGAGATAGGGCAGATGTAAGTAATAAAAAAATCAAACAAATCATAGCCACATGTGGATTAGCTTATGTACCTGAAAAGAAAAATGTGTGCTATGATGAGATTCAATAATAGTTCAATTACAATAGATCTTATGAAGGGCCAGTTGAGGGCTTGAAACAAATATATCAAGTTCAAAAATAGTTTCTGAGAGTCAATTGAAGCCACTGACAAGCAATTATATATCTACATAGGAATCCAAAATCAAATAAAGTTGGCTTAGTTATCCATATAGCAGCTAATTGACCAGATGTATTCCAAAATAAGACAATCTCATATTTGCATCACAGAAGTAAATGAAATTGTTAAACCAATTTCTTCTAAATAAAGAGAGAGAATAAAATGAAATTTGCAAGCATTAAGATAAAATTCAATAGCTGACATGAAGCATTTGTGAAAATGTGAAGAGCTCATAGAAAACTAAGGAAAATGCATTGCCTTAAATGTCCTTCAAAAAAGCCTTAAAAGTGTCTAATATTAACTAAGAGTAACATAATAGTAAACAATAATAAAGATTTATAGCAATCTAATATGGAAGTACTAAATGCCTTTTAACTATCACCTTTCTCTAGTGTATTTTTCTGATGATTTATTCTGATGATGTTAAAGTTGAACTGAAAGTAAAATTCTTACTTATGTTGTGCAGTGTTTAAAAATGTGATTTTCAAAAACTAATGGGGGCCAGTCACAGTCACTCACTCGTGTAATGTCAGCCCTTTGGGAGGCTGAGGCAGGAGGATTGCTTGGGCCCAGGAGTTTGAGATCAGCCTGAGCCACATAATAAGATCCTATCTTTATAAAAACAAAATAAAGTGAGCTGGGCATGATGGCATATGCCTGTAGTCTCAACTACTTAGGAAGCTGAGTCAGGAGGATTGTTTGAGCCTAAAAATTTGAGGCTATGGAGAGCTATGATGGGGCCACTGCACTGCAGCCTGGGCAACAGACAGAGATTCTGTCTCCAAAATAAAAACAACAACAACAAAAACAAATGGGTATGCCATGTATCCCTGTTTTATTTGTTATATGATCCAAAGAAAAACTATCACTATATTAAATTTTATTGTTTTCTTGTCCTTTCCAGAAAAAGATGAAAATTTAAAACACTTTGCAACAATAGTCTTTCTATAAGCAAACATCCACAACAAAAAGTGAAGTCTCCATGGGCTGGGTATTTGGGAGAGAGCTGTCAGAGTGTTATGTAGAATATGAAGGAGGAACCAAGTTTCATTGCTTTCTAATCCAAAAGGCAAACTATCAGCTAGATGTCTGGCTGTTTTCAAGTAAAATATTCTAAAGTTGTTTATAAAATACGCTTTCAGACTTTTCAAGACAGCGCATTTCTTATCAATAACTTTTTGGGGAGCGGGGAGATGGCAGGTGAAAATGAAAATGAAGGCTATATAAGGAATATGAAACAACACAAGGAAAATAGTAGATATAAAAAGTTCTAAGTATCTGTTGATAAATGATTGTATGATAGCTTCCCCATTAGTGAACAAGATTAAGAGGTACTAGCCACTTAAATTTAACCTAAAATCAGATCTGTTTAAAAGAAAGATGGTTAGACCATACTTACACAGGTATAAGGTTAGAGGAGTAAATTATTTGACAGCTAAAACCATTCCTGCACACTTCTACAAAATATCCCAGATTTCTCAAGTATTCATCACCTCATGGGTAGATGAGAATTGTGCATTCTTCTGCAGCACTGTGATAGGATTCACACAATTGGACCTGGATTCCAGCTGTAAGCCAGGAAGGTCAAATTTAATTTCAAGAATTCAGAATAAAACCAATGTCCAGCCTGTGTTTAATAAATGAAGTTTATTGCTTTCCTTTATGCATTTTAGTATTATTTTAGCAATTAAGAAGCTACTTTCAGGCAATTTCCCTTTCCTGTAAGATCTGGAACAAGACAAAGATGTGCACTTTTAGCACTTTCATTTAACATAGTACTGGAAGTCCAAGCCAGAGCAATTAGGCAAGAGAAAGAAATAAAGTGCATTCAAATTGGAAAGGAAGAAGTCAAATTGCCCTTGCTCACAGATGACAAGATCCTATATTTAGAAAAACCTAATGACTCCACCAAAAAGCTGTTAATACTGATAAACAAATGTGTATAATTTTTGCATAGCATAAAACAATCTGTGAAAATATATAGTTAAAAGAATGTACGTTGTGACATTGTTTTTTCTTAAAAAAGGAAATATATTTTCATCAGTTATGTGTTGGTGTATTATGATCTCAATATAATGAAAAACTATTTAGTAATTGAAATAAAATTATACATAAATATTAGTTGATATGGAAACATTTCCATACATTATTGAATACAACTAGTTTTAAAATAACTGTTCATGAAAATATAATATTTTCACTAACCTTCTTATCTATTTTACTTCCCTATCCAACATACATAATTTAAAAGTTTTAATGTGTTATTTTATTTTATTGTTCTCATATGTAATGGAGAGAGTTGCTCTTGTTGCACATACGTTGTTAACGTACATAATTCTTATTGTTCCCTCACCCCACTGATTGAATAAGCAATATGTCCTTTGCAATATAAATTTGTTTCTCTATATAAATATGAACTTTACTTTTCCCCAAATATTGGTTAGTTACTCTATTTGATAAATTTATCTTGAAACAAATGTGCTGTTCTTGTGAGTGAATCCCCAGCCAATCCTCAATGAGCATGTAGCATGATTAAACCTCAGTTGCATAAACTTCTGGCTTTGATTTTTTTTATCCCCAATTGTAATGTAATCAATAGACTAATATATGTAATTTGAAATCAAAGTATACTAACACTATAAAATGAGCTGAGTGGCTTACACCGTTTTTATTTTCTCAAAGAATGTTGCAAGGCATAAATCATTACTTAAATTTTTGGTCTGTTTTGCCTGTCCATATATTAAAACTTGTTTTATTTATGATTTTTATTTTTTTCTTTTAGAGAGAGGGTTTTGCTCTGTCACCCAAGCTGAAGTGCAGTGGCACAATCATACCTCACTGCAGCCTCAATTTCTTGGGCTTAAGTAATCCTCCCGCCTAAGCCACCACCAAAGTGCTGGGATTACAGGTGTGAGCCACTGTGACTACCCTTGTTTTATTTTTTAATTAATTTATTTGATACTTACTAATCAATCAAGTTCATTCTGTCTTTTCCTCTGATTTGGGGCCCTATTTTTCCATGTTGAATATATTTATTTTATTAAACAACAAAATTCATCATACAATAAATTATAAAAGGTATCTGATTTTTTCATCCTCATTTTGCAGTAGTCAGAATGGATAGACTTACATAGTCATTTACTCTACAATTTTAAAGTGAAATCATTTTTATCTTTCAATATCCGATCAAAGTAGAAAACATCCTCTGTATGGTAGTTGAAGAAAACTAATACCATAAAATGTTGAGGAAAAGCAAGACAACAATAAAGTGTTTATTGAGTACTTATATTATGCCAAGCAATATTGTGAGTGGTCTGTGTTTAAGAGCACAGATTCTAGAATCTGATTTTTTGAGATTTTTGAACCTAATTATTTTACATCCCATTTGTGTGATTTGGAGTAAAATATTGATTCTCTATGGCCTTCTGGTGCGTAATTTATGAGATTAAAATAATAACAATATGTATCTCACTAGACCACATAAAGATAAAATATGTTATTTCGGTGGCTTTGTCTTTTTCCCACCAAACTCTTTTATAAATACAGAGAACCTTATATGTGAGAGGCAAAAACAGAGAGGCAAAAGCAAAACTATTCTTTTGAAATGGGTAAGAGGGCTCCTTGCCTTATTCTCCCTTGTATGTGTTCTACTCCTTCCCTCAAACCAGGTAGCTGAAGAAAGTACCTCTTCAGAAATATAGGCATTAAAGGAACAGAAATAAAAAAGAGAGAGATGTCTAGTATTTTTTATCAGAAATGAATCATCAAGCTACATGGTTAATTTTGCCTTAAATAGAATTTTGCTATCTTCTGAGTGGCATAGATAAGTAGGAAGGAATGATATATATTTTCTTTCTTTACATCATCACCACAAACATTCAACTTACTATAAGCAAGTCACTATGCCATGTTTTGGGTATGCAAGTAATAAATAATTGGGCATAGGCAGCATGGGGCTGGTGTCTCTCTGTGTTGTTTCAGAGGTCAGGAAGAAACTTGTCCTTAATGATAGACAAATCTTGGCATCAGATTCTGGCCTCACCATTTACTAGCTGAAAACTGTATGAAAGTTAGAAAACCTCTCTGAGACTGAGTTTGTTTGTTTTAAATTTTATCATATGGCAACCTTCAATGAATATTTTGAAGAATTCTGATGATATAAGGTCACAAGTTGATTGATTGTGATATACCTCTTAGGGCTTTCCATATAGTGTTAGTAATTTACTATTTCTCTAAGGGATGTTTAAACAATTATCTCTGTCTGGAACTACACATGGTGCTTACAGCAGTCTCTGACTTTATCAATGTGAATCAATAAATCCAATCTGATATTTTATTCTGGAAAGACCCAGGTTTGGCTCCAACTTGTTTTGACCACTACCAATATGTAGACTTTCTTTTGCCCATTATTGGCCCTAATCCTTATCTACATGAATATATCTTAGCCTAATCCACTAAGAGTAATTGTGCATGTATGATACCTGGATCAAATAATTTGGCACTCTTAACTTTAAAAGGAAACAGAACAGTCATTGAAAGCTCAAGTTTTTAAAAAATTAAACTTATATTACCATACTATAAGATTATAAGTGCTGAGTGACCTTCCTAGATGGCGGTTGCTTCATCTTAAATCATGTAAATAGATAAATCAAGAAAAAACTCATTATGAAAATGTACTTGATTTACATGTGCTAAATGCTTACAACATTCTGCTATAGAAAAATATACACTTTTTGAGGGAATTAGGGGAGAAAATGATGGATAGGAGACAGAATTAATTTGAAGCCCCTACTTGGATAGACAGAGCAGCCTGTGGTGGAGGCACATCATGAACTTTAGGTCCATGACCTACTGCAGGAACATCCCAGGAAAGCTGAGAAAATCCATGGACGCTTTGAAGGAAGTGAATTGCTGCTGCAGGCTCAAGGAGACAGCCAAAAAACTGTGAGTGCCCAAAGTGTGAAGGTGTGAAAGGGAGATCATCTGCCGCCTCGAAACGCACATCCTCACTGGGAAAGCTAAAGGTCCAGGTCGCAGGAGATGGATTTGACCTCACCTGGAGCTGATATGAATTTATAGAGCCCAGTGAAACAAAGGTGTAGAGGAAGCAGCAGCAAGAGCCCTGTGGGCACTCTCAGTGCCCAGAGAAACATTTGTGACTTTGTCTCATAGACGTCCTTTGGGAGGGCTACCAGGAGAATTAGGGAAAGATCACAGGGAGAAGGAAACTTCCAGCTGACCTTAGTAACAATTTTAACCAAACGAGAAGTTTCCTGGACAAAACCTGGGGGAGGGGGCAAACCAAGAGTTCAGAAAGGAGAACAGAAGCCATGGCAGGCGGGGAGGTGCAAAACCTGAAAGTCCTGCTTGCTTTCTTAGCAGGAAGGCTTATAGCCTGCGACAAGTTCTCAACCCTGCTCACTCACTGCCTGATAATAAACTTGGTGTTGTGTGGGGCACAATGGGAGTGCGACCAGCCTTGTAGGCTGTGTGGGAGCTGGGTGAGGCCTGTAAATGCCAGTTGTCCCCCACTTCCTTGGCTACCTGTAAAATTCAGCATAGGCAGCCATAATCTTAGGAACATAGTTCCAATGGCCTGAGAACCACACCCCCATCCTCAACAGCAGCGACAGCAAGCCCTGCCAGAGGAAAGTCTGAGCTCAGACATGCCCAAAACTGCCCCCACCTGATGGTCTTTCTCTACCCACCCTGGTAGTCAAAGACAAAGGACGTAATCTCTTGGCAGCTCTATGGCCCTGCCCACTGCCTGAGAAACCAAGTACTTATCCAGCTGACCCTAGAGCAAGCTCGCATCCTCCCTATACTACCACAGGTGATGCTGTCTTGAAAGTGCTACTTCCTGGCTGGAGGCCAACCACACAAAACTAGAGCCATAAACAAAAATACCAAGGAACCTCACAGAGTTCACTTCACTCCTGTGCTACCTCCCCTGGAGCAGGTGCTGGTATATATGGCTGAGAGACCTGAAGATGGATCAGGATGTCACGACTTTTTGTAGATACTCCCCAGTACCAGACGAACACCTAGTAGCTCTGTTGGATGGCTAGATCCAGAAGAGAAATAACAATCACTGCAGTTTGGCTCTCAGGAAGCTACAACCCTAGGGGAAGAGGGACAGCACCACAGTAAGGAAGCACCCTGTGGGACAAAAGAATCTGAACAGCAGCACTTGAGTCCCAGATTTTCCCTCTGACATAGTCTATCCAAATAAGAAGGAACCAAAAAACAATGCTGGTAATATGACAAAACATGGTTCTTTAATACCGCCAAAAGATCAAATCAGCTCACCAGCAATGGACCGAAACCAAGAAGAAATCTCTGGATTGCCAGAAAAAAAAATTCAGAAGGCTAATTATTAAGCTACTCAAGGAGGCACCAGAGAAAGATGAATACCAACTTAAATAAAGTTTTAAAATGTTACAGGATATGGAAGAAAAAATCTCCAGGGAAATAGTTACCATAAATAAGAAACAATCACAACTTCTGGAAATGAAGACCACACATAAAGAAATGCAAATACACTGGAAAGTCTCAGCAATAGAATTGAACAGGTAGAAGAAAAAACTTCAGAGCTTGAAGACAAGGCTTTTGAATTAATCCAACACAACAAAGACAAAGAAAAAATTTTTCAAAATGAATAAAGCCTTCAAGAAATTTGGAATTATGTTAAATGACCAAACCTAAGAATAATTGGTGTTCTGGAGGAAGAAGATAAATCTAAACATTTGGAAAACATATTTGAGGGGATAATCATGGAAAGCTTTCCCAGCTTTGCTAGAGATCTAGATATCCTAAAACAACAAGCTCAAAGGACACCTGGGAAATTCATTGCAAAAAGATCATTGCCTGGGCACATGCTCATCAGGTTATCTAAAGTTAAGAAAAATGAAAGAATCTAAAGAGTTGCAAGGAAAAAGCCTTGGGTAATCTATAAAGGAAAACCTATCAGTTTAACAGCGGATTTCTCAGCAGATCCCTACAAGCTAAAAGGGAATGGGGTCCTATCTTTAACCTCCTAAACAAAATGATTATCAGCCAAGAATTTTAGATCCAGCAAAACTAAGCTTCATAAATGAAGGAAAGACACAGTCTTTTTTAGACAAACAAATGCTGAGCAAATTTGCCATTACCAAGCCAGCATTACAAGAACTGCTAAAAGGAGCACTAGATCTTGAAATAAATCCTTGAAGTACATCAAAAAAGAAGCTCCTTAATGCATAAATCTCCCAGGACCAAAAAACAACAACACAATAAAAAAACCCAAGGTACTCATGCAACAAATAGCATAAGTAATAGAATGGTACCTCATATCTCAATACTAATGTTAAATGTAAATGGCTTAAATGCTCCACTTAACAGATACAGGATGACAGAATGGATAACAATCCACCAATCAAATATATGCTGTCTTTAAGAGACTCACCCGACACATAAGGACTCACATAAACTTAAGGTAAAGGTGTGGAAAAAGATATTCCATGCAAATATACACCATAAGCAAGCAGGAGTAGCTATCAGACAAAACAAAGTTTAAAGCAACAGCAGTAAAAAAAGGCAAAGAGAGACATTACATGATGAAAAGACTTGTCCAACAGGAAACTATCACGATCCTAAATATATATGCACCTAACACTGGAGCTCTCAAATTTATAAAACATTTACTGCTAGATCTAAGAAATGACATAGACAGCAACACAATAATAGTGGGGGGCTTCAGTACTCCATGGAGAGCACTAGACAGGTAATCAAGACAGAAAGTCAACAAAGAAACAACGAACTTAAACTATACCTTCAAACAAATGAGGTTAACAGATATTTATGGAACATTCTACCCTACAACTGCAGAATACTCATTCTATTCATCAGCACATGGAACATTCTCCAAAACAGACCATATGATAGGCCACAAAACAAATCTCAATCAATATAAGAAAATCAAAGTTATATCAAGTACTCTCTCAGACCACAAGAATAAAATTGAAAATTGATATGGTTTGACTGTGTCCCCACCCAAATCTCATCTTGAATTCCTACATGTTGTGGGAGGGACCCATTGTGAGGTAATTGAATAATAGAGGTCTGTCTTTCCCATCCTGTTCTCATGATAGCAAATAAGTCTCATGAGATCTGTTGGTATTATAAGGGGGAATTTCCCTACACAAACTCCTCTCCTCTTTGCCTGCTGCCATCCATATAAAATGTGACTTGCCCTCCCTTGCCTTCCACCATGATTGTGAGGATTCCCCCATCTATGTGAAACTATAGGTCCAATTAAACCTCTTTCTCTTGCAAATTACCCAGTCTCGGTATGTCTTTATCAGCAGAATAAAAATGAACTAATACAGTAAATTGGTACCAGTACAGTGGGATGCTGCTGAAAAAAATACCCCAAAATGTGGAAGCGGCTTTGGAACTGGTTAATAGGCAGAGGTTAGAACAGTTTGGAGGGATCAGAAGAAGACAGGAAAATGTGGGAAAGTTTGTAATTCCCTAGAGACTTGTTCAATGGCTTTGACCAAAATGTTGATAATGATATGGACAATGAAATTGAGACTGAGGTGGTCTCAGTGGAGATGAGGAACTCCTCAGGAACTGGAGCAAAGGTGACTCTTGTTATGTTTTAGCAAAGAGACTGGTGGCATTTTGCCCCTGCCCTAGAGATCTGTGGAACTTTGAAAGTGAGAAACATAATTTAGGGTATCTGGTGGAAGAAATTTCTAAGCAGCAAGGCATTCAAGAGGTGACTTGGGTGCTGTTAAAAGCATTCAGTTTTGGGCTGGGCATGCTGGCTCATGCCTATAATGTCGGCACTTTGGGGGGCCAAAGCAAGTGGATAAGCTGAGGTCAGGAGCCTGAGACTAGCCTGGACAACATGATGAAACCTCATCTATACCAAAAATACAAAAATTAGCTGGGCATGGTGATGGGTGCCTATAATCCCAGCTACTCAGGAGGCTGAGGCAGAAGAATTGCCTGAACCCGGCAGGCAGAGGTTGCAGTGAGCAGAGATTATTTCATTGCACTCCAGCCTGTACAACAAGAGTGAAACTCCATCTTAAAAATAATAATAATAAAATAAAATAAAGCATTCAGTTTTAAAAGGGAAACAGAGCATAAAAGTTTGGAAAATTTGCAGACTGACAATGAGATAGAAAAGAAAATTCCATTTTCTGAGGAGAAAATCAAGCCTGCTGCATAAATTTGCATAAGTAACAAGGAGTCGAATGTTAATCACCAAGACAATGGGGAAAATGTCTCCAGGGTATGTCAGAGGTCTTCATGGCAGCCCCTCCCATCACAAGCCTGGAGGCCTAGGAGAAAATGGTTTTGTGGGCCAGGCCCAGGGTCCCCATGCTGTGTGCAGTCTAGGGACCAGGTACCCTGCCTCTCAGCTACTCCTGCCATGACTAAAAGGAGCCAAGGTACAACGCAGGCTGTTGCCTCAGAGGGTGGAAGCTCCAAGCCTTGGCAGCTTCCACGTGGTGTTGAGCCTGTGGGTGCACAGAAGTCAAGAACTGAGATTTGGGAACCTCCACCTAGATTTCAGAAGATGTATGGAAATCCCTGGATGCCCAGGCAGAAGTTTACTGCAGGAGCAGTGCCCTCGTGAAGAACCTCTGCTAAGGAAGTGAGGAAGAGAAACGTAGAGTCGGAGCCACCATACAGAGTCCCTACTTGGGCACTGCCTAGTGGAGCTGCGAGAAGAGGGCCACCATCCTCCAGACCCTAGAATGGTAGATCCACTGACAGCTTGCACCATGCACCTGGGAAAGCCCCAGACACTCAATGCCAGGCCACGAAGGTAGCCAGGAGGGGTGCTATACCCTACAAAGCCACAGGGGTGGAGCTTCCCAAGACCATGGGAACCCAAGTCTTGCATCAGTGTGACCTTGATGTGAGACATGAAGTCTAAGGAGATCATTTTGGGGCTTAAGATTTGACTGTCCTGCTGGATTTTGGACTTGCACAGGGCTTGTAGCCCTTTGTTTAGGCCAATTTCTCCTATTTGGAATGGCTGTATTTACCCCATGTCTGTACCCCCATTGTATCTAGGAAGTAACTAATTTGCTTTTGAATGTACAGGCTTATAGGCAGAAGGGACTTGCCTTGTCTCAGATGAAACACTGGACTGTGGACTTTTGAGTTAATGCTGAAATTATTTAAGACTTTGGGGGACTGTTGTGAAGCCATGATTGGTTTTGAAATGTGAGGACATGAGATTTGAGAGGGGTCAGGAGCAGAATGATATAATTTGGCTGTGTCCCCAACCAAATCTCATCTTGAATTCCCACGTGTTGTGGGACAGACCTGGTGGGAGGTAGTTGAATAATAGAGGCAGGTCTTTCCCATACTCTTCTCATGATAGCAAATAAGTCTCATGAGATCTGATGGCATTATAAGGGGGAGTTTCCCTACAAGGGCTCCTGTCTCTTTGCCTGCCATCATCATTGTAAGATGTGACTTGCTCTTCCTTGCCTTCTGCCATAAGTGTGAGGCTTCTCCAGCTTTGTGGAACTGTAAGTCCAATTAAATCTCTTTCTTTTGTAAATTGCCCAGTCTCAGTTATGTCTTTATCAGCAGTGTGAAAATGGACTAATACAGAAATCAACTCCAAAAGGAACCCTCAAAACTATGCAAGTACATGAAAATTAAATAACCTGCTCCTAATTGATCATTGGGTCAACAATGAAATCAAGATGGAAATTTAATAAGTCTTTTAACTGAATGATAATAATGACAAAACCTATCAAAACCTCTGGGATACAGCAAAGGCGATGCAAAGAGGAACGTTCATAGCATTAAATGCCTATATCACAAAGTCTGAGAGAGCACAAATAGTCAATCTAAGGTCACATGTCAGGAACTAGAGAAACAAGAACAAACCAAATCCAAACGAAGCAGAAAAAAAAAAAATAACAAACATCAGAGCAGAACTAAATGAAATTGAAAAAAAAAAAAAGATAAATGCAACAAAAAACAGGTTCTTTGAAAAGATAAATAAAATTGATAGGTCATTAGCAAGATTAACCAAGAATAGAGAAGATCCAAATGAACTCAATTAAAAACAAAATGGTAGATGTTACAACTGATAGAACAGAAATACAGAAGATCATTCAAGACTACTATGAGCACATTTACATGCATAAACTAGAAAACCTAGAAGAGATGGATAAATTCCTGGAAATATACAACCCTCCTAGATTAAACCAGGAAGAAATAGAAACATTGAACAAACCAATAGCACGCAGTGAGATTGAAATGGTACTAAAATAAAATTGTCAACAAGAATGTCCAGGACCAGACAGATTCACAGCTGAATTCTATTAGACATTCAAAGAAGAATTGGTACCAATCCTATTGACACTATTCCACAAGCTAGAGAAACAGAGAATCTTCCCTAAATCATTCTATGAAGCCAGTATCACCCTAATACGAAAACCAGGAACGGACATAACAAAAAAAAGAAAACTACAGACCAATATCCCTAATGAATACAGATGCAAAAATCCTCAACAAAATACTAGCTAACAGAATCCAACAGCATATCAAAAAGATAATCCACCATGATCAAGTGGACTTAATACCTGAAATGTGGGGATGTTTTAACATATGTACTTCAATAAATGTGATAAACAGAATTAAAAATAAAAATCACATGATCATCTCAATAGATGCATAAAAAGCATTTGACAAAATCCAGCAACCCTTTATGATTAAAACCCTCAGCAAAATCGGCATGGAAGGGACATACTTTAATGTAATAAAAGCCGTGTATGACAAACACAGAGCCAACATTATACTGAACAGGGAAATGTTGAAAGAATTCCCCCTGAGAACTGGAACAGGACAAGGATGCCCACTTTCACCACTTCTATTCAGTATAGTGCTGGAACTCCTAGCCAGAGCAATCAGACAAGAGAAAGAAATAAAGGGCATCCAAATCAGTAAAGAGGAAGGCAAACTGTCACTGTTTGCTGATGATATGATTGAATTCCTAGAAAACCCTAAAGGCTCATCTAAAAAGCTCTTAGAACAGATAAAAGAACTCAGCAAACTTTCAGGATACAAAATTAATGTACATGTATCAGTAGCCCTGCTATACACAAACAGTGACCAAGTTGAGAATCAAATCAAGAACTGAACCCCTTTTATAATGGCTGCAACAATAATATAAAATACTTAGGAATATACCTAACCAAGGAGGTGAAAGACCTCTACAAGAAAAACTACAAAACACTGCTGAAAGAAATCATAAATGACACAAACAGATGGAAACACATTTCATGCTCATGGGTGGGTAGAATCAATATTATGAAAATGAGCATACTGCCGAAAGCCATCTACAAATCCAATGAAATACCCATCAAAATACCAATATCATTATTCACAGAGGTATAAAGAGCAATCCTAAAATTCTTATGAAACTAAAAACAAGACCACATAGCCAAAGCAAGACTAAGCAAAAAGAAAAAATCTGGAGGTATCACACTACATGACTTCAAACAAAAACATAAAGCGGGGAAAGGACACCCTATTCAACACATGGTGCTGGGATCATTGGCAAGCCACATGTAGGAGAATGAAACTGGATCCTCATCTCTCACCTTATACAAAAATCAACTTAAGATGGATCAAAGACTTAAATCTAAGACCTGAAATCATAAAAATTCTAGAAAATAACACTGGGGAAATGCTTCTAGAAACTGGCTTAGGCAAAGACTTCATGACCAAGAGCCCAAAAGCAAATGCAACAAAAACAAAGATAAATAGATGGGACTTAGTTAAACCAAAAAGCTTCTGCACAGCAAAAGAAGCAATCAGCACAGTAACACAGACAACCCACAGAATGGAAGACAATCTTCACAATTTATACATCTGACAAATGACTAATAACCAGAATCTACAAGGAACTCAAATAAATCAGGAAGTAAAAAACAAACAATTCCATCAAAAAGTGGGCTAAGGACATGAACAGAATTCTCAAGAGAAGATATATAAATGGCCAACAAACATGAAAAAATGCTCAACATCACTAATAATCACGGAAATGAAAATCAAAACCACAATGCAATACCACCTTACTCCTGCAAGAATGGCCACAATTAAAAAATAAAAAAAAAAAGAAATAGATGTTGGCATGGATGTGGTGAAGAAGGAGCACTTTTAGACTGCTGGTGAGAATGTAAACTAGTATAACCACTATGAAAAACAGTGTGGAGATTCCTTAAAAAACTAAAAGTAGATCTGCCATTTGATCCAGCAATCTGACTACTGGGTATCTACCCAGAGGAAAAAAAGTCATTGTAAGAAAAAGATACTTGCACTCACATGTTTATAGCAGCACAATTTGCAATTGCAAAAATGTGGAACTGGCCGAAATGCCCATCAATCAATGAGTGGATAAAGAAAATGTGATGTATAAAAGAAAATTGTGTGTGTGTGTGTGTGTGAGAGAGAGAGAGAGAGAAAGAAACAGAGATTCACTTGCAATTTTAGGAAAATTCTATATTTTTCATTCACGTATGTCTTTTATATGTGTCTAAAAATCTCACTATAAATGAAATATGTATATGCCCACACACACACACACACACACACACACACACACACACCATGGAATACTACTCAGCCCTAAAAAGAAATTAAATAATGGCATTCAAAGCAAGCTGGATAGAAATGGAGACCATGGAGACCATTATTCTAAGTGAAGTAACTCAGGAATGGAAAACCAAACACCCTATGTTCTCACTCATAAATGAGAGCTAAGCTATGAGGATGCAAAGGTATAAGAATGATAAAATGGACTTTGGGGACTTTGGGGAAAGGGTGGGAGGGGGTGAAGGATAAAAGGCTATACATTGGGTAGCGTGTACACTGCTTGGGTGATGGGAGCACCAAAATCTCAGAAATCACCACTAAATAAATTATTCATGTAACCAAACATCACCTGTTCCCCAAAAACCTATTGAAATAAAATGTTTTTTAAATTAAAAAAAATGTTGTTGTCACTGTATAAGGACTTCACTAATGTACTTAGCATTCTTGATATGATAAAATCCTATCATCTATGCTTATTTAAAAAAAGAGAAAAATATATACTTTTTATGATAAATATGATTAACAAATATGTAATATTTTAGTCCCATTTCTACATTTAGTTTCCCAAGGTTTATAAGCATAAATAAAATACATTAGGAATAACTAAAGAAGTATATACATGTTTATATTAGATTTTAATTTTATATATATTTTATATACATGTAGAGAGCATATATGCATATATTTGTGTGTGTGTGTGTGTGTGTGAGATATGCACTCACAATTTTAGGAAAATTCTTCTACATTTTTCATTCACGTATGTCTTTTACATGTGTCTAAGAATCTTGTTAGAAATGAATTAAAAATCAAAGTAAATTGATTTCTACCTTTGAATAAGGTGGTACTTTTAGTTTTTGACAACCCAGTGGGATCCTGTTTGATATTCTTCTTAGTTCTTCTGTGAAGCCTAACCATGTGTATGTTAAAGACAAAATGAAATAAAACAAATGACCCTGATACAGTCTCAACTAAGAGAATCCTTGAATAAAATTGTGGGCTGTAACTAGACCTTCTTCCTATCATCTAGAAGGTCGGATTCTACAGAGTGGCATTAGGAATCAGAGGTCTATCTCACTGTTCAGCATGAGTACTCTTGTTTCAGGAATATTTCAAAGTAAAGCTAACTGAAAGAAGTTTTTGACTCTGAGAAGAGTGCTCCTTGGGACCTTACCTTATAAATTAAGAGAGGTTTTCTCTTATTCTTATTGTAGTAACTGGGAGGAAGGAAGCATGATAATTATGACAGATTAATGCTGTCCATCAAAATTATATTTTCTCCCTCTTTTTAGGTGAATAGCAGGATTGGGTTTTCCTGCCACCTTTAAATGTGATTATGTGACTGGTTCCAGCCAATGAAATGTGAGAAGTGAAGCATGCCAGTTTGGCGCAAGAAGTTTTAAGTGCAAGCACACTGACAATGTGCACTGTTCTTTACTTTTGAAATGGTGATTTGTGTGTTCTAGATAGTGGCTGTTGTGTCATCATCAGGTCCAGAGAGAGAACATGATGACACAGAGCAGAGTTCTGTAGCTGACCTGAAATGGACATGTACCATGTCTGAAAAATAAATCATTTTTTAACCCTTTGAGCTTTTTGCATGTATTTATTATGGTAGCATAACTTAGCATATCCTGACTGAAGCAATAAAGTATTAAACTACTGGTTTTAGAAGTATACCATATTATACCATAATCATGACAAGAGTGTTATCATTCTGTATAGCAGTTCTTTTCACTTTGAAATTCTTGTATTTTCCCACTTATGTATTAAATTCTTAAATCTATCATCTGACTGAATCCTTACAATGACTTTAAGAAATAAATTAAACTTCTCTCCTACTCGTACATTAGAGAAAACAGAGGCTTATAGAAATTAAGTAAAGTCCCTAATACCACACAGCAAGTAAGTAGAGGCAGATCTCAAATACAGATTTATTTTAAACGGCAAATCTCATACCCTTAAACATTATGTTACATTATTTCTCTTATACAATGCCCCAAATCAACAAATAAAATGAACTAACCAAACATTGAATAGTTAGCAACTAAGTTACTGTTTTATCCATGTGTATCCAGGAACTATATAAGTGGGAGGTGAGGAAGTGGTAGCTGAAGGATCATACAAAAATGAATACATTAAGTCTCATAATGAGCAAGCTGGAGATTGGGACAATGTGGCGAGGAAATTGAATTGAGAGTCAGGGGTATGCACCTGGAAGCAGGAAACAGGAAGGAACAAAGCACTGGAGCATGACATGTTGAACCTGAAGTGGCCCATATCAGAGAAGACTGGTCATGCCGAAGTGATGAAAACCATAGTTACATAGTGGAAGAACTTAGGGAAATTAAGGGTTCCAGAGTAAAAATGGCCAACAAATGAAAGTATGAGTGCACAAATAGGATAAACTTTACAATCATTGCTGTCAAGTATCCAATATTAGCACAGTGTGTATACCTAATGATATCTGGAATGGATTTGCACTATGGAAAGTGTGAAAAACTGGTGAAGGTAATTTGTATTTATTTTGTACATCTAAACTTCTGCAATGAAATTTAAGAATTCATTTTAGTTATTTATGTTTTATTATTTATTTATTTATTTATTTATTTATTTATTTATTTATTTTTGAGACGAACTCTTGCTGCATTACCCAGGCTGGAGTGCAGTGGCGTGACCTCGGCTCACTGCAACCTCCGTCTCCCGGGTTCAAGGAATTCTCCTGCCTCAGCCTCCCAAGTAGCTGGGATTACAGGCATCCACCACCATGCCCGGCTAATTTTTTTTATTTTTAGTGGAGATGGGGTTTCACCATGTTGGTCAGGCTGGTTTCGAACTCCTGACCTCAGGTGATCTACCTGCCTCAGCATCCCAAAGTGCTGGCACCCAGCTATTATCTGTTTTATGTATATTATCTATATAGATTATAAAGAATGCTTGTGGTTATTTATTTTTCATATAAGATGAGTAAATACCTTACATTTAAACTTAGTGGAAAATTTCTAAAAATAAATGGGAAATTTTAAATAAATGACACTGAACATGTAGATATTTTAGATAATGATTTGAAAGCAAAGTATATTTCTTAAGATATACTTCTAAACATCAAAATCTTAAAAACTGGGAGAATCAAAACACTATATATGTTTGGGTTCTTTGAGACCCACAAATAAAGATATAATTGGGTGTGCATTTTTGTCCATAATATTTCAGGACTGCATATTAACCAGTTCTAAGGTGCAGTGAAGTTTTCTTTTTTAATATATTGAATTATAAAAAGTATCACTTTGAAATGATCTGTAGGTCACCTAGTATAGTTAGAGAGCAAATATGATGATTTTAGAATCCTTTTTTAAAGCACAGAATTGTAATAAACAATGAATCAAATTATCAAATATTTTCCCAACCATTTTTGCTCAATATATTTAGCAATTAGAGATTTATCATGTGTAAGCTTTATTCCAAATAAAACAAGGATTAGGGAAATGCACAATTAAATAGTCAAATGTTTATTTAAAGATGATTTTCTTGAATCTCCTTTAAATAGGGAACAATTATACTTAAATTGTTATTCTTCTTTTCATAAACCTTCTTATTCTCTGTTTGAATTCATAATGATGTGGGGTATTATCATATGAAGTGAAGCATTGTGGAACATTACACAAAGCTTTAGAGTTAAAAAATAAAGCTGAACAACTTTCACATTTTTGGCTAAAGATTTTGTTGTCATGGTTTATAATAGCATTCACACAGTCTCATCAGTCTTAGGTGGTTGAAGATTTATTCCTTGGTAGTTTTAATTTTTGTTATTTTTATTTTATATTATAGGCAGACATGAAGACCATGACATCATTGAGAAAGACCACCAGCTGCCCAAGACAAACTTCTAAACAGTCTACATTTAAGCTTATGTTGCTTTTTCCATGAACCCCAAAGTACATCTTCAAACTCATCATAGGTGGCTGAATTCTAGCATCTATTACAAAGATCTAATACAAGGATCACTGGTCCAGTCAATAGTGACTGGGGAGGTTAGGGTGAAGACACAAAGCATGAAGGTCCAGGTGCAAGTTTATGCTCATGACTACTCTGGCAAACTGATTCTTGGAACAATATCATTTAGACATTCATGAACTAGCTATACAAAAGCAATACAAAGCGACAATTCTTATTTCATGGTATTAAAAAAAGTTGTTTTTTCTATTGAACTTCCCATGAATTTTTATCTAAAATAACATGTTGTCGTAGATTCCTTGTTTACTTTATCCCTGATACTATTTCTGGCTTATTTGGAATTTCCCAAATCTGCCTTTAGATCACAATTTATACTCCACAGCTCAACCCCTTGAGCTATCTGGATCTACCCATATAAACTAGAAACCTAATTCTAAGTTTTTTGAAGATGACACAATTCTAATATGTGATATCATATCATAAGCCCTACTAAGATAGCCTAAATTATTTTATAGTTGCTGAGAAACGAAGGTACTAAGTTTAAATTCTGTAAGTCTATGAACAGCTATTTTTCTGGACCAGTACCTAATTTTGTCGAACATAAAAAAAGTTGTCTGGTTTCTTTCAAGACAATTTAGATTTTCTAATTTCTGTGAGAACTACAGCCAAAACTTCCAAAATGAGAGATTCTTTGAATTCAGCTGTCCATTAAAGTGTTGTCCAATGCCTGCTTTTGCTGTCAATTTGTTATACTTAAACACTGTGTGAAGAATTAAATTAGAATAAGCGTAATTCACTTTGATCTCAGTTATGACATTCCTTACTTTCTGTGTAATACACAACCTGTCTTATGAGTTGCAAACTATATTAACCTTGAATATATCAACATTTTAGCCTAATGTGCCCTTCCAATATTTTCTGATCTGATATGTGCCACCAATCAATACATTTCAGACACTTTTTCATACTCCACAAAGCTGTTAACATGTTAATCTATTCAGTCTATTCTTGTCCTTCACATGTCCTGACATTTTTAACTACTTAAAATAGAGGCATTTTCATCTTAAAGTCTTTATACAAGATTTTATTTCCAATACATCTCTTATACCTTGCCAACATTCTTAAGTATTCAAAAATGAGTTTTTTCTTTCTCGTTTATGAGCATGCCAGAGTATATCCAGTGATGGGGTGGGTGGGGCGGGGGTACACTCTAAAGCCATGTAGGTCTTCACGTTCTGTAATATTTATTCCTTCTTTAAAATTTTTCTCTATAGGCTTCGCCATGAAATTTCACAGAGTACAAAAATATTTATTTTCATATTCAGTTGGGACAGGGTCCCCAAGTCATATTCATTATATAAATTTGTCAATATTGTAATCAAAATCTATTCATTACTTTAGACTGTATACAGTGATTTCAAATAAATCATTCATTTAACTAGGCATGTGTACCATTCTTCATTTTAAGGAGAGGTGCCAAGGAGTGTAATGACTTGCCTTAAATTATGTAGCTAGAAAGTGTGAAAAGATTCCAACTCAGGAACTCTACTTTCAAATAGTCTGAACGTCCTATCAGACTATTTGACCCTAACTTCTCACTGCTGGACTTAACAATATGTCATGATTTAAAAGATAATAAGAATTATACCGTGATGTAGTGATGCTCTAAATTACTTAAAGATTTTGCATTGATACATGAAAAGGGACAGAGGGAGAATGAAAGCCGTGACCTCACTTTCAGGAATGTTATAGTGAAAATTATATTTATATTTTCTGTTTAATTATGCAGTAGTTGATAAGAGCAAAGTTACCTAAATACTAAAGCTGGAACAAGTTCTATTCATTCTAATTATTTATTGTTTATCCCATCCTGAACAGGAAAAACAAATACAACCATTTAACCCTTCCCATGCCTCCAGCTTTCACCTGATTATTTTGATCTCACATACAAGCCCCTTAACTCATTTTTTTTTCTTTCTTTTGACTGCATCTTCTATTACACTATGAACTCAGCTGTGATATAATATAGGGCAGATAGAAGTAGCTCAATAGTCTGGGAGCAGTGGCTCACGGCTGTAATCCCAGTATTTTGTGAGGCCGAGGCAGGCAGATCACCTGAGGTCAGGAGTTTGGGACCAGACTGGCCAACATGGTGAAACCCCGTCTCTACTAAAAATACAAAAATTAGCCGGGCGTGGTGGTGGGTGCCTGTAATCCCAGCTACTCAGGAGGCTGAGGCAGGAGAATTGCTTGAACCCTGGAGGCAGAGATTGGAGTGAGCTGAGATCGTGTGACTGCACTCCAGCCTGGGTGATAGAGTGAGATTCTGTCTCAAAAATAAAAGAAGTAGCTCAATAAACATTATCAAGTGAGTTAATAAGATGTTCCATACATCAAAAATTAATCATTTTGTAGTAATTCCACTACATAGCCAATTGTAAATATTTTTTATGTTAGAATGGATTATACTTTCAAGATATGTATTCTCTTCTGATAACCTTTTTAAAGTAGGCTAGAGTACTGTAGAAGACCTTTGATTACTCCAGGTCCAAATAGATAATTTAAGTATGTCTTATTCCTCTAGCAACATTTGTGCTTGATGCCTATAGTTAAAACTTGGGATTCAGATAAACAAACTGGAAAAAATAAAAGGGAGCATATTTAGCCAAATTTAAAAACAAAGATTTTAAATAACTTCATAGGCCTCCATTGATATGCAGGAAACTACTGATGCTAATTACAAATATTTATATAATAATACTTAATGATCTATAGCTATTTACAGGGTAAGTAAAAGTGAACAATTATAATTTACATGAAAGCAATAGTATGATTCTATTTTCTATGTTTATGGAATCAGGTTTTGGAAAGTTAAATAATGTGTATGTATTTTTCTGATGTTGAAACTATTAGTGGTAAAAAGCAATTCTAAATTTGAAATATTAAAATATGTGGATAACACATAATTAATATCACATCAAGTAAAATTTAACATCTTAACAGAGCTGATTAGGATGTAAATATGCTGGAGTTAAATATAGGCTCTTCTTTATTCTTCTACCTTTAGTATATTCTAATTAGAAAAGAAATAGTCTAAGACTTACCTTGGAATCCCAGCACATTTTGAAGGACCCTCTTTATTTGCACTGCCAGAATATTCATAACATCAGCGAATATTTACCTCTTTTTGCCTAAAGCCCTAACTGCAAAGCAACTTCGAATGACTCCTAAGTGAGTACTCCGTTACAGCGATCAGCTATCAAGGAGCTTCCACTACTCTAGTTGGCTTTACAAGATCCTCAACAAACAAAATCCAAACAGGAATATTAGTCAAATCTTCTGGTTGAAAATTAACATACCAGGCTGATCTGCAAAACCGCCTAAATTTATATTAGAAAAAGTAGTTGAGGCCAGTTGTAATGAACAGTTTTGGGGTTAGGATGGGTGAACATTATTATTTAGATTTGAAGAATTTTTCTTACATTCACGGATGTAATTTTCAGTCCTTAATTTTTATGACTCCTAGAGGCATTGGCCTTCGTGCGGATTCCACTCCATCACCACTCTTTGTGATTTTTTCTCTCTTATGTACCTTCCCTCTTCATGCTTCAATTTGTAAAAATCGTGATTGATAAAAAGGTGATTATGATGCCACATGCCTTACAGAAGTTGAGGACAAAATGAAGGTACTTTCAATTAATATTTTTATCCACAGTATAATGTCATCTTTTATTCTGTGATCCCTTGTGTTCTTATTTTTTCTTTCTGTAGTTCAGCCAGGGGTACCACTCCATTAAATAGCCAGTTACTGCAGCCCAAGAGCTCTATCTGCATGAAGACTAAAAGTTCAGTCGTCTTCCATGTGTTTCACACACCTCCAGGGAATATTTTCCTTTTCATAATCTATCCTGGTCTGACTTTGCACCTTTACTCTCAGCTACACTAACTTCAAATAACATGCTATCCCTGTCTCTAAACTACTCATCCCCATTGTAAACAGAGCTCTTTGTTTATTTTTCTAAATGCCAAAGTATGGTACTAAATAAAACTTTACCTGAAGGGGTGGGAGGAAAAGAAAAGGTAAAATAACAGTCTATCATTTCTTTATAATGAGGAACCCTAGCTTTCCACAAAAGTGTCCTTATTAGCTACTTTTTTCCTTACCTGACTTCTTACACAGAAGTCGTCCTCATATGTGGAAACCCCATCAGAAAAGAAAATTCATTTGGCATTATAATTTTTGCCTAGGAAGTTGAAAAACTTTTACATATTATACAGACTCATTTCCCTAATTTGGCCCAAACTTTCCTTTTCAGAAAGGAAAGTAAGATCGTACCTTTGTGTAACCACAGTGTCTAATAAAGTGTGTTCCCTAAACAAGAGAATTCTCAAGAGAATACTGCTTTTGTTGAAGCAGTGTTTTGCTTCCTTACGCTAGAATCTGTCAGTAAAGATTCTTTCAAATTTTTAAAAGATTAAATCACAATATTACCATAAATTGAACGTTAAAAGGCCTTTGTAATTAAAACAAATAAAAATAGTATTGTAAATTCTCACCAGAATATCTACCTTAAATAAAGGTAATTAGAAATATATAGTTGACTTCTCATTTTCCTTCAGAAAAATGTTTACCAAATGGACATATTGACCTAAAATGCATTTTCTCTGTCTGCTTCAAGTTTGTTTCTGCAGCCAATTCTTTCTCAACATGAGGTAAAATTATGTTCAAGCCCAATCAAAAAAAAACTTCAGAGCCAAAAATAGTTGTGGACTTTTTCATTAGTTAAATTAAAATCAAATAAATATATAAGTGGAGCAGTGTTACTATGAGAAAATTGGCCTATTTTCCAAAATTATCAAGAGAAATGTGATGTCTTGTTGTATAGGAAGAAAAGGAATCCTGTGACTTGCTTTGGTCTTTCCAAGGTAAACCCTTCTCCTGACTCTATTTTTTGTGAACTATGCTAAATGGATTTATTCTATCATAAAGAGTTGAACACAGAGAGGCTACTGAAATAAAAGGTTTTACAAAACAGCTACCGCTATCTACCTTCTGGTTCTGAGCAGAAAGACTATTGAATACATATACAGAAGTATTAGTTTTCAGTCTACTTGAGGTAATCTAATGATTCATTTTCAAATTATGTGGTTATTGAAGAGAAATGGACAGGGTTTTTTAACTGTTCACAGATGAAAGCAATTACCACACCAGTGAAAGCACAAGAATTGTAGTGCATGGAAATTATAAGAAAGAAAAGCAAGGACTGAAGATACTTTTTACTTTTAATTCAATGTATAAAATATTTAGAGTAATGGCATCAGATTCATTAAACACTTTTCAATTTGTATTAAATTGTAAAAAAGTTGTTGCAAAATCAGTCTTCCATCTAATTAAAAAATATAAAGTCTAGTTTCTATACAGTGCTACTAATTGAACACACCTGAATAATTCATTTACCATAATTCACCCTGGTCATCATATAACAAAACTGGCCCTGACTAGAAGCACCTAACTGTTCTCTCAGCAAATAATTTCTGGAAATATGCTTTTGGCTATGCACAATGCTAGGTACAGGCCCATGAGCTTAATAAAACTTTAATATGTAAATAAGAATAACGTGTACTTTAAGTTACTTATATACTATTGTATTAGTCCATTCTCACATTGCTATAAAGAACTACCTGAGACTGGGTAAATTTATAAACAAAAGAGGTTTAACTGACTCACTGTTTCCCAGACTGTACAGGTTACATAGCTGGGGAGGCCTCAGGAAACTTACAATCATGGTAGAAGGCAAAAAAAGAGGCTGATAACTTCCTACATGGCTGGAGTATGAGGAAGAAAGTGAAAAGAGAGGTACTACACACTTTTCAACAACCAGATCTCGTGAGAACTCACTCACTATCACAAGAACAGCAAGGGGAAATCCACCTCCATGATCCTATCACCCCCTGACAACCCTCTCCTCCAACAATGGGGATTACACTTCAACACAAGATTTGGACAGGGAAACAAATCCAAACCATATCAACTATATACCTTGTGAAGTACATAGGGCAGGGTGGTGAAGTTGAATGGACAAAAATGGCTTAATTCAAGAATACTGCAATATGGGAGAGAGGCTAGAAGCCCATCACAGCTCAACCACTCTGAAAATAAGAGCTGGAGAGTTATGAGCTGGGGTGTGGTGAATTATATAAGCCACCTGTGTTTGCTACTTGGCATTACCCAAAGAAAACTGGCAAGAAAGCTTTAAAATGATTTACATCTTAAAGGGGAAGAGAAAAAAATTACAAGTTTTCTAAAGTAAAATCTCTAAGAAAAGGGAAGTCAGGCCAGGCTTGGTGGCTCACGCCTGTAATCCCAGTACTTTGGGAGGTCAAGGCAGGTGGATCATCTGAGGTCAGGAGTTCGAGACCAGACTGGTCAACATGGTGAAACCCCATCTCTACTAAAAATACAAAAAATTAGCTGGGCATGGTGTCAGGTGCCTGTAGTCCCAGCTACTAGGGAGTCTGAGACATGAGAATCACTTGAACCTGGGAGGCAGAGGTTGCAGTGAGCCGAGGTTGCACCACTGAACTCCAGCCTGGGCAATAGAGTGAGACTCCATCTCAAAAAAGAAAAAAAAAAAAAAAAGAAAAAGAAAAAAAGAAAGAAAAGAAAAAAGAAAAGGGAAGGGAGGAATAGAGTAAAGAGAAAACTATATAAAATGTAATCAAACTGAGGGGAACATTAAGGCCATCTTGGTCAGTGAAGAGAAAATACAAATTGACTGTAAACAATTTAAACAAATGATGCAAATTACACGGATAATCTTAATTAAAGCATATGTGGTACAATCACGTTTTTGTTCATTTGTATTTCCTTTTGAGTATCTATTCATGTCTGCAAGCAGTGGAAATCAAAAAATGGCAATTTCACTTGTCACAAGAGTGGATATCAAAATGAACAATCTTTACATTGCATGGATTACACTAAAAATTTAAAGGTGCCATGAAATTTATTTGGGCACAGTACAGTGCTTCAGTTTACTATAGCCTTCTAGACTGGGCCTACAGAAGCCATTGAAAACTCTCATTATCTTCTGCTTTTTAAAGCCTGCCCTTGTGGTTTTTGATGAAAGAAAGGTACAGAAATGCATTTGTTGTGGCCCTAGTGATGTTTAGCATCACTGTAGACAACATTTTAGATAAGAATCTTCCTTATATTTTGTAGGTATAGAAAACCTTAGAGAACACTAACACAAATTTGCTCCACACACATGCAGCTTTTGGAGGAAGAAATACTATCTCACATTATAAGACATATCACAAAAATAAAGTACAAAAATGACCAGATATTGTAGGAAAAAAATAAGTATTTAAGACGACCTTACTAAAAGTGCATTGTGAGAAGGCCTCTATGATCAGTGAAATAGTCTGAAGAATGAAAACGATGTTGTTTTTCATAACTGCCCTAATATCAGACTGGTTCTCATTGTTTCTCAGAATAAAATAATTGAAGCAATTTGTCCTCAAGACAAGTACTATATAACTCTATCTATTATTGCTGTTGTGAGTGTAGTCAAAAGTGTTAAACTACAGTTTGAATGAAACTTTCCAGATGTATAAAAATTGTTGCTTCTTTTAGTAGTTGTGGAAACCTTGCTTCCCAAATTACAGTGACAAATGGCCAACTATGTACTAGTCTGTGAGCTTCTTGTGAATTGCTGATGTCATATTTCACGTTGTGCACATATTAGCTCCCATTAAACATTTAAACACTTCTTGAACACATAAATAAGGGAATGTTCTTTGTATTTGGATCTTGGCAGAGTTTCAGTTCAGAAAAGGGAAATTAATCAATAGAGGTTTAATCCCTAGGAAAAGAGGAAATTTGTAAACTAAGGCTATTTGAAAGTGTTTTGTTTTTCTCATAATTGTAGAGTTACCATGTCATTTATTGTTCATATCAGAAAACGTTTGTCCAGGACAAGTATTAAACTAGACAGGAATCCCAATCATATGTTGAAGTTTCTATTACTCTACCCATTCTACAGATGATGAAACTGAAATTTATTTAGGGGTCAGACTTGACTCTATATAAAGTATCTGACTATGAGGTAATAAATAGGCCAAAATCATTAGAGAAAATGTGTTTCCGATTTCTATTTTGATAAGCTTTGTGGGATGCGAATTTTCCAATTTCTCTTGCTCTCACTAGCAAGTCCATTTGGGGACCACACAGGATGTTGCAGTCCTGATGGGAACTTCATTTGTCATCACTAGAAGCTTCCTTTGCTTAGGGCTTTGTAAAGTTAGAAGTGAATTAATTGAAAATAACCTGGTATATTTAAAATAATTATAATTATATGAAATTTATAAGCCAGTATGTTTAAACAAAAATACATATTTTAGGGACTATAAATAAGGTGTTATAGGGTCCAACTTTTAAACTTTCATTGTTCCCCTAGTAACCTTTCTATTCCCCAGGAATAGGGAAAATTATAGCTAGTTGATTATTTTTAAGAAAATTGTTTCTTTTCTTGTTCCATCAAAATTTCTCTTCTGGTCTAGGTTTAGCCTACCATTTTCTGTGTAGCATGATGTTTGAGTTTGCTCTTGTTTATCAGGAGTTGACTTTTTGTTTTGAGGAGAATAGTTTCATATGTGAAAAATGTTCATGCTTCAAGTAAGAACATATTATTTATATTATCTATTTCTATTTTTAATTTCCCAGCAGTTATACAGATCCTCTGTCTCAAATATAGTTAACAATATCTGCTATAGAATTGTGCTGTGTTTTATAGCACTAGGAAGCTATTATTTTGTCCCCCTGTTCACCTTCCTTTCCTTGTAATGATGAGGAAAATCATGGGGAAAGCACCTTTTAAAAGAAGTCTGAGCCAAAAATGAATCATCCATTGGGCAAAAACTACAGCTGTCATGTTACTTAGTGTGTTGTACCAGTAAACCAGTAAACACACTTCTTGGCTACAGAACACCAGAGTTTTAATATTGAAACATTTTATGTCATAAATTATACAGTTGCACATTCAAAATTCCCTAGTTCAAAAATATTTGTGTTTTTTTTCCCCAAAGATGGCAGATTAGAAGCTTTTAGGATGCCTAAGCCATTTGAAAATAGCAAGATAGTGCCTAACGATCAACTCTGTGAGCTTTAATTCAAGAACGGAAATGGGAATCCACCAGAATCATGAAGGACATCCCAAACCCTGGGGAGGAGAATGTGGGCAAACAGCCCCTGCGAAGGCATCTGGCTGATAAAAGTGAGTGAAGTCATTATGTGAGAGAGTCAGAGAGCCTCCCTCATAATTCACCTTTCCATTGGGGATCTGAGCAACCCAGGACAAAAGAGAACACTGCGTTTCTCCTAAGCCACGGAGGTAACTTGGGAGGCGGCTTGGAGACCCTGAGAAGGAAAGACTCTAGGAAAAGCTGCAGGCATTTCCCCCAACCTAGGACCTAGAGCAGGATGGCATTTTTAATCCAGACACATACGCAGCCAGGCGCAAAGCCAGGCACAAAGCCATTATTTGGTGACCTGGCAGTGTGCCCATACCAGCATTGTAATCTCAGGCCAGAGATTGGAGCACTTGCTCTGGAAAGTGCCTGAGGACTAGGCGCTAGAACTGTGCTGTCCCCCATCACAGGCCTGGAGCGGAAGGAGAGCTGCTACAGCTCTGGTTTCTCCTAGATTATAAGACATGCAGCCAGGGCCAGCTTGATGACCAGTAACCGGTCTGGGTGTGTCCTTGCTGGGTGCTCCATTCTGCTCCCCGGATATCCTGGTGCAGCAGAGCCCTCTCCACTCCTCCCCTATGCAGAATTTCAGGCATTTGGAGTGCCACCTTGCCTAGATCAGCAGCCTGAGATACCCACTCTTTCTGTGCATAGATTATGGTGCATTGCAACCCTCTCTGCTCCACACCCAGGCAGATTTCTAGGCATTCAGAGCACCTGCCTGCCTGGGCCTGCAGCATGAGCTCCTATCCTTCCTGGGCATAGATCCCGCTGAAGCAGGACCCTCCCTGTTCCACATCCACACAGAACTCCAGACATTCGGAGTGCTCCCTTGCCTGGATCAGCAGCCTGAGACACCCACCGTTTCTGTGCATGGATCATGGTGCAGAGGGACCCTCTCTGTTCCACATCCAGGCACATCTCCAGGCATTTGGAGTATTCACTCACATGAACTAGCAGTCTGAGTCACCCTACCCTTCCTGTGCAGAGATCCTGTTACAGAGGGTCCCTCTCAACTTCAAGCCCAGACAAATCTCCAGGCACTTGGAGCACCTGCTCAACTGGCTCTGCAGCCTGAGCCACCTCACCCTCGCCATGCGGACACTGTGGTGCACTGAATCTTTATCCACTCCACACTTAGGCAGATCTCCAGCCAGTCAGAGCACCCACTCACTCAGATCAGCAGCCTGAACAACCCAGATTTTCCTCTACAGAGACCATGGTGAAGTGGGGCCCTTTCTACTCCACGCCCAAGCAGACCTCCAGACATTTGGAGTTTAGGCTGCACCCACTCCCCCTCACCACCCCCGTGCAGAGAACTTGAGGTAGGGTTGGGGGAGAGAGAGAGAGAGAGGATGGAGAGGGGGGAGAGAGAGAGAGAGAGAGACTATACTACAGAACCTTGAGCATAAACAGCATTTATATGAATGTGGTTACTTTCTCTTTCCTTCCCACTTGTTGAGGAATGTGTCTTTAGCCTTAACTTGTGAGTGTAGACCAATGCGTGCTTTAAACCTGAGGTTTCTGAAACTAATTACACCATCCAGGGTCTTCAATGTGCTGCTTGAGTTGAAATACAACTGCTAGGATAAATAAAAACTCAGGTATTATCTTATCTGGGCAAGTTATAGGGCAGTACGTTGCTAAGTGCCACCTGAGTAAAAGGATTTATTGACATGGAAACTACTATAATTCACTCACATTTTATTATAAGTTCAGCATGTTTTATAGTTTCCTTATACTTTCAGATAAAAAAATCTCTTTTTGAAGTTACTGTAAAACACATGGAAGAACACTGAGTTTGACAGGTAACCTCTAATAAAAACAACAAAAAAAGCAAAAACAAACAAACAAACAAAAAACACTTTTAGAATATATAAAGGATAAAATGCAAAAGTATTTTATAAAATTTTGTGGAAAAGGACATTCACTAGAAGACACATGCATTTGGCTCTCTAAAAATTCAAAACATGAGACAAAGGACAAAGCCAGGGAGTCTATTTGATGCTTCCTATCTCTATAGAAACTGTATTATTGATACCCACCCCTTTTCTATTTCTATGGTTACAGAACACAGAAGACCCTTAAAAAGCAAAAGGATAAAGAGATACATCTCTTAAGTGTCCATGGTGGTGAGTGGAGACTGATGATAATAAGAATGGATGCTCACAAATTCTTGACAATTTCTTAGAGTTATGGAAAAATGTTTAAGTCAGGGCTTGAGATCAGAATACAAAGATGTCTTGTTCACAGGTGAGAACACCATTAAGCTAAACTGAATTCATAAGATGAATTTAGTGTGACCCCACATGAGTTATTTTACATGCATACCTTAGTAGGTTTTCACAATTGAAGCAGAATAAAAGTTTTAAAAGTTTAATAAAAAAAAATAATGTGTTCTTTTTTATATTTATACACTGGTGTCTCATTTTTTTCATTGAATTGCTACATAGAAGAAAATAACATAATGTTTGGTACTTGGAGGAAATAAGATGGAATGAAATACATACATAGAGACTACTTTAGACGTTTAGTTGTTCTTTGTTTCTAGCTTCTCCATGTAAATTTATTCTTGAATTTTTTTTTCTCCAAAACACGAAAAGTTTAGATGGTAAAAAGAGAAGAGAAGAAAAGGAGTCAGACAATTTCAATACTTTAGTAGTGAGAGAATGAAATTACTCACAGCCAGATAGGTTCTTAGCTTTTCTTCCCCATTGATATATGCCAAACATAATACTGACAAAGAAATGAAGGACAAAGACATTTTGTGCCATCTCCTGAATTATTTCCTACAATTCCTTTAAAGTTAAAATTACTTAACATTGCAGGGGAAAATGAATCAGGAAGTCACATGGCGAATTAAATAGTATAGAGTACACTTACTGACGTACTCTGCTACTGAAAGTACCAGCTCAGTTGGAAGTGAGCAGTCATCTAAGGTCTACGTGCTCTATTCTGTGTAGTCAATAGAAATCTCATGAAAATAATAAGATTGGTTTATTCTTCTTTAAACAGAAGTGCTTTATTCTGTATGTGTGTATGTTTGTGTGTGTGTGTGTGTGATTTTTTCATGTGAACCTTCTTTGTGAAGGATTATTGATTTATGACCATATTTATAACACCTTTGTCTTAACATTTTCTCCATGAATTAACTCCTTCTTGTTTTGAAGGAATAAAAACAACTCTTGTGGAAGATTTGCCATCTTGCTTTCTTTTCCACTTATGCATACTTCAGTGGAACAGTTTTCCTGGGAGGAGACAGTGAGATTTCACACTCTTAGATCTGAGGAAATGAGGTAGCTGTGGCAATGATAATAGGACCAGGTATAGAAGGTAAATAATGTGCCTTTTAAAATTGGTGTGATGGGAATGGCAAAGCCTTCTTGAAATGCGAAAATGTCTAATTGGTGCCCGCAGAAAGTTTCACTCAATAAAACATTTTAAGTCAGGATGTGATCATTTTTATCAGTCATTGATGAAAAACGTAATTTTGAAAATAAGTACAGTTAAGAAAGCAAGAAAAAATATGCCAGCCTTTTTCTTCCTCATATGAGACACTAACATGAGAAAATTAATCAAATCACATTAATGTCTCCATGCTCAATGCAAATTCTTTATTCTTATTTTGTGCAGTTTCAGAGTTGAGTGAGATAAGATTGTACCTATGCCATAATATTTACTTCATTATTTGAGGACAAAACTAGTCAATTTTTACAGAAAAAAAATCAGTAAAACTAGCCATTTGATATAAGTCTTCAATTCAGACAAAAAGTTATGTTAGTAGTTTCTCCAGAAATAGTTCCATATATGTCTATGCCTGCATTTAAATGTTTGTGATAGCTTTAAAACCCTTCAGATATTTTATTTTATTTTTTATTATACTTTAAGTTTTAGGGTACATGTGTACAATGTGCAGGTTATTTACATATGTATACATGTGTCATGTTGGTGTGCTGCACCCAGTATCGTCATTTAACATTAGGTATATCCCCAAATTCTATCCCTCCCCCCTCCCCCTACTCCACAACAGGCCCTGATGTGTGATGTTCCCCTTCAATTTTAATTAAAATTGTGCATCCATTGTATGTATATCATTAATGAAGAAATTTTAAATTGGTTAATTCATATGATCAATCTTGCTAAAATAATCATCTACATGCTTTGTATTATACCAAAATTACAAATTTATTTATAATCTTAAAATCTGAAAAATGGGCAAGAAGAATGATATCTGAATTTTTACAGGTGAATTCCAGGACTTCTTCAAATAGGTATTCCAATAAAAACATTTGGTTTTGCCTTCCTATTCTAATATTTTTATCTAGATCTTATTTAGAAATTCATCATGAGTCACTATGACTGTGGGTATGACATTTGTGGTGTGCATGTCATTGCTTATTCAACAAATAACTTATCACTATGGCAATTTAGCCCATTATTTGTCTTTATGGTTGGCTTTCTATAAGGCAATAAAAATTTCATGTGTTATGAAATAAAAAATTCAGTGTTCAAGTAAAGGCTTTAGCCTTCATCAGATTACAAAAATCTTTCTTTCCTCTAAACGACTTTTCCATTTGTTAATTTTCAAAATTGTAAAACACGTTGCCAAACTAAGGATAGCATGGGGTGATGAAATGGAAAAAAGTGGACTTGAGTGGGGTAGTCCTGCTGTTTGAATCTGGCTTTTCCAATTCCTTACTGAGAGATTTTGGTCTCATTAGTTATGTTGCCAATTTTTGATTTGCTCATCAAACTAGAAGAAACAACATATATTTAGGAAGATTTTGTAGTAATGAGAAACAACGTCTATAAAAATATAACCAATAATCCAGAGTATGTTACATGTTCAATAACTGTTAGACCAAATATCATATACTTTTAATTTAATTAGATAAAGTTTTCCATGAATTTCCTCTCCATGTTGTAAAGGAGAGGAAAGGAAAGAAACCTAATATATATTGACCATTTACTGTACTCCAGCCACCGCGCTAAAGTTAGAACTTTGATTTCTAATTCAGGGCACTTGGGATAATTTGGACACTCAGGTTAAATAAAACACTACAGTGTTTCTGCTGAACCTACTCCTGAGCATAACTAAGTTCATGGTGTTAACAAATAGGCCATATATGCCATGTCTTTCTCTAGACATAAAATTTCCAGAACTTCAGTTGCTACCACAACAAAAATGAACAAAACTGTTTTTCTGGATGTGTCAGTCCCCTTCCTGTTAACTGGACCAAGGCTATCATTTCATGGCCGTTCGGGGATTGGGGAGAGTGGAGGGTAAGACACACCTCTCTTTATCTCTCCAGCCCCCACAAAATTTCTTCTCTAAGATTCTCTGTGTTCAAATATTTCTCGTTTTAATAATAATCTCTCTATATATACTATAATACAGATTATTTAATAATCTATATATAATAATTAGATATGTATATGTGTATCCCCAATACATAGAATTATAAATTATATATTATAGATATTACTATATGATTATGTTATATAATTATATATAAATTATATATTATATATTTTATATAGAACACATATCAATTTTATATTATATATTATTGTATAATACATAATATATAATTGTATAATACATATTATATATTGTATAATATGTATTACATATTATCGTATAACATATATATTATTGTATATAAAGTATATATTATATTACATGTTATATATTATATATTATATAGTATATTATAATTATAAATTAATACATATATTTTATATAATTACATAATTATAATTATAAATTACATATTATAATTTATATTATATAATATGTACTATATATAATAATTACATATATGTGTATATATATCATATATGTGTATATATATATATCTCCCCAACCTTAGGTATTTTTATGTGTGTTATCACCTTTAATAACTTTTGATACCTCAGACTGCCTCCTAAATTGCCCTTTTAGGAATGAAAAGAAAATATTATTATTAACCACAATGCCAGTTCTGTACAATTAATCTACTAGATTTCACAAGGCTGGAAGAACTGAAGCATATGAATTGAGTATCATCTTCTAAAATGAGAAAATAGGATGCAACTGTTTCTGGGGGCTATTACATGTAATTGAGATCGAGTTTTGTTTATCAATGCTAACAAATAGGAAGTAATAAGTATAGAATGAATAATCTTAGGCTATAACCCACAAAAAGCGAATAACTAAGAGTCATTCTTTGGATTTAAAACACTCGATTTTTGTTGGTATGTTAATGTACCTCGCTTTCATCTAATATTCTGTACAAATCTATCTGACATTAAAACCTGTTCTTTTCTGGGTTCATACAGATTACTAATTAAGAAAAGGTACTGACTGGATATATAGATATTTCTTCTCTATTTTAATCAATGTTGAATATAATTTATCAGAGAAGTAATAAAATAGTAATGTGGCCTTATGAAAGTCATGAATTCAGATTATTACCATTTTTTGATCTTAGTAGATAAATTTTTTTTGTATTATTCAAAAGATATATAAATAGCTTTTCCTGAACTCACCATTGCTGCATCTCTAGGAATTTTCCTTAAGGACTTTCTATGCCTTGTGTCACTTAATCCTTATAAATTGCCAGATTTAGCAAATAAAAGTAGTGGATGCCTAGTAACATTTGATTTTCAGATAAACAGCTTATTAATTAATTAATTTTTGACACAGGGTCTCACTCTCTCATCTAGGCTGGAGTACAGTGGCACAATCATGGCTCACTGCAGCCTCGACCTCCCAAGTTCAAGTGATTCCTCAGCCTCAGCCTCATGAGTAGCTGGGATTACAGGGGTGGCTAATTTTGTATTTTTCATAGAGACAGGGTTTCACCATGTTGTCCCAGGTTGGTCTCGGACTTCTGGGTTCAAGCGATCCACCTGCCTTCGCCTCCCAAAGTTCTGGGATTACTGGAGTGAGCCACCATGCTCAGCAACTTTTTCTTTTTTTTTTAATTACAGGTATGTCCCATGCTATTTTGGGCGTGTATACACTAATAAATACTACTTGTTTTTCTGAAATTCAAATGTAACTTGGTATCCTATATTTTATTTTGCAACCCTAAAACTACTTCATTGGCCAGCCACTGTTACTGATCATCCCCATTTTAAATAAAAGAAATTGAGGTACACAGTGATTGTCATGTGCTCAGTGTTACATGGATTTTAGTATGGATTAAAATCCAACTCGTTTTATAGTCTGGTTTCCTGGTTCATATTCCCAACCATTTCACCACTTTCTCTCTCAATATCTACTCCTATGAGTTTTAAGACTGCCTGATATTATCACTGTGGTTCCTCTCAAATCCAACCCTCCATGACCTAATTCTATTTATCAAGGTAAAAAGGGGCTTATCCTTTAAAAGCTTATTCTACTTCATCGCTCCAAAATGAATGCCATTATTTTGGCAGCATCAGTAAAATATCACTAATATAAATAAGATCTACATTTCTCTTGAAAAACTTTCCAGAGATCAATGTGGCATAACTAGCCAATCACCGTATCGGAAGAACTGATTTTTGTAAGGTATTCAGTGAACCTTGTAGCTTCTCTCCAAAGTTTACCTGCTAATTACTATCTATTTACTTGTAAAAATGCTAATCGAATATACGTGGATTTAAAAACACGGGGAAATTCCTCTTCAATTACCACAATGGTTCATTCTCTTCACTGTGGAAAGGATGCAGTCCATGACAGACAGAGTAGCCTGTGGAACTGAAAATTAAAAGGAAAAAGGACCTCCTTGTTATGTAAAAAGTAGTTTTATTCAGTAGAGTGCTGGGTAAGTGTGGCAAAATGTTTTCCACATTATCTGGGTGCAGTAAAGGATTTTCATTTATCTTGTCTACGATCACTTTAGGCAGCTCCAAGTGACATCTTTCACACCACTAATTCATTGCTATGGGTCCAAGATCCCCTTTTTATCTGTAATGGAGGCAGCATAGAGGGTGATACAGACTCTTCACCTAGAGCGGTCAATTGGGGAACTGACCAATGTCTGAGGTCCAGAAACATTACGTACTGATAGTAGAGACAATTGTCCCCATGCTAAAGACAAAACAAGAAAAATTTATAAATATTCTGGTTACAGGCTATATAAGGTGTTCAAGAGAAATCAGCAGATGCAGACTGGACAGTCTGTGGGTCTGAGTGACTGCCAGTCATCTCAGAGATACTAGTGTTAGATGATACTTTCTAGGGCAGTGGCAAGAGCCAAGGACTTGACAACTCTCTTCCCTGCCCTGGAAAACTGGCTACTCTTGCTGCCTTGGATGAAAAAGAAGACCTCACAATAGGGTACAACTAAGCTTAGAGGACAAGAAATCATGTTTAGTAATGAAAATCATTGTTCTCATCTGATTTGCTATTTTATACCTTCACTATTCTACTGGAGTGGTTTTTATATTTTTCTCTTTCCTACAGTAATATTTCAATCATGTACATATGAGACACATTGTCTAGGATCCCAAATAATAAATGTTGTTTTGATAAAATACACTGCTGGTCATGCACAACACCTAGATAACTATAATCTCTTTTTCTCCTACATTAGAAAGCATGTCTGAGTGTCTGAGTGAGAAACACTTAAAGTGATAGTCTTATAGAATTACTAATTTATTTTTTAAAGGAAAATATTTGCTAACTCATTGTTAGCATAAAAGCATTGCAATGTGATGACACAAACATCATAGTACCTTGAATAAGAGCCACTATGTATAAAAGTAGGAAGCTACCCATAAAATTATGATAGTTATCTGCTTAAAATCCTTCAAAGACTCCCTCTAAAGTCATCACAGTTCATTAGACACGCAATGCCCTTTATAATGTGGCCACAACTTATCTCTCCAGTCTTTCTTCTTTCACTTTCTCCTATGATTCCCTGGCCCCAGGAGAAGAAGAAGAAAAAAAAACAAACAAACAAAAAAACCGGCTACGTCTGAATTACATCATGTAATTTAATTTTTAGGGCCTTTGCTTGTATTTTCCTATCTGCTTGAATCACCCTTTCGCTATATTCTATGCATACTCATCTTTCAAAACTTAACCCGAATGTTACTTTCTTCATGATATTTGCATGCCTCAAAATAATTTTTTCTCAGTGCTCAAATAAAATTTCTTAGAGCTCTCCTTGAATAATAGCATTCTTTGTTGATAAATTCTTTGATATTACATAATGAAATCTCTTGTGATGGGATTAAAATGTATTTCTCATTATATCTCTAACATGATGTATGTGATTTAGAAGTTGTTTAATGAATGTTTGTTAAAATAGTAACTAAATGTCAAACAATTATGTACTAATCTCAGACTATCACCAAATACATACCACTTATAAGCAAGGAAATTCTGCAATACTTATTTCACAGTTAATAGGGACTAAAAATAATTTTGAGGATCAATAAATTAGTTAATTATGTGACTGGGGTGAAATATGGAAACAGTATACTGTTTAAAGAAAAAAGCATGGTCTTTGAACTAGACAATTAGATTTTCATCTGAATTTCTCCACTTTTGGTTGTGAAGTCAATGAGTAATTATTAGACATCTCTGAGTTTCATTTTTGTTGTCTTAAGGAGAAGAAGAAGAAGAAGAAGGAGGAGGAGGAAGGAGAATGAGGAGGAGGAGGAGGAAGAGGAGGAGGAGGAGGAGGAGGGGAAATATCGGTGAACCCAGTTGCTGGTACATAGTAGGTGATCATTAAATATGAATTCACTTTCCCTTTCCTGAGTTCTTCTGAGCTAAATGCGTAAACAGAATGACCCATGATGATGGAACATACCAGGTTAAAGCTGTCTAGAAATAGGGAAGTAAAAGGAAAATGCAGAACATGTAGAAATTAAGTTATTTATGAGGATAATAAGATAAAATATGCCAAAATAGATTTAAACCATTTTAAATACTTACTTTTGTATTCTAATGTTGCCTTTTCCTAAATCCAATTTTATAATATTCTAGTTTCAGGTGCAAAATAGAATACTAAAATTCTCTTGGCATGTTTGCAATGTTTCTTTTATTATCATACCCAGTATCCTTCTTTATTGCAGTGACTTCACGTAGAAGCCAGCCTCTTTATAGTTTCTTCTTTTGGAAACTATGTCAGCCTCTCTGAATCTCTCTGACTATCACATTCATCTTGAGCTTTCCGGTATGTTATATAAAACAATACTAGCACCTTCTGTTTGATGTAGATAAAAATGACAGGATGAAAAGCTGACTATGAGACAAACTCCTGGCTCATTTGTAAAATAATAAAACACTTTCAGCTGCCTCATAGATAAACGTTTTGAAACAAAGTATAGCTTGGGTCCATTTTATACTAATTTTGTTTATTTAGTATTTAGAGGTCTGAACAGGACTCATGATAAAAGTGACATTTTTGGTAGTTAATTCACTACCTACTTCATTGACTTCTACTTGATAGGAAAAGAATGTCTAGACAGGAAGACTTTCTTTTCATTAAGAGACTAGGAACTTGGGTTAAATATTAAGAAATAATTTATGATTCTGGCTGGTCACGGTGGCTTATGCCTGTAATCCCAGCACTTTTGGAGGCTGAGGTGGGTGGATCACTTGAGGTCAGGAGCTCAAGACCAGACTGGCCAACCCAACCTCTCCTAAAAATACAAAAATTAGCCAGGTATGGTGGAGGGTGCCTGTAATCCCAGCTACTCAGGAGGCTGAGGCAGGAGAATAGTTTAAACCTGGGAGGCAGTGAGCCTCCCAGGTTGCAGTGAGCCGAGATTGTGCCATTGCACTCCAGCCTGGGCAACAGAGCAACACTGTCTAAAAACATAAAAAGAAATAATTTATGATTCTGAAGGATTAAAAGATAAAAGATTAAGTATGATCAACAATCTAAATAGTCTATATACAACTTGACTACAGTGATTTAAGTATTCAGACAAATACTATTATCAGGAAATGATCTCAGGTTTAGGCAAATAGGTATATCTTAACTTACGGGAATTAGGAAACCCAGTAGCTGTTCTCTTGAGGGTAACCAGAAAGGCTGTTCCACATTTACCTGTACTTACCTTACAAGGCTAAACCCTTGAATTTTCTAGAAGTTCCTAGAATATGGTTCTCTATAAACAAAGAATGTCAATAACATTATAGTATCAAATATCTTTGGAAGTTTATTTTTAGCATGCTGTGCATTTATATTCCAGGAGAGGACTCTAAGGAGCATCTATAGAGGTGCTAACTGTGTGGCCTATATAGGCTACTGTGTGGCCTAACATTTATTGAAACCTCAGTTACAGAACAAGAAGGCATAGACACATTTTCCCCTAATTGTAACTGCTATGTACAACTAAAAACCCCAGAAGTAGGGGAGAAGGAAACAAAAGGGTGGTAGGCAGAATGCAAACTGATTTGGGATCCAAGCACTGCAGAAAATGGTCATCTGGGTCCGAGATTTTCCAACACTCAAACTAGAAACAGAAGGCATTCCAGGCAGGCCCATTTCTCTCTCTCAGGCAAAGTGGGAACTGTACATAAAACACCATGTTAGCCCTGGCATATTTAGCAAGGGAAATTGATTGGGAGCACCACTAACAATAAGTAGTCAGAGTGAATACTCTCTTTCCTTACTAGTCCTGTGAATTCCCTACTGGACCTAGAGATGCTGGAGAAGCTGATGGGATCACCGGGGAGGAGAGAGAAACCTCCAGGGAGATGTAGTGAATTATTATAGTTTTATGTTGCCTCAGGATCCATTTTGAATATAGGTTTAATTTTCTCATGCCAAAAGCAGGACTTAGTCACCCTTGACAGTTTCCAGGTCTCTGCCTTCTCCCAGTTCCTCAATATTGACAATCCAGATATCTACCTTATACAACCACATCCTGGTGATCAGTTTCCTATGAGACAGCTAGATCAAACTTACTTGATTTGTCTCACTCACTTCCATATCCTGTGTGGACTGTGCAGATGTGCCTCAGGGATCACCTCTCAGTCACAGTGTGTCTCCAAGGATCTCATACCTACTCGTTCAAAACCCAATTAAAATTCCCTGAGGAAAGCCTGCTTGGGTAATGCTTGGAACCCCAACAAAGGCTTCATCCAACAGACCCCTCTCTCTTTAACTTTCTCCCCACCTGCCTGTTGAGAGTGCATGTCCCAGAAAGCAGCCCCCCTTCCTGCTGGACCTGCAAGGTATGCCACCCAACTTCTCTCTGGGAACTGTCAGTAATAAAACTGCTTCTGTTATTTTATGTGTTTTGTTGTCTTGCTTCCTCTGTGTTTTATCCGACCAACACACCTGAACCTAACTTCTTTCCAAGTTAGGGCTCTGTTAGACAGTGACTATATGGGTAGAAATAAACTGGACACAGGTCAGGCAAAAGCCACGAAAGGGTCTTCCAGAATAAACAAGTTTTCTTTGAGAGGGACACCTAGTCAAAGGTTGACACTTAGGTATTAGACTGTTCTCCAGGATAGAGGTATCCCATGAAGGGCACACTCTAAACATACAAAACAATCTCCCTGAAGCCCTGTCGAGGTTATACTTTATATCCACTCTCAGGAGAGAAACCTCAAACTCAAATTAGAAATAAAAAATAGAGCAGAGGCCGGTCGCAGTTGCTCACGCCTGTAATCCCAGCACTTTGGGAGGCCGAGGCGGGAGGATCTCAAGGCCAAGAGATCGAGACCATCCTGGCTAACATGGTGAAAAACCGTCTCTACTAAAAATACAAAAAATTAGCCAGGCATGGTGGCACACACCTGTAGTCTCAGCTACTCGGGAGGCTGAGGCAGGAGAATCGCTTGAACCTGGGAAGTGGAGGTTGCAGGGAGCCGAGATTGCGCCACTGCACTCCAGCCTGAGTGACAGAGTGAGATTCTGCCTCAAAAAAAGAAAAAAAAAAAAACACAGCAGAAGATCACATCACAACAAGCAGTTGGGGAGCCACTATCCATCCCCAACAGACAAAGATTGAGCTGTCACAACAAGCATCTAACAGGGAAGTTTTTTTACACCACGGTCCAGGGACTCCTTTCCTCCTTCAGAATACACCAAGTAAGTGGCCACACAGAGGCCACCTTTCTGCCTCTGTAGACAGCATCAGCAGGGGCCAGAGGAGCACCAGTAGTACCACATGAACCAGGCAAATCAAAACAATGTAATGAAGTCTTTGAAAATTAAACTGTTATTGGAATCATAGCCCACATAAGTAGGCCAGAACTTATTTAGTAAATCTGAGCATCTTATCCTGAATTCTGGTGTACAACTCAGTCCATCCTGCGTTATATTCAGCCAATTCCTAGATTTAGAAAAGCTTACAGATACAGATCAAAGAAATGGGTTGGAAATCAACAGAAAGCAAGTCAATGAAAAGGCTTATTTTGGATCTATGGAGAAAATGAAGGGAATGCCAAATGGGTAAGGTACTGAGTGTACAAACAGTCTATTTGCCTGGAAATTGAAGCAGATAGCACTTCAAAGTTTGGGTCAGTGATATAGGTAGTCGTGTGTGGCAAATAAACAGCTTTTTAGTCTCAATGGTATAATTGCTTTATACGATCTGTGAGTTTTATACTTTTAATGTGCGTTTAGGACAGGAAGTATCATCCTTTCATTTCCATGTTTAGAACTCCTTTGAGCATTTCTTGTAGAACCAGGCCAGGGGAGATGAATTCCCTCAGCATTTGCTTGTCTGAGAAATACTTTATTTCTACAAATATAAAGCTTGGTTTGTCAAGCTACAAAATTATTGACTGGAAGGTTTTTTGTTTGTCTGTTTGTTTTCTTTTTAGAGGACAAAATAGGATCCTGGCTTGTAAGGTTTCTGCTATGAAGTGCACTGTTAATCTGATAAGATTTCATTTATAAGTTATTAGATGCTTCTCTTTTGCTGCTTTTAGAGCTTTTTCCTTCATATTGACTTTAGATAGTCTGATGACTATATTCCTTGATGAGGTTCATCTTGCAAAGTATCTCCCAGGTGTTCCTTGAGCTTCTTGTATCTGAATATGTAACTCTGTAGCAAGACCAGGGAAGTACTTCAGAAATAGTCCCTCAAATAGGTTTTCTAAGCTTGTTACTTTTTTTTTTTTTCTCCCTCAGGAATACCTATAACTAGTAGGTTTGGTCACTTTACATAATTCCATATTTCTTCGAAGCTGTGTTCATTTCTTAGAATTCTTTTTTAGTTATTTCTGACTGGGTTAATTCAAAAGGCCTATCTAAGCTCTGACACTCTTCTGTTTGGTCTGGTCTGCCTATTGTTAAAGCTTTTGACTATATTTTGTAATTCCTTCAATAAATTTTTCATGTCTAGTTCTGTTTTTTTTTTAATCTATCTCTTTAGTAAATTTTTCATTCATATCCTGATTTGCTTTTTTTTTTTAATTTCTTTGTGTTGGTTTTCAACTTTCCTTTGGATCTCATTGAGCTTCCTTACAATTCATATTTTACATTTTTTATCGGTCATTTCACAATTTTCATTTTGCTTAGAATCCATTGCTAGAGGGCTAGTGGGACCTTTTTGGGGTGTCTGCCACTCTGTCCCACTTCCTGCCTCACCCTTCATGCAAGTCCTGGCTGGTGGGCACACTGCCAGTAGGGTGCAGCCACCGCCCCCCATAACCTTGGACATGTTTTCCTAGGTGCATCCATCCCAAACCCCAGTGGAAACAGCTATGGCCATATGTGCAGCAGTGGGTCGGGCGTAGATAGAAGTTCCCGTATCCATGTCTGCTCCTGGGCACTGGTGCCACCTTTCTGTTGGTGTAGAACTGTACTCTTTTCCTGTAGAGCCCAGAACTGTACCCATGTCTCTGCTGGGAGGGATGCATTTACCTTCTTCTCACAAGCGGAGAGATCTCTGGCAGAAGAGAGCGCACAATTTCGTTTCCTTTCTCCCAGAGGGTGCTTTGGTATGCTGCATGCTTCCCCTAGAGGCAGCCTATGCTGAGGGTTGAACTCTAGGAACATGCAGCACCCCAGGGTCCCACCAGCCCTTTGCAGTTGTCACAGTCTAAAATAATTCTGGGAAATATTTGTGGAAGATATAGTGATGCAAAGACATAAGGGCTGAGAATTCCTGGGCAGGATAGAGGCACACAATTGATGCACAACCAGTATGGTGCCCTCTACCTCAGCTCAGGTGTTGGGGGAAAGTGAGTGAACTTATGCCAGCTGGCCACCCAGCATTCTGCCCTCAAGAAGTTCCCAAATTGCCACCCACAACAATACTTGGGCTAGCAAAGAAAGAGGTGCTATCAAATAGTTTGGCAGTCAGCAGTCTCCTGAAGGAGTTAGGAGAGCAAAATACACCCCCACCTGCCCTTTCTACTGGACTCTGAGTTCCACAGGGGTCAATCACTGCTAAACTCTTGCTTCCTTCTTTTTCTGCACCCCAGATTCTTCCCATGCATTCTCGGATAGGTTCTGGCACTGTTCCTTCAGTATTTCACTCAGACCATGATTATTCACTTGCAATTTTGGTTCTTCTCTCTGTAGACAACTGGCATCCAATGTCTCTAGTTAGACATCTTGGATTAAAACAACAGCAAAAACAAAAATAACAGAAACAGCTTTTGTTAAAAGACGGGCTTTCCCACATCAGATCATATCAAAGGATCCAATACTGGTTCTAGTGGTAAATTCAATAAAGTTGGAATAATTGCCTTATCATAGTAATTCTAGTGTTTGTTTACATCACTCTTGAAAAGCTGATTGTCTTTGAATATCACTATGGGCTCCATAGCAACTTGAGAAGACAAAAGAATAATCAGGGAGCATCAACCTCAATTGTCACATTGAACCTTCAGAATGTGTTCAGCATCAGAGGTGACGGTGAAGCAGTTCTCTCCTTCTCAAGTTCTGTCAGCCTGTAAGCACCACATCAGATACCAAAGTGTTTTCTGTCAAATTGAGGTGATCGTCCAGCAAGATTTCAGTGAACATAAATAAAGAACACTGTTGGAGAACAATGGTTTTTTGACTATTTTTTCTTGTCCCTCTTAATAAAAAAGGTAGCTGAAAGAATGTGTACTTCAGGGAGATTTTTATAATTCTGCTGAAAAGACAAGGGAATCAGATTAAATATATGTCTATATAAGACAGATGTTCAACAAAAATTAGGTGACTGACTAAAGGCTCTTTTCTCTTAGTGTTTATTCAGAGGATTGACATGTCAGTTCTCACCAATCAAACAGGGTTTAAAGCATAGAAGTCCCTTTCAGCTGTGTTTCTTCCTTCCAGTCCCTCCGTTTCTTCCCAGTTTTCCAGTCTCCGAATTACTCTGATCAGAGGCCTGCTAGCAGCTTTTTGGGATTCCTTGTAGAGATAGGCTGTACTATTCTATTATACTATATAGGCATATATTCATATTTATCGCTCTTATTTTCACTTCACAAAATAGCTTAAAGTTTGTCGAATATCAGTTTGTAGTGAGTGGTCCCTTTTTTCCCCAGTGTGCAGAAGATAGCATTCTCTTTTATGAATTACTATAATTTATTCAACCTATGTTCTCCTAATGACATTTGGGATTTTCTCAAATTTTGCTATAATAAAAATCCTGTGATGGATTTTTTTTTTTTTTTTTTTTTTTTTTTTGGTGGTGGTGATGTTGATTCTGTGACAGAGTTTCTCTGTGTTGCCAGGCTGGAGTGCAGTGGCATGATCTCCGTTCACTGCAACCTCCACCTCCTGGATTCAAGTGATTCTCCTGCCTCAGCCTCTTGAGTAGCTAGGACTATGGCGCATGCCACCACACACAGCTAATTTTTTTTTCTTGTTTGTTTTGTTTTGTTCTGTTTTTTGTTTTTATTGAGATGGAGTCTCCCTCTGTCGCCAGGCTGGAGTGCAGTGGCGCGATCTTGGCTCACTGCAACCTCTGCCTCCCGGGTTCAAGCAATTCTCCTGCCTCAGCCTCCAGAGTAGCTGGGACTACAGGCAACCACCATGCCCAGCTAATTTTTGTATTTTTAGTTGAGACGGGTTTTCACCATGTTGGCCAGGATGGTCTTGATCTCTCGACCTCATGATCTGCCCGCCTCGGCTTCCCGAAGTGCTGGGATTACAGTCGTGAGCCACTGCGCCCAGCCGCGATGAATGTTTTTAAGCTCATTTCTTCATGAATATGCGTGATTGCACCTACAGTGTATGTTTTAAGAAGTACATTTTCTGAGTCAAGGAATATGTCCATCGAAATGATGATAAGTGAATGTGAGAGTGCTTTACAAGGAAGTAGAGCTAGTTACACTCCTGCTAACATGTATGAGAGTTTCACTTGCCTCACTGTTTTGAAATATTCAAAACTCTCATCTATAATCCTATCCTTCCTGCTAACTCCTCTGTTGGATACAACAGAGCTATTGATTTTTTTAAAAATGGAATGAGTCAGGAAACAGCTTCACCTAAATCTCCATCAACAGTATTTTCAATATAGGTTTTTCCTATGCATTGTAACAATAGCATTTTCATTGTTGTCAGTTTCCTGCTCAAATCTAAGTGTTTGGACATTATGGCCATACCAGCTGAGTTATACTATCCAAACAATAAAGGGATTGATTTTTTTCTCAGTGGCCTGCTCCTGACTACAATGGTGAATATTTTCCTTGCCAAAATACATGACGGGTTAGATGTGCTTTCTCATACATGGTCAGCCACAGCTCCACAAAATAACAGAGAACAGAAATTTTTATTCATCATTACCAAAGTATGCTTATACAGAGAAATGAATAAAAATGTATACCGATTTATGAGCATCCTATAAAGTCTACAGTTACTGCTATATCTTTCCTGATAAAGATTTGTATCTGAGGAAGCTAAAAGTATATACAGTACACTTTTAAAATAATCTCTTATAGCATTCAAATCAGTATTTGCCACACTACCCCCAAGAAATCAAGCTAGTATCAGAGCCAAAACACATTGTTAAACAGCATTGTCCATTACTTGAATAATTTGAAGATTGATGTCTAGAGAAATGTTGAAAATAAATTGCTTTAAAGGACTATCTGGAAAACCCAAAAGGCAAACTTAGAAGTTGGTTTTGTATCTTTGTATATCGAACAATTTTTTTTTAGTTTTATTTTTAAATGTCCAGATCCTGTCAAATGAACAAACTCATGCAAAATGTCAGATCTAGTAATTAAAAACTTGAACAGACAGAATCTATGAGGAGTAATCATAAAACCCACCATCCCTTTAAATATCATGAAGCTCAATTTCTGGTTAAATTTACTAATTAAAACTGGTTTTTCCTCTTTTTGTGAATTGTAATCGTGCAGTTTAAAACTTTTCTGATCATTCCTGAGTAAAACAAAGTATCAATCCAAAAATTAAAATTTCTAAGCATGAGTGATAGTTAAATCTTCAAACATATTTGAAATTGAGGACACACCTTTCCCCCATATGCAAGAAGACCGAAGGTTGAGAAATGGATATGACTGGCTTCTTCTCTCATCTTGGTCCATTGTTAGGAAGATTCTATACCAGCTTTCTTTCTCAATGTGTTGCCAGGAAACATACTAATTATTTGGCCAAACCGTGGAGAAAAACTGATTGAAATGCTCTGTTAAAGTAGCTAGGCTGCCTATGGCATGCCCTTTAGAATTTCCAAGAAGTTTGGTTCTCAGATGCAGTTGGGTTCTCAAAATGTAGGGGCCGTAAAACTTGAAAAAAAAAAAAAAAACTCTGATTATTTGAATGATGAATTAACTTTACAACTCACTGATTAATTAAACAAGTTAACAGAAATATCTACTCCGTTTTCAGTTACAGAGTTTAGAGCCATTTTCTTTTAAGTCATCATTGAATAATATTAAATCCCCTCTTCCTTTCTTATCTACCATGGTAAATATTAAGTGGATGCATGTATTTCTCCCATTCCCCTCTTTAGGAGTTAACTTAAAGTGTGGGTTAAAAAGGGATGAGTTCTTTTAATATTCCCATAATGCCACTTAGAAAGATAATTTCCTGGTGTCCAAAACTGGCTTAGATGTTAATAAAAAAGCAGAACCACTCTGATTGCCAATTAAATTATAGTTTATCTTTATTAAGTAGAAAACAAAATAGATGTACTATAATAGTAAATTGAGGTGTTTGTGTCAACTGAAGGCTTACTTAAAAGACAATTAAATTATCCTAAAGGAGAAATTTTTCCAAATTCCGTACAAATGAGTATAATCTTGATAAAAAAACCTGACTATAACTTTACCAAAAAAAAATCAGAGCACTTTTATATTTGGTATAAGAAAATTCTTAATGTAATATTAATATACAGCTTATTAAAATGACAGCCCTCATAATAAGTTTTTTTTCAGGAACTTAAGAATGTTTTAATATTAGTTATCACTATTAATATAATATAAAATATTAATATTTATAAAAAATATATGATCTCTATAGAAACTAAAAATTCAGCAAAATTTTGGATAAAAATAAAAAAGAATATATATATGTATATACATAAAATATTTTACTTTATAAAATAGAGTATTCTCAGGCCCAAAGCCATCATCATGTTTTATGGGAAAATATTAAAGGCATTTCTATTAACGTAAAAAATGAATGACAAATGCCTACTCTCATTGCTGTTATTAAATATTGTATTTAATACAAGTCAACTCAAAAGAGAAAAACTTTGTAGAAAAAAAAGTAAGATGATTTACATGTGAATGACACAATTGTATGCCCGGAAGTCCCAAGAGAATCAGCTAAAACACTAATCCCAAAATAAAATGATGTTATAAGACTTTGTTAGGGGAGGAGCCAAGATGGCCGAATAGGAACAGCTCCCGTCTACAGCTCCCAGCATGAGCGACGCAGAAGACGGGTGATTTCTGCATTTCTATCTGAGCTTTGAAGAAAGCAGTGGTTCTCCCAGTACGCAGCTGGAGATCTGAGAACGGGCAGACTGCCTCCTCATGTGACCCCCGAGCAGCCTAACTGGGAAGTACCCCCCAGGAGGGGCACACTGACACCTCACTTGACAGGGTACTCCAACAGACCTGCAGCTGAGGGTCCTGTCTGTTAGAAGGAAAACTAACAAACAGAAAGGACATCCACACCAAAAACCCATCTGTACATCACCATCATCAAAGACCAAAAGTAGATAAAACCACAAAGATGGGGAAAAAACAGAACAGAAAAACTGGAAACTCTAAAAAGCAGAGCGCCTGTCCTCCTCCAAAGGAACGCAGTTCCTCACCAGCAACAGAACAAAGCCGGTCGGAGAACGACTTTGACGAGCTGAGAGAAGAAGGCTTCAGACGATCAAATTACTCTGAGCTACGGGAGGACATTCAAACCACAGGCAAAGAAGTTGAAAACTTTGAAAAAAATTTAGAAGAATGTATAACTAGAATAACCAATACAGAGAAGTGCTTAAAGGAGCTGATGGAGCTGAAAACCAAGGCTTGAGAACTATGTGAAGAATGCAGAAGCCTCAGGAGCCGATGCGATCAACTGGAAGAAAAGGTATCAGCAATGGAAAATGAAATGAATGAAATGAAATGAGAAGGGAAGTTTAGAGAAAAAAGAATAAAAAGAAATGAGCAAACCCTCCAAGAAATATGGGACTATGTGAAAAGACCAAATCTACGTCTGATTGGTGTGCCTGAAAGTGATGGGGAGAATGGAACCAAGTTGGAAAACACTCCGCAGGATATTATCCAGGAGAACTTCCCCAATCTAGCAAGGCAGGCCAATGTTCAGATTCAGGAAATACAGAGAACACCACAAAGATACTCCTCGAGAAGGGCAACTCCAACACACATAATTGTCAGATTCACCAAAGTTGAAATGAAGGAAAAAATGTTAAGGGCAGCCAGAGAGAAAGGTCGGGTTACCCTCAAAGGGAAGCCCATCAGACTAACAGTGGATCTCTCGGCAGAAACCCTACAAGCCAGAAGAGAGTGGGGGCCAACATTCAACATTCTTAAAGAAAAGAATTTTCAACCCAGAATTTCATATCCAGCCAAACTAAGCTTCATAAGTGAAGGGGAAATAAAATACTTTACAGACAAGCAAATGCTGAGAGATTTTGTCACCACCAGGCCTGCCCTAAAAGAGCTCCTGAAGGAAGCGCTAAACATGGAAAGGAACAACTGGTACCAGCCGCTGCAAAATCATGCCAAAATGTAAAGACCATCGAGACTAGGAAGAAACTGCATCAACTAACGAGCAAAATCACCAGCTAACATCATCATGAGAGGATCAAATTCACACATAACAATATTAACTTTAAATGTAAATGGCTAAATGCTCCAATGAAAAGACACAGACTGGCAAATTGGATAAAGAGTCAAGACCCATCAGTGTGCTGTATTCAGGAAACCCATCTCACATGCAGAGACACACATAGGCTCAAAATAAAAGGATGGAGGAAGATCTACCCAGCAAATGGAAAACAAAAAGGCAGGGGTTGCAATCCTAGTCTCTGATAAAAGAGACTTTAAACCAACAAAGATCAAAAGAGACAAAGAAGGCCATTACATAATGGTAAAGGGATCAATTCAACAAGAAGGGCTAACTATCCTAAATATATATGCACCCAATACAGGAGCAACAAGATTCATAAAGCAAGTCCTGAGTGACCTACAAAGAGACTTAGACTCCCACACATTAATAATGGGAGACTTTAACACCCCACTGTCAACATTAGACAGATCAACGAGACAGAAAGTCAACAAGTATACCCAGGAATTGAACTCAGCTCTGCAACAAGCGGACCTAATAGACATCTACAGAACTCTCCACCCCAAATCAACAGAATATACATTTTTTTCAGCACCACACCACACCTATTCCAAAATTGACCACATACTTGGAAGTAAAGCTCTCCTCAGCAAATGTAAAAGAACAGAAATTATAACAAACTATCTCTCAGACCACAGTGCAATCAAACTAGAACTCAGGATTAAGATTCTCACTCAAAACCGCTCAACTACATGGAAACTGAACAACCTGCTCCTGAATGACTACTGGGTACATAACGAAATGAAGGCAGAAATAAAGATGTTCTTTGAAATCAACGAGAACAAAGATACAACATACCAGAATCTCTGGGACGCATTCAAAGCAGTGTGTAGAGGGAAACTTATAGCTCTAAATGCCCACAAGAGAAAGCAGGAAAGATCCAAAATTGACACCCTAACATCACAATTAAAAGAACTAGAAAAGCAAGAGCAAACACATTCAAAAGCTAGCAGAAGGCAAGAAATAACTAAAATCAGAGCAGAACTGAAGGAAATAGAGACACAAAAAACTCTTCCAAAAATTAATGAATCCAGGAGCTGGTTTTTTGAAAGGATCAACAAAATAGATAGACCGCTAGCAAGACTAATAAAGAAAAAAAGAGAGAAGAATCAAATAGACACAATAAAAAATGATAAAGGGGATATCACCACCGATCCCACAGAAATACAAACTACCATCAGAGAATACTACAAACACCTCTACACAAATAAACTAGAAAATCTAGAAGAAATGGATAAATTCCTCGACACATACACTCTCCCAAGACTAAACCGGGAAGAAGTTGAATCTCTGAATAGACCAATAACAGGATCTGAAATTGTGGCAATAATCAATAGCTTACCAACAAAAAAGAGTCCAGGACCAGATGGATTCACAGCTGAATTCTACCAGAGGTACAAGGAGGAACTGGTACCATTCCTTCTGAAACTATTCCAATCAATAGAAAAAGAGGGAATCCTCCCTAACTCATTTTATGAGGCCAGCATCATTCTGATACCAAAGCCTGGCAGAGACACAACAAAAAAAGAGAATTTTAGACCAATATCCTTGATGAACATTGATGCAAAAATCCTCAATAAAATGCTGGCAAAATGAATCCAGCAGCACATCAAAAAGCTTATCCATCATGATCAAGTGGGCTTCATCCCTGGGATGCAAGGCTGGTTCAATATACACAAATCAATAAATGTAATCCAGCATATAAACAGAGCCAAAGACAAAAACCACATGATTATCTCAATAGATGCAGAAAAGGCCTTTGACAAAATTCAACAACCTTTCATGCTAAAAACTCTCAATAAATTAGGTATTGATGAGACGTTTTTCAAAATAATAAGAGCTATCTATGACAAACCCACAGCCAATATCATATAGAATGGGCAAAAACTGGAAGCATTCCCTTTGAAAACTGGCACAACACAGGGATGCCCTCTCTCACCACTCCTATTCAACACAGTGTTGGAAGTTCTGGCCAGGGCAATTAGGCAGGAGAAGGAAATAAAGGGTATTCAATTAGGAAAAGAGGAAGTCAGATTGTTCCTGTTTGCAGACGACATGATTGTATATCTAGAAAACCCCATTGTCTCAGCCCAAAATCTCCTTAAGCTGATAAGCAACTTCAGCAAAGTCTCAGGATACAAAATCAATGTACAAAAATCACAAGCATTCTTAGAAACCAACAACAGACAAACAGAGAGCCAAATCATGAGGGAACTCCCATTCACAATTGCTTCAAAGAGAATAAAATACCTAGGAATCCAACTTACAAGGGATGTGAAGGACCTCTTCAAGGAGAACTACAAGCCACTGCTCAAGGAAATAAAGGAGGATACAAACAAATAGAAGAACATTCCATGCTCATGGGTAGGAAGAATCAATATCGTGAAAATGGCCATACTGCCCAAGGTAATTTACAGATTCAATGCCATCCCCATCAAGCTACCAATGCCTTTCTTCACAGAATTGGAAAAAACTACTTTAAAGTTCATATGGAACCAAAAAAGAGCCCGCATCGCCAAGTCAATCCTAAGCCAAAAGAACAAAGCTGGAGGCATCGTGCTACCTGACTTCAAACTATACTACAAGGCTACAGTAACCAAAACAGCATGGTACTGGTACCAAAACAGAGATATAGACCAATGGAACAGAACAGAGCCCTCAGAAATAACGCCACATATCTACAACTATCTGATCTTTGACAAACCTGAGAAAAACAAGCAATGGGGAAAGGATTCCCTATTTAATAAATGGTGCTGGGAAAACTGGCTAGCCATATGTAGAAAGCTGAAACTGGATCCCTTCCTTACACCTTATACAAAAATCAATTCAAGATGGATTAAAGACTTAAATGTTAGACCTAAAACCATAAAAACCCTAGAAGAAAACCTAGGCAATACCATTCAGGACATAGGCGTGGGCAAGGACTTCATGTCTAAAACACCAAAAGCAATGGCAACAAAGACAAAAGTGACAAATGGGATCTAAAGAAACTAAAGAGCTTCTGCACAGCAAAAGAAACTACCATCAGAACGAACAGGCAACCTACAAAATGGGAGAAAATTTTCGCAACCTACTCATCTGACAAAGGGCTAATATCCAGAATCTACAATGAACTCAAACAAATTTACAAGAAAAAAACAAACAACCCCATCAAAAAGTGGGCAAAGGACATGAACAGACACTTCTCAAAAGAAGACATTTATGCAGCCAAAAAACACATGAAAAAATGCTCATCATCACTGGCCATCAGAGAAATGCAAATCAAAACCACAATGAGATACCATCTCACACCAGTTAGAATGGCAATCATTAAAAAGTCAGGAAACAACAGGTGCTGGAGAGGATGTGGAGAAATAGGAACACTTTTACACTGTTGGTGGGACTGTAAACTAGTTCAACCATTGTGGAAGTCAGTGTGGAGATTCCTCAGGGATCTAGAACTAGAAATACCGTTTGACCCAGCCATCCCATTACTGGGTATATACCCAAAGGACTATAAATCACGCTGCTATAAAGACACATGCACACGTATGTTTATTGCGGCACTATTCACAATAGCAAAGACTTGGAACCAACCCAAATGTCCAACACTGATAGACTGGATTAAGAAAATGTGGCACATATACACCATGGAATACTATGCAGCCATAAAAAATGATGAGTTCATGTCCTTTGTAGGGACATGGATGAAATTGGAAATCATCATTCTCAGTAAACTGTCGCAAGAACAAAAAACCAAACACCGCATATTCTCACTCATAGGTGGGAATTGAACAATGAGATCACATGGACACAGGAAGGGGAACATCACACTCTGGGGACTGTTGTGGGGTGGGGGGAGGGGGGAGGGATAGCATTGGGAGATATACCTAATGCTAGATGACGAGTTAGTGGGTGCAGCGCACCAGCATGGCACATGTATACATATGTAACTAACCTGCACAATGTGCACATGTACCTTAAAACTTAAAGTATAATAATAAAAGAAAAAAAGACTTTGTTATGTAAAATTACTGTATATAAATTAATAATTTCCACATACAATATACTGCAAGAAATTTCCAACTTAAAATATTAATGACATATTTAGGAGTGTGTACAACATGAAGAATTCTCACTAAAACAAAAGAAATCTTGAAAAAAACAAGACGTTCTTGAAAAGAAAGACATATTAAAATAGATCATAATTATTTTTTAGGTAATTCATAAATTTAATATGATACCCATGAAAATACCAAACACTAGTTGGCTGTTTATTTATTTTACTAAACAAACTAATTCTAAATTTTATGTGAAAAAACAACTAAGAAAATTAGAGAAATTTTTGAAAAATAATGTATACATCCTAATTGTTTCATGTAATAAAACATTATAAATTTCTAATAATTAGATAAGTATAGTGTTAAGACATAAGCTTTCAGGGAGGACAATAGAAGAAAATAAAAATCATAAATAGGCCCAATCACATATGAGAATGTAGTAAGTGATTAACATAGCATCTCAGCTCAGTAGGAAAATATGTTATTTATTATATCAGACTCTGACAAAGGGACAGACATCTGAGCAAGAAAATAGGATTAATATAAATCTGACACCTTACAATGAGGTAAATTAAAAATGAGTCAAAGATTTAATCTAATCAGGAAATCCTTTCTAATGATTTAAGTCCAGCAGCATATACATATATATATTTGTGTTTGTGTGTATATATATATATGTAGAGAGACAGAGAGAGAAATAGCACATTTTTTAAAAGTTTGCATTAACAAAAATTTATAGGCAGATTCAAAGCATAATGATAAACTGAGGACAAGACAATACTCCCAATTTCTGTCAAATACAAAGTTCTATTCTCTCTAATATATAAGAATTACAAATATATAACAAGATGGTTAGTAAGAATGAAAAATAAATTTTAATTTTGACTAGGAAGTTCACAGCAAAAGAGAAAAATGGCTCTTAAACATACGATAAGCTAGTTAACCTCAATTCTAATAAGAAAACGGCCTATTAAAACAGTGCCTAAATATCCTTTTTTAGAAACTATGATTAGAAAATCCTAATATGTGTCAATTATGTACCTGTGGAGAAACAGGATACTCTCATACATTATCAGTACAACCTCTATAGATTACAAAAGTGCAAATGCATATACGTTTAACCCAGATATCCTACTTCTAGAATTTTTTCTAGATATATCCATGTAAGTACCTAACGATAAACTGTACAGTGGTTTTTATGGTCAACCATATGCATTAGCAAAAAGTTGGAGATAACATAAATGCTCAGTACATGCACGCTAGCAAAAGTTATGTACATATCTGTATAAAACAAAGTGGAAGCTCTCTGTGTATTAGTAGGGAACAATCTATCAGACATAGCAAAAAAAAGCAAAAGTTATAGTTATTATATAATTCAAAAATTATAGTTAGTGAAAAAAGTAAGAGTGCACCACATTTTTAAAAAAATCAAAAGTTATAGTTATTATATAATTCAAAACTTATAGTTAGTGAAAAAAGTAAGAGTGCACGACATTTTAATCACTAGCCACTGTTTGTGTAAGAGTGGTAAAACAAAATATATATTTATATTTGCTTTGATATAAAGGCACTCTAGGAAAATACCTAAGACATTAGCAACAATAGTATCTATAGTTGAGCATGGAGGGGAATCTAGGTAACTAAGCAAATTAAGTTTATGGTAGAAGAGAGATTTTTATTGTTAAGTGGTTTTTTGTTTGTTTGTTTTTGTTTTTTTAAGATGGAGTCTCACTCTGTTGCCCAGGCTGGAGTCCAGTGGCACCATCTCAGCTCACCACAACCTCCGCCTCCCAGGTTCAAGCAATTCTCCTGCCTCGGCCTCCCGAGTAGCTGCGATAACAGGTGCCTGCCATCACGCCCAGCTAATTTTTGTATTTTTAGTAGAGACGGTGTTTCACCATGTTTGCCAGGCTGGTCTCAAACTCCTGACCTTGTGATCCGCCTGCTTTGGCCTCCCAAAGTGCTGGGATTACAGGAGTGAGCCACTGTGCGAGGTCTATTGTTAAGTGTTTTTATATTTACTCCATGGGAACATCTTACCTATTAAAATAATCTATATTTTATATATATAGTGAATGGTTACTTCAAATGAGAGTCATGAATTGGCATATCTTTGTATTTCCTTAAAGAATCTGGTATGACAAAATTTCTATGGGTCACTCTTTGGAAAATGCTAGCTAGCATAGGAACAAGAAGGCTATAGTTTAAGAAGTATTGTGTCAATTAATTCAAACAAGTCATTTTACCTTCAGGACCTCAGTTTTCTTCTCTATACCTAAAGGGGTAATAAAAGAGGAGTTTCCAAGAATTCATCCAGGTTTTAAATTCTGTAAGTACAGCAGAGTACGAATAATTAAATCTTTACTCTTTCTAAGCATCAGCTTTCACAACATGGAATCCACTTAGTTACAAAAATGCAGGAGATAGAGAGTGGCCTCTAATTCCAGGACATCCCACCACAATTTTTATGTAAAATTCCATGATACCAATCTATATTGATGTAATTTTTCCACATAAAAGCTGTCAAAAACATTTAATATTAAAATCTTTTTATTTTTACTCTTTTAATCAAAGTGTATAACTCCGCTGAGAATACATAAAGTAGTGATGAGAGAAAAATGAATTTACCTGTCAGGAGCCTGTGTATTGATAAAATTCAGTATTTTTTATTCATATGTAATTTTTCATAATTTATGTTGCTCTCTTTGTTCTATCAGCTATTTTTGTTTTTTCTCTATTTTATTTCATTGGCCTAATGAATTAGGTAATATTGCGGGCTGGTGATAACTCATTGATTCCTCATCTACCCTTGGGTGTGTTCAACATGCAGTAACATTCATTCTCCCCCATAATGAGTTTTAAAAGGCAGTGATTCTGGAATAATTTCATTTACATCCTGAAAATGCAACCGAGGGTATGTAACAATAAGAGTTCTAATAAGATGAGAAGTTTAGTGTGCTGTTCACATTTGCCCCCTTTGCTACTTAAATCCAGAATTCTTCAGACCAGTGAATCAGAACAAGGAAACAAACTGAGAAGTAAACAGATGCCTGTCAGAACTGTCATGTTGTTTTCATGAGTATGATCTTGTTAGAAAGTTTGAATGAAATACACGGAAAAAAATGATAAATCTGACAAATCAGTCAATTCACAAATTCAAGAATGTACATGTTGATTATATAGCCACTTTTGCAGTTTTAATATATCTCAAGATTTTAGAAATCATGTTTTTTAAACAGAAAAAAAATCCCCAATGATTACTTAATGATTACTTATAAACAGTCTTTTAGTAACATACATTTAAGCATCACTATTCCTTTGGGCCAATGCAAGGCTATAGTAAGAATCTGAGATTTGAATGTCACTGATACTTGTTTTTATTTTTTGTATCATATCTACCATTTAGTAACCAAATATTTGACATTAGGGATTTTTAATTTTGTTCTGGTTCTTAATTTTAATTTTTGGTACAAAATAGATAATACTACTATATACCAAATAATATTATACAAATTATTAAATAATATAATACAATTTAAATAACATAGTGTTCTTGGCACATTATATACTGCATAAAAGGTAGTTATTACTATTTTTTATATTTTATTAAGTTATAACTGAATCAGCCTCCATCCTGATAAAATTATACATAAAGTGTCTAAAGTACTTAAAAATAATACGTAGCCAATGTTATTTCTTCTCTCTTTAAGAATGTTAAAAGGTACCAACTGCTATTTCTGGCCCACCTATATTTTTTTCTTTGCATTAAAAAAATGTATTGATAAAATGCGAGATTAAATTTTTTATTCTACAAAAGTTGAAATTAGACAGTCTACTCTAGCTGGGAAAGTACTGCAGGGCCGTCATTGTGGTGGATTGTATTTGCTGCTGTGTCAATCATAGGTGGCAGGCACCACCTGGTTCCCTAGTCATCTGACAGAATTAATGAATCCATTCAATTGCTTCACTTACTACCCAGTGGTGTTTTAGACTCCATGGAAAGAATTCAATTGAGTGGTATCCTTCAGAGTTTCGATAACATGTCTTAAAGTCAGGGTTTTCAAAGTGTGATTCATGAGTCACCTGCTTCAGAATAATCAATTGCTTTTTAGAATTTGTTTTAGAAATCACATTCAGAATTTAATTTTATCTTTAAAATAAATCTTTGATATGGAAACTTAGTAATTATGAAAGTGTTAATATTATTTCTAATAAAATATTAGAGGAAAGTTTCTGTGTAATTACTATGCTCCAAGTTTTGTACCAAACCATTTCCACAATTATTTATTCCTCAAAAAGAGAAAAAAACTATAAAGTAGACATATATTCTACCTATTAGATAAAGAAACTTAGACTAGAGAGAAACATGATTTCCTCAAGGTTACACAGAGAATTGATTAACTGAGCTGGACTAGAAAATTTCATTGCTTATAAAGTCACATTTACTGAGCTCCATTTGTGTGCCAAGGCTTGTATTTGGCTCCAGGAAAAGGAAACTAAATAAGATAAAGCCTTCAATCCACAAGGTAGTGTTTCTCCCATCTTCTTTGACAGAACAGGGCAGGGTCAGGCCAAAGGAGCAATGAAACCCAGAACAACATGGATACAGTACAATTTTTGGAAGGTATGTGGGTTGCTCGGACTACATTTGAAGTATTTAGTAATTTGTGCATTAAATATATAATCAGTTTATATTTGTAACAGCAATAACGGTCAGTTGTAACCCCAAACTAGAACTGAATCTAATGATAGATGGTTGATAAAGAGTTGCTGAAGGATAGAATGAATGAATAGTCTGCTCTACATTGAGCCCATGCTGAGATTTCTGAAACCTTACGAGCTAAACTCTTTTAAGTTTTGGCTTAGGTTGCAGAGTAATCTAATGCCATTTCTTCAATGATACAATCACTTTACCAGATCCTTGGCCTCGCCTCCTGCAAGTGTGTCTTCCTGATGACTGATCTAAATGGCCCCCTCTGCAAAGTTGAAGAGTTTTCCCAAAAAGTTTCTTTTTTTTTAGTCTATTTCCTCTGCTTTGCATGAAATATACACTACCATTTCTACAATTATTGAGCCTCTACTTCGTTTAAGGCTCATGGTGGGCTCTGGTAAGCAAAATAGTCATAGACTCAGAACTTGACTGGTCTCATATTCTAATGAGAAAAGTAGGTATGTGTTGGGAAAGGAAATATTCAGGCTTGTCATATGGTAAAATATAATAAACCAAATTAAAATGATCAGAAAATCTAGAAACAAACTGGATTTAAGTAGCAAAGGGGGCAAATGTGAACACCACACTTCTAGAACATCTAAAAACAAAGTGTCCTTTAAGTGATGATAAAACAAATTAGTCCACCCACATTAATCCAATTATATTGTTATTCATTATTCTATCTTTGAGTTGTTTTTTTAAAATACAACAGATTTTACTGTGCCAATAAAAGTTATGTATAGTAAGTTAATCAGGGGAAATGTACACCCCCTTCTGCCTACTTCTGACTATTTCTGCTGCCAAATGCTAAAAGATCCATATTCTTAAAGAAAGTTGAAAAACTCTGGCATTTATCTCTATAAACTTCCATTCATAAATAATTCTAGGGACAAAATGAAACTGAAAAATGATGACAATAGCAATATGCTGGTTATGTGTTAAATATTCACTCAACACGTATTTATGGAAAATGTACCCCGTGCCAGCTATGGAGCTCAAAAGCTGACTTCCTTTTAGTCCTCATAGATTTAACAGTCTACAGAGCACAGAGCTATTGACAAATAATAATTAATCTGGAGATTGAGTGAGGGCTTCTCTGAGGAAGAAGTAGCATTAAACAGAATGCAAGATGAGGAGTCAAGCTAAAAAAATATGTCCTGCAGAGAAAAGAATGTGTGTGAATTGTCTAGCTGGAAGAAAATAGGTGAGGCTGTGCAATAGGAAAAGGGGCTAGGGATAACCCTAAGTCCTAATAGCAGTAATATTGCCACAAATAATTTAGATTAAGCCTTTATTCATTTCTGTTTGGCATGGTAGTATTGATATCCAATTGTCTAAAGACTTTGAAGGCTTCTTTACTTGTTCTGCAAATTTTTCTTAAAGTAATGAAGATTCTTACATGACATTACTGTAACTATTGATGCCTCACAAGATTACACTGAAATTTATTTGTGAAAAGTTTTTTTTAATATCTCAATTTAATGAGTCTGAAAGCTGAGATTCTATACTTATTTCAGTGTTATTACAACTTGAAGAAAGTACTGATACTCTTATAGATATGAACTTTGAACTTCAAAATATATATTATTTAAATGTCTAATAAAAAGACATAATTTCTTACAGTACTCTATATTAAGTAATGCCTATGTTCTCAGAATGCTTTTCTACAAAATCAGTGTTTCTGTAGTTGTACACTCAGATTGTATATGACAACTTTATTAGACCATCAAGCTTTCAACCAGAACAGCATTGAAAAAAATCTGCAAAATGGAGAAAATACAGTTTTTTTGTGACTGCTAAATCATAGAGTTTTCACAGGAACATTTTTGGTATTGATTCTTGAAAGCAAAAATTATTTCCAAAATGAGGAGCTCCTATTGGCTGTAGCTTTTAACATCTTCCTTTTCTTCTCATTGCCAGAGTTTATCAGAATAGTTTAATATGAGAAAAGCTCTCAAAAAAAAGAAAGAAAGCTGAAATTGCTTGATCTAGTTAAACATGATTTTTTTTCTAAATGATGTTCAATATTGCTAGAGGTTTTTTTTTCTTCTCATTTAGTCTCAAATTACTACATAAGAAAGCACTTGACATTTGCACACCAGCCTTCCCTCAAAGAGATATTTTAAGTTCTTAAAGAAAAAGGCAAGTGTATATGAGTATTCTAAGAACAGAGGCCTTTTAAAAAATTACCACCAACACTGTTATAAAACTATAGTACAAAAACATGCAGAGGTAGTTAGGAGTGGGGCTGACTTCAGGGAAAGATCTTTGGCAGACTGGGTGGGAAGATTTGAAGGAGATACTGAACTGGAGGAAAGATGATTCTGGATAGAAAACAAAAGATACGATTAAGGAAGAAAGATGATGACGATACCACAAAACATTCAAGACTTCTTTCTACATCAAAACCAGAGAAAAATTTTGCATGTTACTATTGGATTTTGAAAAGTAACTAAAAGTATTTAAAAGTCAGCAGCAATGTAAGCCTATAGAAGTCTGTGGGGCCAAGAGAGGAACTGAGGGCAACATGAGCATTAATAAGCAGTCTGCCTGGTGAAAAGTGGGCTCTCTATCTCCAGATAACAAAAGCAAAATAGCAACAGTAACGAGTTGGGGACATGATACCATGGTATGAAGGAAAACAGAATTACCCACAGTACTTTCCAATTTCAAAGGTGGTCATAAAACCTCTCAATTTACTCATATCCAATACCAACAAGTTGATGAGGTGAAAAATAGGGAAAAGCTACCATGAATATCACTCATATTAAATGTAAACTATATCTTTCCTTCCTTTTATATTCCACTTCATTACCACTGCCTCATTTAGAATCTCATCTCTTTATCCTTGGACTACATCAAGTTGTAATCTCCAGGCTTCCCGGTTATCTCTGGAAACAATTTTGTAATTATATCCATCATGAGTATATGCAAAATCAATCTCATTTCATTCTTAGTTCATTAAGCTACAATGACTTCCTCAATGAGTTAAGCCACTCTGTTCAGCTTGCAAGGCCTTAAGTGTATTTTGTACATTTTCATCCATTGTTACTTCGCATGAATCTCAGTCAACTCTTTCTCTGTTATCCATATTGTCTTTATCATTTTCTTTTTTATCTCTCCTATAATTTCACACTTTCAAAATTCTTTGAGGCTCAATTTAAGTTCTAGTTCTTTCATGACACCAAATTAAAGTACACTAGGTCCAGGTTTTCTCCAACTTTGATCTCATAATACCAGAACCATACATATTAATTCCCCATTTGAAAAAGATTGGCTTAATTTGTCCCCACAAATAGATGTTAAATTCTCACAAGCAGGGACTTTTTATACTACTTTTGTATCCACTGGGGGGCCCAACAGTGTTCTGAGTGTTTGATCATTAATTCAATAAATACTTAGAGACTGGTTTCAGATAACTTTCTTAATATCAAAATTGGACTGCCCTTGAAAGATTATTCAGCAGAAGATACTGATTAAAACAGTCGTTTACAACAAGAGAAGGTTTCCAGTTCATAGATTTTATTGCCTGTTTTTTAGATAATACAAACACTGTAACAGGAAGCATCTTGTAAACAAAATTTGCCTTGACTGTTGGGCATAGCCAGCTTTAACTGCTACTTTAATCTCCGCTAAAGGCTCAGAGAGGAACTGAAATGTGAAGTGTTTAGCAGGGAGATGGTCCAAAAATCAAGTTAGTGTGGAAAATAACCTGAGTGAAAAATAGAAAAACACAGAAACTATGCCAGCTGTAGGAGTTGAGCCTGCACTGTGTCCCTTCACATTTTCCATTAATTCATAATTCTGGGCCACGCATGTTATATCCTCACTCTTTTCAATACTCACAACTTTAAGTTTAGTTTATCATAATTCCTGTCTTGAAAGAAGTGTTTACATTTTAGTCTTCCATTGACTTCTCTATTCTTAGCTCTTATCATTTGAATAGTCTGAGCTTGTTCAACTGTTTCCTTTGTCCCACCAACAAATTTAACCACAAGTTTTGGGGTTGAGATTAAGAAAAATAAATAGGCATAGATTTATATTAAGTTACTCCAGGTTATAAGAAAAAGCAACAAGAAATGGGCAGGTGCAGCATAGCTAGATGACTTGGAGATGTTGTTTTCTTTCACATCTGTGAAAATAAAGGTATATGAGGAATCTACCTCGTGGAATGTCTTGAATTTTAGAATAATAGAATTTCAGATTTAGAGTGGACTTTAAACATAATCTTGCTGAAACTTTTGACCAATACTGTGTATATTACTGAAATTAAGACTTAGTTTCTACATCTATAAAACATGGGTAACAAAATAAAGTTAAACACAGAATTCCCATATGACCTAGCAATTTCAGTTCTAGGTATGTAGGGCTCAAAATAATTGAAAATAGGTATTCAAATAATTATTTCCCACAAATGTTCATGGCAGCACTATGCACAACAGCCAAAAGCTGGAAGCAATCCAAATGCCCATTAATAGATGAATGGATAAACAAAATGTGGTATATTCACAAAATAGAATATAATTCAGCTATAAAACAAAAATGAGTTACTAATATATATATTACATCGTGGATATGAATGAACCTCCAAAGCATTGTGCTAAGTGAAAAAAGACAGATACAAAACGTTAAATATAGCATAATATTATTTTTATGATACATCCCAAAAAGGTAAATCTATAGGGACAGAAAGTAGATTAGTAGTTGCAAGGCACTGATGAGAGAGAAGTAGGATATTGTGCTTTAAGGTATATGGAGTTTCCTTTGTGGGTGATAAAAATGTTTGGAAGCTAGAAAGAAGTGATGGTTGCACAACATTTTGTATGAATTAAATGCCATTGAATGTATATTTTAAAGGGGTTGGCTGTACATTATGTGAATTTCATCTCAATTAAAAAAAAAGAAGGAGAGAAATGCTAGAGGTTGAAATATTTCTGTCTTTTACAGGTCATGTTGCAACTGACAGCATTATCCAATTTAAACTCTCTAACACCATTTACTCTTTGTGGTCCATATAAATTTGATGAACATAATTGTTAATTCATAGATATCTATCTAACATAAATATCTACTTTTACTTTAAAGTATTGCCATGTTAATTAGTTTAAATAAGAAGTAGTATACATACATTTAGAACAGATTATAACTCTCCTGTCATTTACATTTGGATGCAGTTCATGGTGAATTTGCACATCCTTTGAAGAAAAACCTTCATGCTTTAGTTTGTGTTCAGCTATACAATATCCACTATTTTAAGTTGTTGGCAGGAAATAGCTATTTAGTATTAGTCATCTTGCAGAATTTATAACATAATGATTGTAATCCAACCCCAACAACAGAATACTATATTGCCAAGAATGGAATCGGGCTCACATTTATCTTTAATGGAGAAATATGTTCTATTTTAAAAAGCCAAGAAAAAAATAAACAGTCATGGAGGGTTAAAGTTGGCAGAATCTAGCCTAGGTATTACTTTTCAACTTTTCAAGCAACTAGTGAATCACCTATGACAAGTCTAATTAAAACAATTTCTGCTCCGTAACTGGGATACTAAGCAGATGGTAGAAATAAAGATGTGCTGAACAGGCCATAAATAATTGAGGCAGGAAAAAATACAAAGAGAAGTGCAAGCTAGTCCTTGCAGTTTATGTGAGTATGCATAGTTTTCTCTGATATGTTAGCATATGCTTTTAGCATTGTACCTTTACAAATATACATTGTAAGATATATGACATTATTCTTGGAAGCTGGGCCTTGTAGATGTTATAAATATAATCCACAAAAAGTAGCTAAGGATTATGACATAATAATCTGTTGGGAAATGAAATAAAAGGAAAGGCATATAAACCAAATAGACAATTGGAAGGAGATATAAGAGTTTATAGTCCCAGTGAGCCGTGAACTGATAGTGGTAATTGGATTATATAATTTCTCATCATAAAGCCAATACTCATTGTCACTGTGAAATCTGTTTTGCTTCCTGTGCCGAGCCTTCCAATTGAATGGAATTTCACTGTGAAGGGGATTTAAAATATTAAAGAAACAAATGAGCCTTTAAAATTTTTCTGTCTAAACTGTACAATAGTCAGGAACTCTGCACAACACAAGTACATGATATTGTCTTCACAGAACACACATTCCCAGAGCAAGTTCCTTGGCTTACACTATTACCAGTCACACTCAATCAAGTATAGCCCTTCAAGGATTCCATGGGAAGAAATGTGTGAAACAGATTTTGGATATCCTGTAGGGGGCAGTGGGCAAGTTATCAAGGGACTAGGAAATCAATAAACAATGCAGACAATCTAATTTTCAGCGATGCAGGCATAACATGGAGGTATTGCGAATAACTTGGAGATATTTATTTCAGTGGTTTGGTTAATATTACAGTAAATTGAGTCATACAAAATTTTTCATTTCTCAGTGCATACAAAAGCATGCAGTAGCATTATGTCTAAAATACCAATGTATATACCTTAAGTTAAAGTATTTTATTGCTAAAAAGTACTAACAATCATCAGAACCTTCAATGAGCTGTGATCTTTCTGCTATTTGAGGGTCTTGCCTTGATGTTAATGGCTGCTGACTGAGCAGGAAGGTGGTTGTTGAAGCTTGGGGTGACTGTGGTATTTTTGTAAATGAAAGAACAATGAAGTTTGCTGCATGGATTGGCTCTTTCTTTCACGTGAGATTTCTCTGAAGCATGCAATACTATTTGATAGTATTTTACCCAAGGTAGAACTTCTTTTAAAATTGCAGTATATCGTCTCAAACACTGCCACTTCCTTATCAACTAAGTGTATGTAATATTCTAAATCCTGTGTGATCGTTTCAACATTGTTCATAATGTCTTCACCAAGAGTAGATTTCTTCTCAAGAAACCACCCTCTTTGCTCATCCATAAGACGCAACTCCTCATTTGTTCAAGTTTAGTCCCAAGATTGTAGCAATTGAGTCACAGCTTCAGGCTCCACTTCTAGTATTTTTACTCTTTGTTTTGTTTGTTTGTTTGTTTGTTTGTTTGGAGACAGAGTCTCACTCTGTCTCCCAGGCTGGAGTGAAGTGGCGTGATCTCGGCTTACTGCAACCGCCTCCAGGGTTCAAGAGGTTGTCCTGCCTCAGCCTCTAGAGTAGTTGGGACTACAGGCAAGTTCCACCATGCCCAGCTGATTTTTGTATTTTTAGTAGAGACAGGGTTTCACCATATTGGCCAGGATGGTCTCGATCTCTTGACCTCATAATCCACCCACCTCAGCCTCCCAAAGTGCTGGATTTACAGGTGTAAGCCACCACACCCAGCTATGCTCTTAGTATTTCTAACACATCACACTTACTTCCTCCACTATAGTCCTACAGCCTTCAAAGTCATCCCTGAGGGTTAGACTCAACATCGTTCAAACTCCTGTTACTGTTGGTATTTTGACCTCCTTTCATGAATCATGAATGTTCTTAATGGCATTTAGAATGGTGAATATTTTCCAGAGGGTTTCAATGTATTTTGCCCAGACCCACCAGAGTAATCCCTATTCACGGCTGCCATAGGCTTACAAAACATACTTCTTCAATAATCCTAGAAAGGCAAAATTGCTCCTCTAACTGTGGGCTGCAGAATGGATGTTAACAGGCATGAAAACAAGATTAATATCTTTGTACATCCCCATCGGAGCAATTGGATGACCAGGTGCATTGTCAATGAGCAGTAATATTTTGAGAAAGGAACTTTTTTTTTTTCTGAGCAGTAGATGTCAACAGTGGGCTTAAAATATTCAGTAAACCATGCTGTAAATGGATGTGCTGTCATCCAGGCTTTCTTATTCTATTTATGAAGCACAGAGAGAATTGATTTAGCATAGTTCTTAAGGGCCCCAAGATTTGTGGAATAGTCAATGAGCTTTGGTTTGAACTTGAAGTCACCAACTGTGTTAGCCCCAACAAGTTCAAGCTGTCCTTTGAAGCTTTGAAGCAAGCCACTGACTTCTCTATAGATATGAAAGTCTGAGATGGCATCTTTTTCCAATACTTCAAATATAAGGCTGTTTCATCTTCATTGAAAACCTGTTTAGTGTGGCCACTTTCATCAATTTCCTTAGTTAGATTTTCTGGATAACTTGCTGAGCTTCTACATCAGCACTTGCTGCTTCACCCTGCAGTTATAAGCTCTGGAGATGGCTTTATTCCCGAAACCTCATGAACCAATCTTTTGTTAGCTTCAAACTTTTCTTCTGTAGCTTTCTCACCAGGCTTTGCTCTGGATTAGGCTATAGCTTAAGGGAATTTTGTGGCTGGTTTGATCTTCTATCCAGACCACTCAAACTTTCCCCATATCAGCAATAAGGCTGTTTATTTTTCTTATCACTTATGTGTTCACTGGAGTAGCATTTTAAATTTTCTTCAAGAACTTTCCCTTTGCATTCACAACTTGGCTAAATGGTGCAAGAGGCCTTGCTTTCGAACTATCTCGGCTTTCAACACATCCTTCTCACTAAGCTTAATCATTACTGGATTTTTATTTAAGATGAGATACATGTGACTCTTTCACTTGAAAACTTAAAGGACATTATAGGTTATTAATTGGGCTAATTTCAATATTGTTGTGTCTCAGGAATTAGGGAGGCCTAAGAAGGGAAAGAGAGATCAGTGAACATCCTGTAGATGGAGCAGTCAGAATATACATAATTATTGACTAAATTTGCTGTCTTGTATGGATGTGGTTTGTGGTGTCCCAAAACAAATACAGTAATAACATCAAAAACCACTGATCGCAAATCACCATAACAAATATAATAATAATACAAAAGTTTGAAATGTTGCAGAAATTAACAAAATGACATACACAGACACATAGTAGGCACATGCTATTGGAAAAATGGCACTGACAGACTTGCTGTTCACAGAGTTGCCACAAAGCTTCAATCTGAAAATAAAACAAAACAAACAAACAAACAAAACACTGTATCTATGAGGTGAACTAAAGCAAAGCACAGTAAAACAAAATATGACTGTGTTCTTCTATTTGTCAACATACATCAGAAATAGCAGTGAAGTTTGAATATCTAGCTGAACAAGAGATTTAATCTGTGCATGGACCTCTCGGCAATGACTGATCTAAAGCTAGTGCTGGCTTGGGTGATATACTGTGAAAACAACAATGAGAATTCATGGAATTACAGATGAATATTATTCAATGATTTCTTTTTCTCTCTCAAAGTGCTTCCAGGATAAAAAGACACACTAGAAAAGGCAGATGTAATTAAAGGTAATGAGAGATCAAACTTTAATTGAACTATAAAAAAACACCACCTCTTCTACTTGATAATTACACTAACACCACCAGGATCAGCTCCACCATTTTTATTTCCCTTGAACCTTTATTATCACATTATTGGCATGTATATCCTACAATTAAAACATCTTGAATTTATAAAAATGTTAGTTATCAAAGAAATTAAAAAGAAATAAGATGCAGTGATGTGCAGTGGCATAACATCAGCCCATGAACTCATTGCCCCAAATGGTAATGCTCTAAAGTAATGTGAGGTTCCTTAATATATGCTAATTAATGAAGGGAATTCAGTTTAAAAAATCATATACATACGCTCTCCACTCTTCTCTACTGTGAAATATTTTTCTGCTCTCTTTAGTGCATTGAAATTGCACTAGTTTCTTTCTACTTAAAGAATATCTGATAGTTTGTATACATATTAATTTGATTACTTGCAGGTTGATTAGTGAGCACTTTTGGGGAAGGCATGTTGATTCCAATTTTGATTAAAAATAAGCAGAGAACATCTGAAGTTTGATTTGGGCAAATGAACCAATGTCTGGTGTAATAAGTGGAAGAATGGCTCTTAGCTAAAGACACTTGAGAGTTATCACAGAAGATTGGGAATAAAAGGTACTTAAAAGTTTGAAGCACTATATAATACTTCATGAAATAATCACTCTTTAGGAAATAAACAATGATGACACAATAACACAATGATTTTGGAATAATTAAAGAAAAATTTCAATTCATTTTAAAATTCTTACTGCAGAAAAACTCTCATTACCTACTCAGAACTTTTTAGAAACTGATTTGTGGCTTTTTTTTTTCTCAATTTTTTGAGTCCTCTTGGGATTTTGATGCTATTTTTGAGGGAAAATGGTCTCAATTTTACTCAGCTGGGCATGTTTCTAACATGTGTTTCACTGATTGTAGAATTATTTATTAGCCTTCTTAAGATAACATAAGTTTAAAAATGCTGTAAGCCTCCATTTTTTTTCCTTTAATGAACTCAGGTCTACGAAAACTGTCTGGTTAGTTTAAGAGAACCTTAAATTTGGTGGAGGGATGAACAGTGGAATGATTGGAAGTAATAAAGAGTTTCTAAAAGTGGAAACAGGAAACAAATCAATGATGAAATATAATTTTGCTTTCATGAAGGCCTAAAGAATAATGGGCTTTATAAGGAATGATAAAATTAAATTTTAGAAGCAAGGAATGCAGAGGTCTATAGAGGAAGACTTATTCTTTCTGTTAAGACTAAAAATGATAGCTCTACTTAAATCTCTTTTGGCACTAGAAAAATCTTGTGAAATTGAGTTTCATATTCCATTGACATGTCAAGGTATCTTATTCACCCGAGAAACAGTTTCACTTAAATATATGACTTGTTCTGCACCATCACAGGACTTAATTTAAGCATAGCACTTCTACTATCGAGGAGGATCATGCTTGTATCAGCTCCATCAGGGTTACAAGGCAAGTGGAGAATTGAGGCCATCAATTTTAAGGCCATAGAGTTGAAAAGTCTAGTCTTTAGTAAGTGACTTAAAACGTCTTGTGTGGGCTGTATTTATTGGTTTGATGCCACAGCATAATGAAATTTATGAAACAATTATTTTATGTCTGAATTCATGACTAAATTGCTAAACTTAACTTGCCATCCATTTACAGAAAGAACTCATATGAGAGTTCAGTTTTAGAAAAGACACAGGTCATTTAAAAATACAACTAAAGGTCACTATTTCTAAGATCTCTTCTATAATAGGGGTGAGGACAGTCCATGTTTAAAGTAGTAACAGTAGTAAACTGAATATATAGATGAACTTTTAAAATACAGAGAAGGAAAAAGGAAGTCTCACGGACAATAATGTTTTACTTTCAAAACTAAGCTAGCTTTTTATTAAAATATCATATGAAATTAAAGAAAATTTAAGAACCCCAATCACCAATATTGAACCACAGTTATCCTCAGAAAAGGTAGCACAAATATATTCTCAGAAGACATTTTTATTATAAGTGGATTAACTTACTTGGTTTTGTCTCTATCTCAAATACGTAGGTGAGAAAACACAGGTAATTATACTTTGACAATTACAGTAGCCACAAAAAGTTAGTGTTTTCTTCAATTTATGGTACTGAAGAGTATCTAGAAGGTAATATGGTTAATCAGTAAGATGGAAAAACCATTAATAGACCTTCTGTTGTAAGAAACATTATATGGGGCTAATACCTTTGTAATTAAAATGTGAAGCAATCCATTTTCATGTCAGTTACCCTTGATTGCCAGGTTGGCCTATAAATCTATATTGCTTGGAGTGCTGTCTTTTCATTACTTAATAGTTTGCATTCAGTGGAGGAGGATATCCACCCTGAAAAAGAAGTAATATTCTTTCTTCAAGGACATTAATTTTCTTTATTCAAAAACTATTAGTCAGCTATTTATTTTGTCAACAAATATTCTAGGCTTTTGCAGTAAGCACGGTTTCACAAATGCCTTTCCCTATGGTAAAATGTTATTTATACAGCTTACTTTCCATTCGATATATGGGTATTTTTATTTTTCTTCTAGAGCTTTTGTAGTGAGGAACATTGGAACTTTACCCTAGCTAATTTGCACTCTTGATCATGACTATTAAGTTAGTGGTTGTGAACTTACTTGTTTTCACTCCAGGATATCTTTTAACGACCAACTAACAATGTTGACACAGAAAAAGCAATGAGCAAATAGGCACTATTTTTTCCCTTAAATCTGGCTAAAGTTTAAACCAGCATTTTTTGAGACACTGAGCTATGTATTAGTCAGCATATTCCACTCATGCTTTTCAACGTAGGATAACAGGTTCAACAAAAAGAAATCTGAAAATCCTGTCAGTAGTCTTCTCTAACCATCACGGTAGGGCATCTTTCATAGTCAATACCATTGCCTCAGACTAGCCACTTGCTTGAGGGTGATAAGGTATAACTGTGATAGTTCTGATAAGGTTTGTGCACTCAAATATTTTAAACACTACTAGAGTAAATGTAGACTCTTTGTCCAAACCATTAATTGCTAGCTAGCCATGTGTTGCAGATAACTGCAACACAGCTGTTAAGAGTTGAAGTGTGAGCTAGAGTTAGACACATTTTCTACTACTTTGAGGCAAAATCTATTATAATCAATATATACTTTCTCTGGGTTGGTGCAACTCTATCAAGATGGAATCCTGACCAATACTTTTTGGTCAATTTTCATTACAAATTAGGATATTTTGTTTGGTGATTTTGCCCATGTTGAAAATAGATATTTTTAAGTATTTAAATTTGAGTATAAGCTAAATTCTTTTTATTTTTTCATCACGTTATATACCAACTGAGACCCTATTTCACAGGTACTTACTCTGGGATCCATTTTAATAAAGCAGTTTCCATTTGGAGTATTGTCAATCACTATATCACAGGACAGGGATATTTTAAACCAAGATTTGGCATTTAAAAATAATATTCTACTTGGCACTGACATACACCAAACTAAGTCTCATGGCCGTGATACATTACAGCAGAGTGGGAATATGTGATCTTTTCACAGGCAGGAGTACCACAAAAAAGACACCAAAATAATATGATGCATAATATTTGTATCTACTTTGGTAGTAACATTTTAGGAAATAAATATTATGATGTCATATAATACATTATAGCCAATCTTTTATCTGCTAGTCTTGAGACATCAGTGGTGATAAAGAGTAGTTTATATTTATTTTAAAATGGTAATACAGCTATAGAATTTTTAAAAAGCTTGATTATTTATCCATCATCTTGGAAAATACATTAAATACAGTTAACTATATCATAGAATATTATAGTGATGATTATCTTTATAAAGGTGGAAAAAGTACTCTGTATAAATGTAGTAGCAACAGAAAGGTCTGAAAATCTTGTGTTGTCATTGAAATGACTAAATTATAGACCATGTACCTTATCTTCAGTGAGTTAAATTCCAGAAGCATTGATGTGATGGCTCAACTTGTGACACAAGATAATACATTTTCACATTTTTAAATTCAGAAACTCATACATCCTATGTAGATCTGTCTGAAGTCATTCTGATGGTCACTCATCTGTATATTACGTGATCCTGACTCTCTGGAATTTGTACTATACTTTAAAGCCCTAGTATTGAGGAGCAGGAGAAGGAGGAGGAGGAGGAGGAAGAAGAACAGAAGGAGGAAGAGGAGGAGAAGGAGGAGGAGGCGGAGGAGGAGGAGACATATATCAAAGAATTCCAAACTCAAGTATATTCTATGGAAAGAACTTTAATAAGTGATGGTAATAATTCATTACTAGCCTAATGCTGTGTTTCCAGTGACAAAAAGAAAAATGACACTCTCTGAGCAAGCATAGGGCTTTCTTAAGTGGATGGCATCTTTGTGCATCCTTCCTTCCAGGTAGGTGTAGCCTTGCACCATGTCATACGGCTTGAACCAATCTCAGTTTCCTTTACCTCCTCAGCTAGACAACCTCAAACAATGCAAAAACTATTCAAGCAAATGTGAGAGCCCTAGTTATTGAGTATTTATGGTAGCTTAATTAAAGATATGTCTTTATACACTTAGCAAAACCAAGTTTCACAAAGATTTTGCTCCAGAAATAAGTAATTGCTCAAGTGTTCATTTCACATTGTATTTCCACTCTCCATGATTATCTTGCCTCTAGCTGAGCCTCTGACTTAATCTCCTTCACTTCTAATCCCACTCAAAAGTTACACATCACTAATACTGGCTCTACTTATACTTCCTAATCATAACTCTGCTTCACATGTCCATGCATTTGCACTTTGACAGCTTCCCATTTCACATTCCACCTGCTATAGCTTCTGAAAACCCAGCACAAACGTTTATGTTTTCTATGGAAGTCATGAAAATACAACATAGAGACTTTCTGCTGCAGAAAAAATAGTTGATTCATAGCCCTGTTTCTGTTCTCTGAATCTACCAGTGTTTATGCCAAGATCATGCTTCTCTTGAGATGATCCAAGCATTGATACAACGGCAGATCTATTCCTGCAAAATATGTCTTCTCTGACCACTGACTTTGGTTCAAGGACATTCTATTGATGTGAGCAAGTCTTTCTTAGAGATGTGCTACAGTCTGAGACTGTTCCTAATCTTACCTCTTTGCTACTGTTTTTCCAGAAGTCAGACCTGTCTTATTCCTTCTCTGGCTCTGCAATCCCCATTTTATTTTACATGTGTTTCCTCAATAAATCTCTTGCATAGATAAACTCTTATGAGCATCTTTTGTTAGAGGATCTGAACTAAGACAATTGATACTGAAAGAGGTCCAAAAATAGGTGGCAAGATGGGAATTGGAGACAGGATCAATCACCTGCCCACAGGTAAAATGGATGTCATCCTAAGTGGTAGGTGAGGCATAGACAGTCTCTGGCACAAGATGGTACCCTAATTGCTATTGATTTCACCACTTGAGACATGAAAATATGTTCCAATGGAATAAAATACCCTTTCAAATGCAATAATTCAGGCATTTGAAAGATAAGAGTTTACGAGGCAGCATCAAAAAGACAAGGACTTCTATATTATGTTGGTGCCTTGCAGAGAAATAATGAGAAACTGATGGATGTAAACAAGCATTTAACAGCAAAATGTGAGCACCAGAGGGTCTTTTTGCTGGCTTAAATAGATATCCAGATCTCCTGGAGAAGAACAGATACAGCAGCAAATTGAAAATTTGATAATTATATTTGCATAACTTCAGAGACATCTGAAAGTCCTTCAAGACAGGTGTTTTTGTGCTAAAATCAAGGCCCTGGTTAAGACAATCTGGGACTCTGAAGCTTGGGATGGGAATATCTAGACAAGTGTCCATGTAGATGATGACTTATAGACACCCTTGAACTGGCAGAGCTTGGAGAAATAGTTCACTTTTGTGCAGTAAACTAGTTCTTTCACTCCTTTATTAGACTATAAGACCCAGCCTGGGTAGAGTGACTTGCACCTGTAATCCCAGCATTTGGGGAGGCCTATGTGGGTGAATCACTTAAGCCCAGGAGTTGGAGACTAACCTGGGCAACATGATGAAACCCTATCACTACTAAAAACTACAAAACTTTGCTGGGCGTGGTGATGTATGCTGTAGTACCAGCTACTCAGGAGACTGAGGTGAAAGGATCACTTGAACCTGGGAGGCAGAGGTTGCAGTAATCTGTGATTGCACCACTGACCACTGCACTCCATCCTGGATTACATAGCAAGACTCTGTCTAAAAAAAAAAAAAAAGAAAGAAAAAGACTATAAAACTTTAAAATACTACACAGTCCCATTTCTCCTTCCTACTAGGTTGAAAACTAGAGTTGAAAGTTACCATGATCTACGTTAAGTGTGTTCTGGGCCTGATAAGAAAAGAAAGAAACAACACACTTAAGGAACTGCAGTACTAAGGTAGCGTTTATTGACAGGAGAAGACATGTACAACTGTGATTGCATTTTGAGAGTACTGGATCAAAGTGATGGAATGTAAGATCAGAAAAACAAGAATTCATTGACATGGGGTTCACTCTCCGACTTTGGTCTTAACATCTTGGCAAAGAACCTAAAAAATGAGGAAAACTCTCTGTAAGTGTTATTCTTAGAAACCTGGAGAAAGTGATGGCTAATACTAAGCAAAATGGAAATTCTTGAGTCGCTCTGGAAGAAAACAGTGAAAGGAATAAAGAGGCTGAAGCACTTGGGAACGTGGAATGGATTTATTATGTGAGGCCTGAAGACCTACCATATGGTTATGCTCCACAGGAAGAACTAGAGATCAAGGCCATCAGGATGTGCCAATAAGACGGAGACAGGATCACTAATAAGCTTGGGGGTGCCTCTCCTCTGTAGGTCAGGGTTGATGGTAGACAAGGTTTTCTCAGATTTGAGCTTTGTAATACCTATGAGATAATGACGCCCCAAAATATTAGAGGCCAGGTATAAAAGTTGAGCACCAGAAAGCAGGGAAGGCAATTACTCTGATGTCCAGCAAGGTCACATAGGCAGCCAAGGGAGCTTGACTTACAGGGAGCTGGGATGATTAAAAGAGCAGGAAGCCTCTAAAGGCAAAATAGATGGGCAGACCACAAGGAGGCTGCTTGACATCTACAACTCCCCTTCCAAAAACAAAGCAAAACAAAACAAAACAAAAATAAAAAACAAAACAAAACAAAACAAAAAAACAGAAGAAAACAAAAATCAAGACACAGAGGTTTGGCACACTCACCCTCAATAAAAAGCCATTACTCAACTTAAGCGTCCAGTGATTGATGACTGGGAAAAGAATGTGGTATATATACACCATGGAATATTATGCAGCTATAAAAAAGAATGAAATCATGTCTTTTCAGTAATATACATAGAGCTGGATGCCATTATCCTAAGTGAAATAACTTAAAAACAGAAAATCAAATATCATATGTTCTCACTTACAAGTGGGAGCTAAACAATGGGTATACATAGACACAAATATGGAAATAATAGACACTGGGAACTCCAAAAGTGGGGAGGGTAGGAAAGAGATGAGAGTTGAAAAATTATTTATTTGGTACAATGGTCACTATTTGGGTGACATGAGAAGCCCAAACCTCCCATTATGCAATGTATCCATGAAATAGATATGAACATACACATTCTGAATCTGTAATTTTTCAAAAGAAGTCGTGATTACTTGCTGAGTTCTCAGACCTGTGCTAAGTTTTAGATTTGGAAGCCAATGACTGAAGAGGTGGTCAGGTTCATAGGAAGAAGCACCATGCAACACTACAGAACATCAGAAGTTGTGATGATTTCCCTATTCATAACACTGTACACTAAAGAATGGGAAATACTCATATATTTGAAGACAGTTGGACAGAGCCTGAGTGTAACTTGACATTGACAACTAAAGTCTTAATGTGTCATCATTGACCCTATGTAAGATTGGAGGCTTAAGTATAATAGGAAATAAATGGAGCACTGACTAAAATCTAACCCACAATGGCCCACTGTGTCCATGGATCCACCCAGTAGTTGTTTTCCAGGTACCCAAATACAAATTGGACTTGACTATGCAGTTGGAGTAATACTCACATTGAGTCTTTGGCTTGCAGAATGAGAGATATGACTGTGAAGAAGGACCACTTGCCACCTCTTGAAATGCCATCCTCCCTCCAGCTAAGATTGAGTCAAAACAAATATCACATCCCCAGAAGGATGTTGCAGGTTATTACTACCACTAAAGATCTAAAGGTTATAGGGGAGGTCATTTTTATTATATCTGCATTAATTTACTAGTCTTCCCCTACAAACAACTGTATAGATCTAGAGAATGATTATAGACTACTGTAGACTTAACCATGTGGCTGCTATAGTTGTGGATGCTTTGCTGACAGTCACCATTACTAGAATAATTTAATAAGGTTTCAGGTACATGGCATATACAATGGCATATAGTTATTGACATGGAGAATGGATTATTTTACCTTCTGATAATAAGACAGGATTTTTATAAGTTCATGTTCATATGAGAAAGTAAAGAATGTTTATTTGAAGTTTGGTTTCAGAGGTACATTAATTCTTTTTACCCTCTTTTATAACTTCTGTTATAGTCTAAACTGAATAGCCTGGGGATTCCATCAAATATCCAATGAATTCCTCACATCAATGACATTAAGGTGATCAGACAGCATAAGCAAAAGGAAGTTAGTTCACTGGCAGCCTTAGTAAGATATAAGTGTTACATATTATAGGACATAAACCATCAAAGATTCAGGAACATGCTACTTTAGTGATGTTTTCAGAGTCCAGTGTTCAGGATGTGTCAAAAAAACCCCACAAGAGAAAAGGAAAATTGACTCATCTTTCATCCTTTATTACGAAGAGGGAAGCACCTTACATGGTAACCCTCTTAGGGGTTTGAAGGCAACATATTCTGCACCTCAGAATGCTATCTCGCCCATATAACAGATGGCACTGATTGCGGCCAGCTTTGGGTGAGGCCCAGAGGAGGAAAGTGTTCCTGTTACTGAAGCTGATCAGGCTATGATGCTTACCATCAGCTATCACATAGTAGAGGGCTGTAGCTTACTCCACTTACCATCTGTATTTTCCCCTCAGCAAGTGAGGCCTGAAAGAACCAAGGAGGATGTGCTCCCCAAAGCTAAATTCGGAAGTGATTTTATGGTACGTATTAGCTCATTTTCATAATGCTATGAAGAAATACACAAGACTGAGTAATTTATAAAGAAAAAGAGGTTTAATGGACTCACAGTTCCACATGGCTGGGGAGGCCTCACAGTCATGGCAGAAAGCAAAAGAGGAGCGAAGGCACGTCTCACGTGGTGGCAGGAAAGCAAGCATTTGCAGGGGATCTGTCCTTTATAAAACCATCAGATCTCATGAGACTTATTCATTGTCATGAGAACAGCATGGGAAAACCCGCCCCCAAGATTCAATTACCTCCCACCTGGTTCCTCCCACAAAATAAGGGATTTATGGGAATTATAATTTAAGATGAGATTTGGGTGGGGACACAGCCAAACCATATGATGGCACAAGGGGTGGACTGTGGCAGACACTTAAGATTCTACTCAGCTCTCCTGCTGTGGGAAATATAAGTGATGGACTTCTGTACTCTTCATTTTTCACCACATTCATGCTGAGACTATGACTTTCACTGGCTGCTCCCAGCCAATGGCTGAGCATAGGGTGATAGTAAGGAAGGCCCATTTCTGCAGAACTCCTCTAACAGGAGTGGCTGCTCAAGGACTCCCATCAACTTTATCAAAACTTTCTTAAAGCTGTGCTACAAACTGAGACTCTTCCTACTACTTCCTACACAGAAGCCAAGAATTGAGGTTTGGGAACCTCCACCTAGATTTCAGAAAATGTGAGGAAATGCCTGGATGCTCAGACAAAAGTTTGCTGCAGGGGCAGGGCCCTCATGGAGAACCTCTGCTCGGGCAATGTGGAAGGGAAATGTAGGGTCGGAGCCCCCATACAGAGTCCCTACTGGGGCACCACCTAGGGGAGGTGTGAGAAGAGGGCCACCACCATCCTTCAGCCCCCAGAATGGTAGATCCATCAACAGCTTGCACAGTGCACCTGGAAAAACCACAGATATTCAATGGCCAGACTCTGAAAGCAGCTGGGAGGAAGGCTGCACCTTGCAAAGCCACAGGGGTGGAGCTGCCTAAGACCATGGGAACTCACCTTTTGCATCAGTGTGACTTGGATGTGAGACCTGGAGTCAAAGGAGATCATTTTGGAGCTTTAAAATTTGCCTGCCCAGCTAGATTTTGGACTTGCATGGGCCCTGTAACCCCTTTGTTACAGTGCACCTGTATTTTGGCCAATTTCTCCCATTTAAAATGGCGTATTTACCCAATATCTGTACCCCCATTGTATCTAGGAAGTAACTAGCTTGCTTTTGATTTTACAGGCTCATAGGTGGAATGGACTTGCCTTTTCTCAGATGAGACTTTGGACTGTGGACTTTTGGTTTAATGCTGAAATGAATTAAGACTTTGGGGGACTGTTGGAAAGGCATGATTGGTTTTGAAATGTAAGGACATGAGATTTGGACGGGCCAGGGGCAGAATGATAACGGTTTGGCTCTGTGTCCCCACCCAAATCTCATTTTGAATTGTAATTCCCACAATCCCCACACGTTGTGGGAGGGACCAGGTGGGAAGTAATTGATTCATGGGGGCAGGTCTTTCTTGTGCTGTTCTCATGATAGTGAATAAGTCTTATGAGATCTGATGGTTTTATAAAGAGGAGTTCCCCTGCACAAGTTCTTTCTCTTTGCCTCCCACCATCCATGTAAGACGTGACTTGCTCCTCCTTGCCTTCTGCCATGATTTTGAGGCCTCCCCAGCCATGTGGAACTGTAAGTCCATTAAACCACTTTTTCTTCCCAGTCTCAGGTATGTCTTTATCAGCAGTGTGAAAACAGACTACTACAACAGACCTCCAATAGTACAGATATAGTCCATTATTCCTGTAAAACCATTTCTGGTTAACTCCATACTGACACACAGCAGAAAACAACTAAAAAATTTACATGCACACACACACACACGTATATGAACACACATATGTATATGTACACATATATGTATATGTGGGTAGTCACTATAGCTATAAACTAACATTGAATAATTTTGAGTTCAAAGTTTTAAGCATTGTCAAGAAAAATTCAGGTGAACATCCAAACTGTCTTAAATGTTTATTCCCTAAAATTTTCTCTAAAATAGCAATTTTTTCTTGTTTAACATTATAGGCCAAGGTGGGCGGATCATGAGGTCAGGAGATCAAGACCATCTTGGCTAACATGGTGAAACCCCGTCTCTACTAAAAATGCAAAAAATTAGCTGGGCACGGTGGCGGTCACCTGTAGTCCCAGCTACTCGGGAGGCTGAGGCAGGAGAATGGTGTGAACCCGGGAGGCGGAGCTTGCAGTGTGCCTAGATGGCTCCACTGCAGTCCAGCCTGGGCGAAAGAGCGAGACTCAGTCTCAAAAAAAAAAAAAAAAAAAAATTATACAAACTAAGTACAACATTAAAGCATACACAAGAAAGAAATATAAATGGATATACATGTGGACATGCCCATCTTCACAAAAACAACTTTTTGTATATATGGACATATGGACATATGTATAGAAACATATATACACATACATATATATATAGAAATATACATAAATACACACTTATACATATATACAAACTAAGTACAACACTAGAGGCAGATACAAGAAAGAAATATACATGGGTATACATGTGGACATGCCATCTGCACAAAAACAACTTTCTGTAAATACGGACATATGGACATATATATAGAAACATACATATATACACACACATATATAATATATGTGTATATATACATATAAACCAATACATATATGGAAACATACATATATACCCATATATTATATATGTATAAATATATACATACATTATGTATGCATAAATATATACACATATATGTATAAATATATTTACACATATGTATGTATATATGTATGTTTCCACATATATATGTATGTATATATGTATGTTCTTATATATGTCCATATGTCCATCAACAATTTATGTTACTGTCACCAAAGAAATAGATTAAAAGAAAGTGTACCAGAATATACTAACTCTGGACAATGGACAAATATATAGAAACATATATATGAACATATGGAGATATATATAGAAACATATATGTATATTGGACATATGGATATACATATAGAAACATACATATATATTATATGTATGTTTGTGTATATATGTATTTTATATATACACATATAATATATATGTTTATATATGTATTTCCATATGTCCAATATATATGTGTCTATATATATGTCCATTGTCCAGAGTGAATATATTCTGGTACACCCTCTTTTAATCTCTCAATTTCTTTGGTGACAGTAACATAAATTATTGATAGCCAACAGTATAATATATATTTAATTTAATATTTGTTTATGTAAACAACAATATAAGTTTTTTATGTAATAATGTTATAAAATAATAATACAATACCTCTGGGATGGGGATTATAACAGGAAAAGTATTAATAATAATGCTGTTGAATAATACTCTTGACTATACTGTTGAATAATCTATATTATTATATTTTAAATATAATGTATTTATCTTTTATTTTATTTTATTTTTTTAATTGAAAATCTTTTATAAAACATTTCATGAAATGCTAAATCGCTATTTGTTAAAGCATAATAAGTTGTTTCAGAATATTGTAATTTCATGTTTAGTTCACCTTCCCCTCTCCACAAATTATGGATAATTTTAAACATAAGTAAAAGTAGACAGAGTAGTATAATGAGCCCCAAAGTACTTATCACCTGTTTCTTTTTTTAATATATTTTACTGACTTTCTTTTTGTTTAATGAGTTGAATAAAACCTATATTGTTATAGGTTATTCAACATATATTCGATATATAATAATTATATATACTAGATATATTTTAATCATTATTAATAATATTAATAATGGTTAATGTTATTAGTTATTATGAATTATATAATATATAATAATACTGTTGAATATACAGTTGAATGACCTATAATAATATATAATAATATAGGTCACTCAATATATATTCAATATATTATTAATAATAATATAATAACCTGTAATATGTAATTATCGGTTATTCAACTACAGGCAACCACATACCATAAGTCAAAAATATTAAGGGTCACTTCCTATAAATCATACACAATATATAAATGGCCAATTGGTTAGTATTGTATCTGAGAACTAGAAGAAACTTTCAAGGTCATTTAATTCAGCTCCATATTTTCTTCAAAGTAGAGGTGATCTTTTAAAGTATTTCACAAATATGAAGTACTATTGACTCCACAGGCCTGTACTATCACAAGCTGTAATAATATTTATATAAAGATCACATAATTATTTTTTCATAAATTTGAAAGCAGACCCAAAATTGGAAATGCTAAATCAAAACCAAATCAATCAAAACAACAAGAACAAAGCAACATCTCTGATCTGGAACACAGTTAACAAACCACCAAACAAATATTCAAAGTTATTTTCCTAGAAAAAAAAATAAGACATTTAAATTTATTAAACCGACACTTTTTGTGTGCATAATTTAGTGGGTTTTTTTTACAAAAAACATGCAGCATCATACAAAATATTAGCAAAATACTGAAACATATAAATTAAAACAGTTATCTTTTTAATATAAAGATAAAATCAGTACATCTTCAGTATTTGTATATTTATAATATACGTTTTGTTGTTCTTTAGTTTTAAAAATTGACAGATATAGTATCATATTTAGTAGCTTAGGAAATAAAGTTTGTAGTTGTGATTTGTTCATGTTATATATCTCACCCATATTAACCAATAATTTTACCTTATTTAAAATCAAGTTTATGATATATTTTGAAATATTTAAAACCTTTATGATATAAGACAGTGGGATACTAAAGTAACTCAAACTTTTTTCTATTCACCTTTGACAAGAAAATCCAAATTTTAATCTTAGCTCTCTCATAGTGATGTAGGGTTAATCTATTTAACATTTTTGCCCCTCAGTTTCTATATCTTTAGAAAATTGATAATATTAGGAAAGACATTAAAATGTTGTAATAAAGATTCAACAAGTGCATAAAATTGCTAATGAATAATACACTTAAGCTATCTAATATCAGACAAAAAAACTCGGCTCTGGGAATAAGAAATGCCTGGACATGTATCTGGAGGAATCTTTTGCAACAACTTATCCAACATTATTATAATTCATCAGGAACTATGAGTGCCCTTGAATTTTAATTCTTTTCTGTAGCTACTTGGAATCGGGGAGAAAAAAATGAAGCCTCGTGGCTCTACTCAGGAAGTAACAATAAATAATTCAGCTCAGGACAGAGATGTCAGGGCATATTTGGGGTATAAAAATGCAACAGGTAAGAGCTCAATTAGCAAGATTCTAGTGAGAGAGGATTAACAAGTTTTCCATCCGCAGTCATAGATTTGTTCACCTCCATTACCTCCCCCTACCTTACCATCAAAATACAATTAATTTAACATAACTGTTTTCTCAGGTTGGAGTTTGTCCCGTAATTTGCTTTTAGTATGATATATATATTTTTTACAAATACGATTATGGTGAACAATCAGATATACAGTACTGTGTTTCTCAGAATCACAGGGGGTAAAAGGTGGCCTTATAATAATTTCAGTATATATAAACCAGAATGTTAAGCGTTGGTCCAAAATGTGGAAAGAATAAAAAAAGCTGAGGAATGTATTATTTTTCTCATGTTTCAAGGGGCAGAAACTCTAGAATGGAAAGCAATTGAGACAATGCTGGCACAGTCATCTCAGGACTCTGAGTCAATTCTCAGCTATCACAACTCTGGTGTCTCAGGAAAAATTTTGATAGAAATATCTAAACTTACCATGACAGCAACCTTATAGTGCCAGAGAGGAAACCCTGTACTCAAGAGAAGGGTGAGAAAAAGTAGGAAATGTCTGTAAATGGGAAGAACTTGAGTTTTTAAAAAAATTATCTGAATGTTGGAAATAAGCAGAAGAAATTCCTGTGTGTTCTTTCATTGTGGTTCTGAGTTTGAACCTTTCATTTATTTTATATTGACTGGACTATTCCACAACTCTGTAGGAGTGAGTTTAACTTGCAGATTTTTTTCTGGAAAAGATGCAAGTAATTAATTTTGATGGGAAAGATAACCCCAAGGGTAGGACATTAAACAGGTTTGTATCTAACCCAACAATTTTATGCTAGATTGATCATAAATACCCAGTTCCTCAAATATTCTTTGAACTTATGTGTGTGTGTGTGTTTTAAATATATTTTACTGGTTTTCTTTTTGTTTAATGAGTTGAATAAAACCTTAGACACACATTCATTTTATATTTGCATGAGAGTAACAATGTTACTATTTTGAAAATTATACTTTACATCTCTCTTGGCAGAGGATGAAAAATATCTAGCCAGACATATGCTAGAAAACTAAAACTATTTATTATGTGAGTATTCAAGGAGAAGGAGGAAAGAGTTCTTATTTGTTAATCAGCTCTTGTGCTCTTCATTATTGTGAAGAGTCTGGGCCATTGTCAAGTGGGAGGATTGGAAGAAGCAAGAAGAACTAAATTGATGCACATTAAAAAGAGCTGAGCCAGAGAACTGACAGGTGAAATAATGGAGAACCTTATAAGCTGTAGTCCAGTGGGAGGGTCATTATTTCTTTATTGAAATTGTTGAGAAGATTTTGGAGTACTTGTGATACAACAGAAATATAAAGATTGACAGTAATGGCCAAAAGAGACTATTAAAGGATTGTGTTGTACTTAATGAGAATATATTTTTGTGTATTTTTGTGAAGAAACTAACCACATAAAGACGTATGTGGTTTTTCTTTAAATATGTTAAAGCAACTTCTCAAGACAGAATATTTGTGAGCATGTTGTCCAAAGTTTCATTTAAATTTGCCACTAGGGAAATATACTTCTAAAAAAGACATTTCAAAATTTTATATTTAATAGAGAATTTTCTAGGGGAAAAAAGGTACTAGATTAAATTAACATAGTTATAAGAGGGGAAGAATTTGCTAATATTATTAGCATAGTAATTAGACTGGTTAAAGGATCTTGTGACTTTAAATATCTGATTTGAGGATTTGGGGCTGAGAACAAGCACAATAGCTGCCCCTGTTATAATCTAACCTCCCAGAAGTTTCTGTTCATCACTTCTAACAGTCAAGTTGGCTCCAGATTATCTTCCAGAAAATCATTCAAATTATTTTATTCAAAATGATCGATAACATAACATTGGCTTTTCTCAGGGTTAGCAAAATGTATGTTTTATTGTGATAGCTTACTGGACTTTGTATGTGTTAAATGTAGATTAAGTGCTTAATACATTGCCTGACAGTAAACATTTAAAAAACAAAAAAAAAATTAGTTATTTCCTATGAATGAAACAAACATAAGTACTGAGTATGAATTGAATAATAATTATAAAATTATAAACAAATGATAAAAAATTGAGGCACACACACTTATTTTACAATTTATCTATTCATCATTAACTCTATCAAATAACTGTTATTTGATAAAATAAATAACAGTTATTTGATAAAAATTATTTTAATTACTCCCCCAAATATTTCAAGGTCACCCTGAGCAACAGGCCGTATTTATTTCTTGGCACATAGCTTCCAAGAGGCTTTCATAAGCTGATTCCTACTCTGTTAGATATCAAATGTCTTCCACTCCTTCTCCAGCTATTTCTCAATTCTCACGTTCTGTGCAGTTTTCAACACCTATTTCACATACTAGCATTTCAGATAAGTGCTTCCTATCATCCAGCCTCAAGCAATTTCTTGCTTCTCTGATGTTCCCTGGCACCTTTTCTTACATTTTTGTTGACAGGCATTGCTTGCTACCATGTATTAAACATATTTACATCCTTCCTTCCCTATTAGGCCATAACCTCCTTTTATACAACATTTCATTTTCTAAATGATTGCATCTTAATTTTGCTTTGTTTCCTGAATCAATACTTTGCATCCATATTGTATAGTTAAGATTTTGCTGAACAGGAAAAGCAATCAGACTTCCTCCGCACTCTGCTAAGAATGATGTGTGATGTGGTCATCCATCTCCACCACAAAAGTGGCAGTGATAGCTGTGTCTGTTCTTTCTGGTTTACAGAAGAATACAGCCCTGGTCAGCTAACGGTGACATTGGAAGGATGGTAACAGCTGGTTGTACCCGTAGTCCTAAAAATTCTTGATAGGATCTCCTTCTCCACAGGTCAGAGGGCTGGAAGTTAATTATATTTTACAATCACATACCCCTAAAGCAACCACAACTTTTCAAGCAAGGAGCAGTATTTTTTCTTGCTTATAGACTGCTCTGCACAGAGTTTCAAACACAGGGACCAGAAGCACTATCTATGCCTCATTACCATTTAAATAGGCTGATCAATGAGAATTAGCATGTAATTTGAATTACAACACCCACCTCCTGCTTCTTAGAAGTGTTGGTCCTCCAACCTTTTTTGAGTAGTTGCTACATTTTCCAGAGAGGATTCACTCTTCAAATCTAAAAGCAGGTGTATGTCTGTGTTTTGGTGCAACAATTTAGATGGAGCCATTGATCCCTGATTCTGCCCAAACTTCATCTACATCCAATATAATCTATTGTCCTATTAAAATACAAAATTTGTAATAGCCACCTCAGCCAACTCCTTACAACAAATATTTTGATTCAATGTCATCCTTAGTTTTAAGTCTATACTTTCACTGCATCAATTTAACCAGTAGACCTACAGCTATATTATCATGTCTCCACATAGGCAAATATACTGACAGGACCTAATTAACACTTATGGTAGAACTATTTTATAATTTCACATACTTTGTCAGCTTTATTTATGTAGACGACCACCTCGAATATTTTTGAACTGCAAATTTTCCTATGTATATGGTGAAGATAGCAAAGAAGTACTTTCTAGGATGCAGTTGTAATTGCCAGTCACCAGTATGTACTCTGGAACTGTAAGCAATTTCCAGCTGAGAGCTCGGAGAGTATTATTTAATGTTCAGATGATATAAAATTCTCTCCTTTCAACTAGTAATTCTTTTGATCCTCAAGTAACTTTCCAACTCTAGGAATACATAATTTTGATGCAGTTGAAAAGGGAATGATAGTGTTAGGCCGGCATATCCAATTCTGTAGGGTCTGGGGTTCATAAAATATTTTTATATCTGTGTTCCAATATTGTATTTTTTGTTCCATCATATTATTTTCATTTAAAAGTGCTATTTATTCTTGTTGAATGTTCTCTCTTCCTCAAATATTCAATGTCTCCTTGGGACATAGTAGACTTTATTTTTTTTTATGTTACTATATCTTCATATGATAGTGTACTATCATAGTGCCTGGATCACAGTTAGCATTCACTACATATGAGTTGAGTGAATGGACAATGGTATTTCCAAGTACTAACCTGAATAGGTTTTCATTCCCTATTAAACTCCATCAATTCCCTAGGCTACTCCAAATAAACATATTATACATAAAAAATTCAAAATTGGTTTGGATATGCAAACTCAGGGAAATTTCTATAGCCTATTTTTCCATCCAGATTGCTACTCGTAGACTTCTGCTATGTAGCAACAAATAAATAAATAAATAAATAAATAAATAAATAAATAAATAAATACGTGAAAACTGTATAGCCAGCAGACAAATTAAAGAGGATTCCAATGATGTCATAAAATGGTATAGTGCTCTCTAGAGCCACTTTTAAGATGATTAGGATTTGGAATTCATAGATCTCTTATTTGGAAATGTGTAGGTTGAGGACCCAGTCCTCAAATAGTTATTTATTGGAATTATTTTAACTTTAAATATTAAATAATTATATGCTATATTTCCTGTGCATCTATAGTTATTTAAAAATGTAAATAATTAGATAGAAATGATATAAATCCATTTTAGTTATCAAAATTTTTTTATGTTTTTGTTTTCATACAGAAATGGTACACTATTTAGTTTCTGTAATAATCTTGTGTTTGCAAGAATTTGGGATGATAGTATTTATAGAATTATTCAAGGTGGCAAGAAAGCAGTAACATCAAAAACAACAAGAAAGTAGGAAGATTTATTTGGATTTTTTTGTTGAAACATACTTTTTAATGGTGATATAGCCAATGTATTTAATTAGAGTATGAGCTATTTTCTTATTTTATTGACCCATTATTTTGTGTAAACATTCACACACAAATTGAATTATATTTCCTATATGTGCCTAAAGGTCCCAGTCATGTTTCCATGTTCAGGCTACAATCACTCTAAAGAAATTCTTTCTTCAGTAACCTTAGAAATCTAATTTAACCATTATATGCTCAATGTATTTTTCTCTAATCTCATCAGCTAAACAAATTTTCTTACTCCTCCGAATCCCCCCTTTTAAAATGTGTATACTCTCCTTGGAACTGAAATAATTGTCTACCACATGTAAAACTATTATAGGCATCATTATGTTCCCTTTTGAACCATGTTCTCCCAGAGGGCAAGATACATCAGTTAATCCCCTTTATATTTTGGAGCCTCTAGTTGACAAGTATTTTTGAAAGAGTTAATGAGAATTTACATTTACATCCCAAAATATCTATCTTGGTTTCCCAACATTCACACTTATCATTCAAAACTTGTGAAATGGAGAGACAGAAGAAAAAAGAGAGAGGAAGAGAATGGAGGGGGGGGGGGGGGGAGAAAGAGACACAGAGACACAGAGAATCTTATAATATACCTCTGACTTTGCCCAATTTAAATGTTTCATATTGTACTGTGCTGGAAATAAAGTTCATGCCAGCAGGTTCAAAGTTTTAAATTATTAGAAACAATTGTTATCCTAAGGAACTACTATATATACGGTCAGAATGGTAAAATGATTTTTGTTAGAAATCACATTTAAATTAAAGTCATTTATTATGGATGTAGTCTGTACTCTGAAGTGCTGAATATAGTACTTAGTCAGCTGGAGTTCTAACCCAATTTATTTCTTTACTAGCAGTCAGTCTGGAAGTAGCAGAATATCTGGGGACTCATTGTCTGAACCAAAAATAAAATTTGTTGCTTTTTTTAAAAACCCAATGCTAAAATACAGTCACTATTTTTTATAGTTCTTATTATTCCTACATATTTATATAGCTCATATAAAATTTTACATTAAATTATTAACTAATAATATGAAATAAATTATTAATTTTAAAGATTGTGAAAAATTACTACTAATGGTGAAAAGAGGAAAATCCATGGAGGACAAATTGATATAGCCAGAATTATTTTTTTCCTCTTCTAAAATCGATACCATTTTTATATATCTGTAGCTAAACATAAAAAAAATTTCAACTTAATTGTGTTAAAAGTATGATAATCCTTCCTGTAATTTGAGAAAATTTAATCTAAATAAAGATCAGCTGTTCTACTGCTAGGGTATGATATTAGCTATTCTAGAGCTATTTCCTCAATTTATCAGTAAGAATTTATGTAAATTTATGTAAACTGTATTGTAGTTTAGAGATAGGTTGTGATTTATTTATTTAGGGCTCTTATAAAGTTTAAAATTGTTGGAGAGGGCAGAAGAATATGAAGAAAATGAGTTAAAAACAAAACAAAACAAATAAAGTAATAAAAATAATTGTATTATTTATAAATTTTACAATATCAAAATGAAAATATTCCTCCATTAACCTATGGATTATTTTTCTCCATAAGTATGTTAAAGTCTTTAACTATTACTGAATCAGCAATTTAACAGATTTAATCACACAAGAGGATGTAGTCAGCCTTCTATGATTGATAATACAATGACTTACCTTAATTTTTTCATCAATATTTTAGGAAAATGACAGCAAACAAGTAACAGCATAATAACAAAGAAGACAACCATACGCATATACTCACATGCATTTTTTTCTCTCTACACACAAAAATCTGACAAAAATCTGCTCAAAACTCATAGATGACATCACTTCTGAGAGGTAACTTTCTAAAGCAGATAAAAAATGTCTTAGTATGATAGATGCCTCTCAAATATGCATAAAAGAGATAGAATTTTTCTCTTTTGCTCATTAGTTCATTAATATTCAGTGTATCTCCATTTTTCAGAAGATAGGGGGATCCATGAGGACATGTGTACTCTTATTTGTTTCCTTTTAGTATCGCCTAGCTCAAGTTGTCATATATGCAAAGCACTCAGTAATTAAGTTTAAATAAATAGCTTTCTTTGTAAACAAATCTGTTATTAAGATAAACTTAACTATTTTATTTATTTTTACTCTATGTTTGCTACAGATATAAGGAAATTAAGATAAAAATGTAACTTATTATTGTCCTAACAAATGATGACTTCTGCTAAAGTTTTTGTATTAATATATGCACATTTTTCCATAACATTTAGAAAAATGGGACTGTACACTTTTGTAATTGCCATTTCTCACTTGTTTGTATCTGCAGTTTCTCACTTCTCATTTCAAAATATAAACATGCATTATCACTTTAAATTCTACAGTGTGTTTAATCTACATTTTATCATTTTTAATACTGTGATTAATAATATTTTGCTTATATAGGACTATACTTAATTATTTCCTCATGATGAATTCACTAAAGTGAATTTAGGGTCCAACATGTAAGAAACTTGGAAGTCATCAAACATGTCCTAGATGCAAAAAAAAAAGGAGAGCAAACTGAAAATAAGCAACTCTACTTCGATTCATCAGAGAATTGAGGTCACAGAGCAAACTGTTGTCCATCCCCACCAAAACTGGGGGGACAGAAAGGTAGATATAGAGAATCACATTTTATTAGAGCAAAAGTCCAGAAAGAGAAACCACAGTCAGAGCCAGACCAGGATAGGAGAAAAAGAAAGAAAAAAGAAAAAGAAAAGAACTGTAATTAATGAATTGCTGGAAGTTCCGTATATGCTGTAAACCAAAAATAAATTTTCAAGTGCTCCTCTCAGCCAAGGCATTCCAAAGTTAACCTGAAAAACTAGTTCAGGCCATGATGGGAAGGGATAGCTGGACATGCCTCATTATACTCTCCTCCCTTTTGGAATTACTGATAGAACAGGCTCTTTAAGTCTGATAAGAAACATTTACAGTCTATTCTCTGTGAAGCCTGCTAAGTGGAGGCTTCATCTGCATGATAAAACCTTGCTTGGTCTCTACAATCCCTTATTGTAATCCAGACATTTCTTTCTATTGGTAATAACTCTTCCAAGCAATTGCTAATCATAAAATATTTAAATCTACCTGTGACATGAAAGCCCCTGCTTCCAGTCAGCCTGCCTTTCTGGACCAAACCAGAAATATGTACCATACATGCAAGGTACATCTTACATGTATTGATTGATGTTGCATATCTCCCTAAAATGTATAAAACCAAGCTGTACCCCAACCACCTTGGGCACATGTTGTTAGGACATCCTGAGACTGTGTCACTTGGCAAAATGAACTCTCTAAATTGATTGAGACCTGTCTCAGATACTTTTGGTTTACAATATAAAATGAGTCTTAAAATTTTGGTGGGGCCCCATCTTAAGAAGGTCACCACATTTGTGTCTGTTTTGCCTCCAAGAGCTCTACCAGGTTGACTCAGTGAAGAGCAGATAAAAAGCCCCAATACCATGTCTCTGGCACTGGGAGGGAAAAAGCAGCCATTTTGAAATAAACTAAGAGCTTCTCTTTTCCTTAACAAAGCCTGCAATCAAGGGAAAGGATTTTACTAAACACAAATTGAGTGGGGTTTTCCCAAGGCCTAAGCAACGTGGGGAAAGGAAAATACTCAACCCCAGTCCACTCTAGGCATCCATGTGAAGGAAGATACCCATCTCCATCCCTCTCTAGTCTTCCTGTCCCACTTACGGAGAAGACAAAACAAAATACAACCAAATAGCTGGGCACTAATGAATAAACAGTCTTACCGAAAGACTGAGATCTAATTGCAGAACTGTAGTATACTTTCCCTCACCTCACACCTTACAACTATATCAATAGGCTTCTATATAATAATAGAAGATTACAACTAAAAAAATTGCAAGTATCAGGCTACTTAAGAAATTTCTTTGGAAACTCAAAGAAAAAAAGGGAAACAAAAACAAGGACATCAGAGGAAATTTTAGCCTCTGATACCTGTAGGTATAGCGAATGGTAAACACAGACTAACACCTAGCCAGCAAAACATAAAACCTCACACTAAAGACCTTTATACCTCAGTTCCTTTTACCTAGTACATCATATCCTGCTTTCAGTAAAAACAACAAAAAAATCAAAAAGCATACTAAGACACAAAAAACACAGTTTTAAGAGAAAGGACAAACGTCAGAGCCAGATTCAAAAATGGCAGAGATTTTAGAGTAGTTAGCCTAGCTATTTAAAATAATTATGATTAATATCCTAAGGGCTCTAATGAAAAAAAAAAGAACCACATGCCAGAGCAGATGGGTAATGTAAGCAAAGAAATGGAAACCCTAAGAGACAAAAGGAAATGCTAGAAATAAAAAATACTGTAGGAGAAATTAACAATGCATTTAATGAGCTCATCTGTAGATTGGACATGGCCAAGGAAATATCAATTAGCTTGAAGACATGTCAACAGATACTTTCAAAACTGAAATGCAAATAGAAAACATTTAGAAAGATGAAACAAAATATTCAAAGACTGTGGGAACAATTACAAAAAGAGTAACATATGCATGTAGGAATATTAGGAAAAGAGAGACAAAATAAATATTTGAAGTAATAATGACATAGGATTTTTATTAAAATTAATGACATCAAACCACAGATCCAGGAGGTCCAGAGAAACAGGACAAATATCAAAATATCTATAATGCAGAAAATCAAAGACAAAAGGAAAGTCTTGAAGGAAATCAGAGATAAAAACACCTTATCTATACAGGATGAAAAAACACCATATCTATATAGGATGAAGGATAAGAATTACAGTGAATTTCTCATTAGAATCCAAAACAAAAAGAGTGTGTACCCTATCGATGTCTCAGTTTTCACTTCATGTATCCCTTTTTTTTTTTTTTTTTCTCAGACGGAGTCTCACTCTGTCATCCAGGCTGGAGTGCTGTGGTGCAAACTCTGTTCAATTCAACCTCTGCCTCCCGGGTTTAAGAGATTCTTTTGTCTCAACCCCCTGAGTAGCAGGGATTACAGGCATGTACCACCACGCCTGGCTAATTTTTGTATTTTTAGTAGAGATGGGGTTTCATCATTTTGGCCAGGCTGGTCTCGAAATCCTGGCCTCAAGCGATCCACACACTTAGGCTTCTCAAAGTGCCAGGATTACAGGTGTCACCCTTCGTGCCTGGCCCATTTATCCCATTTTTAAATAGCTGTTCAAAGATTTCTATCTAGGATGAGTTGCTTGACTCTCCCTTAGTTTTTGCTTTTTGTCATTCTCTTGTGAATCATCTTAATTTTCTTAGCTATTATTGCTTCAAGGCCCTTTCAGCTGACAGAGAAAGAAAAAAAAAAGATATATATATACATACGTGTATATATACTCTGTGTGTGTATACACAAACACACACACACTATATATATATATATGCACACACACATATGCATACTCACACACACATACTACATATATAGATATATATATATAAAGTGTGAAACCTGGCCCCACTATCCACCATCCATTTACTTAATTGTTCTCATCTATATACCAATATAGAAGTACAAGAATTATTATCGTCCTCCCCTAAGGGAAACAATTTTATCAACTGAAGTATAGTTCTTAAGTACAATTTCTTTTATCTTTATTTTTACAGACTCAATTTCCAAAGTTATATAGGTAAGCACCATTTCCCCAACTCTCTTCAGTAAGGTAATTTTATGCATTTATCGTATATTTATATTTTGTCAAGTTTTGCATTTCAATCTGGGATCCTCTGACTTACTAAGTGGTTATATTTTCCTAATTTGGGTGCATTAAGATTAACTCTATATACTATATAGTTCTATGGGTTTTGACAATAAGAATAGTGTCATATACTCCCTAATACAATATCACACAGAATAATTTCACCACCTTAAAATATCCTTGCTTCATTTACTTAACAATCTTTCCCTCCCTCAATTCCTCGGCAACTAGTGATCATCTAACCATCTCTTTAGTTTTTTATTTTTCAGAATATCATGTAATTGGTATGATACAATATGTAGCCTTTTAAATGGCTCTTTCACTTAGTAATATGCCTTTAAGATTCCTTCATGTCTTTTTATGGCTTACTAGCTCATTCTCTTCAAATATTGTTGAATAATATTCTGCTATATGAATATATCACAGTTTGTTTATCCATTTACCCATTGAAAGGCATCTTGGTTGTTTCTAGCTTTAAGTGACTATGTAAAACAGCTACAAATATCTGTTTTTGGTTTTGTATAAGTCATATAAATCCTTTTGCCACCAAACAGAATATTGACAATTGATTTGTATTCCTAATTATTAAAAGTGTTTTAGTTAGGGTATGTAAAATTAGTATCTGAATATTGCATAATTATAGTAAATCCTTCAAGATGATTATTTTATAGAAAGCAATATAAAGTTAATTGATGAAAAACAATTACTACTTTGGAAACTTTTGAATATAAATTTTACAAACTATGTCTGCTTTGGAATTTTTTACATGCCACCTTAACAATACCTGTTCTTCAAAATATTCTTTCTGAAAGCCAGACTTATATATTATTGAATTTATCATGGTGGATGCAAGGAAAATGATTGGGTCAGGCTTGTCTTAGGGTTGCCAGCATCAAACATATGAAGTTATTATAACCAAGGTCTACAAAAAGTCATAAAGAAGCAGACTTGAGAAAAATGAAGGGAGCCTGTGAAAGTTACTGTACTATTTGTTCACTATGAAGAGGTTGGGGAATGATCACTGACCTCTAAGTAACAGAGAATGGAACTCATCTTTCACTTCTGAATGAGCTCCTCACTGTAATTGATGGCATTTCCTGAAATGGCTGCGATCATTAGGGCTCCAGTGACTGAATTAAAAGAAAATGAAAGATGCAGATGGCTGTAATAAAGCAGGAAAATGCATTTCTTCCTGGTGACAGATACAACTGATCATTTTACAAGGAAGTGCTTTACTAAAAGTGTTTCAGCTATGTAGTTCTCAGGGAAAATGAAGAGTAATGTAAAAATTGGACAAGATGAAACTGGCTGTTTCATTCCAGATATTGACTGCACAAGTCACTTTTAATAAATCAGCTGCTTATGGTACCTAAGACAGCAGTTTGTTAATATTATGAGGCACTACAAAATGTTCTCTTTGGTTAGGCAATCTTTGAGCGTCACATGATAAACTTAAAAGTTTTATTTAATTTTTTATTTGCTATATGTTTTTCGAATTATCAACACTTGAAGTAGTAGACATATTTGTTTGGAAACAGCTTTGATCATCTAAAAGATTCAAGGGTCAGCAATCTTTTCCTGGAAATGTCCAGATAATACTTATTTTAGACCTTTGTGGGCAATATAGTCTCTGAAACAACTGCTCAACTCTGTAGTTGTAGCGGGAAAGCATATGCAGGCAATGATAAAGGAATGGGTATGACTGTGTTTCAATAAAACTTTACAAAAACAACGTACAACTGGATTTGGCCTTCATACTGTAATTTGTGAATCTGTAATCTAAAAAATCTATTCAGCATACCAAATGATGTTGTGAATAACAACAATTAGAAATCTTAAAAGCTTTCTACACTGAAATAAATAAAATGCTAAAGCTAAATATTTTAGTCTTCTACTAGAAATAGGGATATGAGCATTTATAGCATTTAAATAAATACGGAATACTGTTTTAAAAGAACCACAGCTTAATGACAACCTGTATTTTTCAGCCATGAGAAAAAAAAACACTGTTATATTAAATGGAGTTTTAATAAGTATAGTTTTTTTTGGTTTGTTTGTTTTTTAGCTTGAAGAGATTCTGTGTGTCATACTCTGAAAAGATTACTCTCAGAGTCAGAATTGTTCATTCTATTATTTCCTAGACATTGACTTACCACCTTCACACTTCCCCTTTCAATACCTAAATTAAGAGAAGCGCTCCTTTCTTTTGTCAAGTTCAAAGATGTTCGTGAACTGTCTCATTTTTGGGATTCAATTTCTTAGAAGTCCTTTAGTTCTTCCCCAGGGCTGAGGAGATAACAGCTGTCTTTTGCTTTGATTATGTAGTTCCTTATCTATCAGGAATCTCTTTAGTTTAATTCAAAAAAAGCTGAGTTCTCCCCGGTAGCCACCTTGCCCATCACTACCTCAACGGTAAGTGAGAAAAGATGGTAAGGTGTTTTCAGTCTAGAAATCTTTGTTGGGTCAAAAGTTTAAAACCTTTTCCCAAGAAGCTTGCTGGAAACCTAAAAATGCTATTTTGAAGTATTTATGAAATGCTAGTTTGTCAAAAAAGTAATCATAAATACTGCTTTAGAAAAAGTATAGAATAAAAACCTGTTTTTCATCTGGTTTTAATGTTACAAGCTTCCATCAAACATTGATGTTTACTTTCCAAGAAAGGTATTTAACAACACACATGGGTTCAAGGTGTACAGAACATAATTTAATCTTTTGAAACATTATTGCATATGAACTCAAAAATACCCTTTTGGTACAATAGCTATCAATTTTTGAATAAATCATTTTGTAAAAATATTTTAGAGCAAAAAAATGATTTTAGATTATGGGCTAGCTAGACTATCAAGGACTCTTTTAGCACATATTCTCTCTAACAGTCCAAAATGCACAATGTGTAAATTCCAGTCATCTAACTTCTGGCTTTGCAGAACACAGAATACTACTGTTAAAATTCCAAGAACTGGTATTCAAACATTACATCAACAAAATACCATTTTTCTCATTACAAATCTTAATGTGTTAGTTACAGAAAACATACAAAGTAAGAACATCATAAATTTTAGAGACTATTATTACTGATACATAGTATAATACATTTAATTGTAAGAGATAATAGAACCAAGTCCCTTTGGAACCAAAAAAAAAATCATTGGGGATGTAATCTATCTACATTATAATGATTTCTTTTGTCTAAATCTAGTTACATGAAATTAAATGAGGTAATGACTGTGGAAATAAGTGGGAGAATTTAAAAGTTCAAATGGTAGTTAACAGAAACAAGAAAAATCTGGCTATAATTGTGTATATATATGTATGTATGTATGTATATATGTATGTACACATACATGTATATGTATATACAGAGAAAGAGAGAGTCCTTAAGAGTAAAAAAAATAAGGATTTAGCTATTAATGGGGCCAAAAGTGACCTCTGTAAAAGAACTCTAGAGCAGCATTCAGTAAAACTACAGAAATAAGGAGTATATATATACATAATATATATATTATATATATAATGGCCCACAAACTAAGTTTGGGCTACTGTCTGTTTTTATATAGCTAATGTACTACAATTTTTTTTTTTACCTATTTAAATTGTTTTAAAAGAGGCAAAAATATATTTTGTGGCATATGACGATTATGTAAAATTTAAATTTTAGTGTTCAGAAATGAAATTTGAATTTCATCAATTAAAAATTGTATGGAAACTTCTTTTTTTTCATTTAAGCATCTACTTATACCCTTGATTTTACCTCTTGGCTTTCCTGAAATATTTACTATCTGCCCTTTATGAAAAAAAAAAGTTTTCCGATTCCCACTAAAGCATATCTTCTAAGATCAAGGTGTTTCCACAACTCCAGTTCTTTACCGTAAGTTTGTGTCACTCTCTTGCTTCTTAGAAAATTGAGGGTATTTATTCTTTCATATCTATCTTTTCTGGGGAAACTTAAAATTATGTTAAAAGTCACAGACAAACTTGTTTTTCAAAATTCTGTGATTGGAAAATCATAATACATATTGAACATTTTTCTTTAAAATAAATTTCAAGTTTGAGGTATCTATTAATATAATGAGAAACAGAAGCCAAAATATGGAAAGATTGTGTTAGAAAAATTGAATAAATTTCTTTACTTATATATAATAGAGGTCTTAATCCCTGGGTAATCCCAAGTGTTGCAATTTCCTGGGAGTTGTCCAGACATATAAAACTAAAGTAAAAATTGGATTGAACACCTATGGTAAGAAAATTTGAAGATGTACTAAAAATTTCCCACCCCTGGTGTTCATGCCCTGTATAATCCCTTTTCTTTTAAACTGGACAAGACCAGTGAATATAATGAGATTTCACTCTGATGATTAGATTATGTTATATGGCACAGTCGGTTTTAAGAAAAGAAGATTATCTGGGTGAGCTGACTTAATCACATGAGCCTTTTAAATCTGGGTCTACACATCAGAGAGAAAATCAGTGATTCAAAGCAACAAGAGGAAGGCTTTAGGAGTTCAGAACCGCCTGGAGTCAATATACAAGAAAATAGTGACATTAGTTCTATAACCTCAAGGAACTGAATTCTGCCATGACCTGAATGAGCTTTAAGACAATGAAGTCTCAGATGAGATATCAGCTCTGGCTGACACCTTGATTTCAAACTTGTGAAACCATAATCAGAGCAACCATGCTATGCCAGATTACTGACACAGAAATTGTGAAATATTAACACATTTGTGTTGTTTTAAGCTTCTAAATTTGTAGTGAGTTGCAACGCAGCAATGGACAACTGACACACACCCAATTCGTTTCCAAAGGCAAACAGAAACCTTGCTCTTCTTTATAGAGAAGCTTGGGGAACTTGTGCTTAATCATCTCTAGTTCTGTTGTCATTTTTCAACCGAATGTCAATTTCCTTGTATGTTTATTGTCTCCTACCTTTGAAGTCCCTTTTTTACTCTTAGATACTACATTTATGGCACCTTTGTTTTTTTGGAATTATTTGCAGTAATTAGGGTAGCACAAAAAAGCAGGCAACATGAAAAGAGGACTAGATATCTCTCTAAAAAGTATCCTTTGACCCTGTGATCCTGAGGGAATTTGATTTGTTTTTTATTTGGATTCCTGTTCTCCCATGTTTCTAGACTGCCTCCCTTGTCAATTTGCCCCTTATTTTCAAATTCCTGATGAAGAACACTTCATCTAGTCTCAGTTTTTTCAAGTTTTCTCCCAGAGGCCTCCTTTTCATAATCAAATATGTGTATATCTCTTAATCTCCAAAGAAGGATGTTCTTCCTTGAAAGAAACCATTTTATTGACTCATAGACTTACCATTTTGGGGGATGAAGGTAGAGGCAATATACTGTAAGACTGCAATGTGTAAATGTCATCTTTAATGTAAGGTAGTTAAATGCATAACAGGTTTGTGATGACGATATAATAAATTAAAAATGACATGACCTTTGCTGAGAATCTTTAAAATTGCTACACCCTCTCTAGTGATTGTTTTATTGCTTGGAAGAGAAAAATATTCAAAACCTAAACATATTAAAACTAAAGTTGGCTTCTTTTCTACTAATTTGGTGTAAACATCAAGAGGCTAGATATATTTTCTAAGATGTTAGTTGTAGTGAATAATGTTCCAAATGTTAGGCTACAACATTTTGGGAGATAACTTCACAGAAGCTTGTGATGTTTTAATTTTATCTCAATTAGAGCTCTTATTTCTATGTTTTTCACCTCTAATTACTCTTATTTTCATCTTTTTATGCTTTATATTCTATAATTCGCAACAATAATAGCATTTGCTTCATCCACTTTCTGGATGTTCCATCCAAATCAACCAATTTAGAATTTTCTCTGTAATAAGTATGGCTCTCATTGCTCTTTTCAAGGTAAACAATGTAGTCCTTCTTCCAATTTTCTTCAAAATTTCTCACAAAATTCCACTAAAAGGTTATTTTCTTAACCAAATATCTCTAGCACTGACCATTCTTTCTGTGTCTAAATATGTTGCTTGTAGGTCAAGTTTTTTTAGAGCAAAAAGAAAATCCAGAGATGATCTGACTCAGTGTATTTACATTATAGGTATAGATACAGCAGGTCTTTGAATAACTTTGTTTCATTGTCGTTTGGTTATACATTGATGAGAAAAGTCAATTATTGGCTGAGGCTACTGTCTGTATGGAGTTTGCATGTTTTCCTCATGTCTGCATGAGTTTACTCTGGGTACCCTGGTTTCCTCAAACATCCCAAAGCTGCATCCATTAGGTTGTGTATAAGCTGTGCACGTGTCTAACTGTGCACAGTTAAAACAGTTTTAACTTGTCCCAGTTAAAACAAGTGTGAAGTTTCTCATTGATTCCCAAAATATTGGGTAAATAATTATCTTACTTGTTTTTATTAATCTTTCTTAAACGTATGTATAGTTTACATTTACTTCAGTGTTTTACATTAAAGTGTTTTGGATTTTTATTTAGAACATTAGTGATGTTTCTGTGACCAGAATTGTACTGTAGGAACTTAACCCTTGTTTATATCACTTAGCCTGTGGTGAAACTGGTTTCCCTGTACTTTATTTTGCTTAAAGTTGCTGTTTCTAAGAACCTATCAATGATTTTTAGTGAGGACTTACAGCAGTAAGATTTTAGCTAAGTTTAACTCACTTGCCATATAATGTATTCTGCATTGTTATTCTGCTATGCGGTTAGTAGCAGAAGCAGTATGAGGCCTCAGTTCTAGTTATTTTTTTATATACTACTACTAATCATTTTTAAAACCTTTTTTGGTTCTGTCTTCCTATGCTTGTTGATTACTACTAGATTGCTTTATAATGTTATGTTGTGCACATTTCCGACGGACAAGTATATATTCGCATAATAACTGCTAAGTTTAGTTTTTGACTAGTTGATGGACTTAATGATATTCTATGTATACTCTCTTAGAAATAATATAGTAAGGTAGATATCACTAACATCTCTATGAAGTTTTTTTTCTCATTCCCCTCAGACTCATTTAATTACTCTCCCTTTTATATTACTGAAGTACCTTGCCTATTTTATATTTATCTTGAATTTAAAATTTTTACTTACTAAAATAAATTAAAATATAATGTTTAGCCAACTCCATTGCCTAATACTGTCACAATGTAAGTGCTTAATTCAAGATAAGCTTTTCTTGTGAGTGGACAAACGAGGCATCTTCCTTAAAGACTGCGTACATTTGATTGAGCTCCTGTATTCTAGTTATGTATGCTCTTAGGGTTCATGCCCTCACTTTCATATCACATGGAAAGCATGCCCATAAATTCCACAGGATTGGAAACCAGTCATTTTTATGGCTACCATTAGTGCTATATTTTTTCTCTTAGTTCTCTATTATAGTCATTTGATCAAATTAATGTTGAGTAGATGATGTGCAACTCATGAGTTTATACACTTTCCTACAAGGAGGTTTCACTAGAGTGGGCAAGCTAACATTCATGAAATCATGATGCACATAGAATATGGTCGTTCTAAAAATTTACTATGTTCTTCACACAATGATTTATTTGCATAGCAAATTATATTCATATACTTTTTCTATGTATTTACTAAAATACGTTTTTAGAAGCATTTTTTTATTTGCTGAATATATGTCATAATAATTCCAAATAACCTTTTTTAAAATGCAGCATAACGCAAAGGACTGAATTAGTAGACCATCCTGTTTTAATTACATAGACATGAAGGTTTGACTCTTTACAAAATTTTAATGTGAACTTTTAGAGGCTACTTCATGCTGTAGTTGAGCTTGTATCTTTTCTGGCTACTAAATTATACATTTTGCTTTGTGTCACCATGTTGATGTAACATCTGCATTTAAAAAGCAAAGTGAGCATAAAATAATGGAATTGTGTCCTTTGTGCTATTTTTAAAAGAAATTGTCCAGATTTTTAACTTGTATCTTTTGGTACACACAGTGCTCTTTTTTCATTACTTCAGCATGAGATTATTTTAAAGTCCATTAAACTTTCATATGGACAATGCCATGCCTACTTTTCTAAGAATAATGGCTTAGCCAAATATTCTTGTTAAATATTTTGTCAGTCCCTCAATGTATCTAAAGTGTCTATCATATGCCATTTAGCAAGATGCACTGTTAGTAGTCAGCACTGACAGATAGGATAAATGATAGGAAGAAGAGTGATGGAGATATTATTTTGAAATCTTCTATTTTTTATTGTTTGTATTTTAACATATACTAGATGAAACTATATCTTAACAGTTTCCACTCCAGTGAAATATTTCAAGACAGTATTTCTTTTGCAATACAACAATTTCCTCATTTTCCCAAGCACCATAAATAAACAGAAGAGTATGAACAGATCTCTGAAGACAGGAGAAAATGAAAAATGATTTGTCAAAAATAGCAACTTAAAGGAGGTAGGAGAAACAGATTTTCAGAGAACTAATAGATATCAAAGGAATAAAAATGGTCTTTGGAGTTCCTCAATGTTTTGTTAAAAATAGAGAGATGAATAAAATCATAATGACTATTTTCTCATGCTCACAGTTGTCAGACTAAATTTATTTTAAATGGTGGTGGGGGCAGCATTGTTGATACATAAGCTATTGATGAGAAATCAGAAATTAGCCTTTAAGTTTACTGATGTTGAGAGAGTTTGTGGTTTTTATTGGAACACCTCTGCAAATTACATTGAAAGATGTTATTTTCCTTATGACCTCAATTAAACATTTAAAATGAGGAGGGCCTCCAGGGACACTGAAACAGAAATATGAAACTTTGCATTTTGGCAAGATGATTACTTATCTGTACTCAATAACAACATTTCAATCTCGTTAAAGTGAATTGTTGCTTCCATGTTTATTTTTGAAAGAATTATTATTCTTTTAAGAGTTTATCTTTAAAAAGTCAATATTCTAATATGCTTTGTGGAGGAGGATGAATCTATTAAACAATTCCTATCTCTCTTTTCAGAAATTTATAGTTTTACTGCACTTAACATAGTCTAGCAAATAATACTCAGTGACAACATTTTTTAACAATGTATGCATGATTTACCTAAAGTGAAAGGTACATATGTTAAGAGTAAATTTCCATGAGTATTCACAACTGCCTACACTAATATAATCCAAACATCTGTCTAAGTATAGAACATTTTCATCAGCAAGATCCCTTAGGTCACTTCCCAGTCAATTCATACTCCTCATCTCCAGGTAATCACAGCTCTGGTTTCATTTACCATCCATAGTCTTCCTTGTTTTAGAACATCATACTAAATGAAAAATATAATATGTCCTCTTTTCTGTCTGGCTTCTTCCAATTAGCATTATGTTTTTGAGATTCATTCATTTTGCATGTATTAGTAGTTTATTCCTTTTTATTGCTGAGGATTATTTCATTGAATTTTTACCCATTTGGTGTAGATGAACACTTAGGTTGCTGTTGGTTTCTAACTATTATGAGTAAAGCTGTTACAAATATTATTGTTCAAGTTTTGCATATGTACATTTTCTTTCCTCTTGGATTAATTCCTAGAATTGGAGTTGTGGATTCTAGGTTAGGTATATGTTTAACTTGTCACAAAAATTCAAACTTATTTCCAAAATAGTTGTACCTTTTTACAGCCACACCAGCAATGTATGAAAGTTCAAGTTGTTTCTTATTCAATCCAGCAGTTTGTATTCTCAGTTTTTAAAATTTTATCTATTTTGGTAAGAATGTAGTTTGGCTTAATATACATTATTTTGTGATTTAATAATACTGACTAGTTTTTTGGGTTTATTGGCCATTTCCAAATCTTCGTTTGTAAAGTACCTATTCAAGTTTTTTTTTTTTTTTAATTGGGTTGTTCGGGTTGTTTGCTTGTGTTTTTTAAACTGGGTTGTTTGCAATTTTATTATTGACACATAAGGAAAGACACACACACACACACACACACAAACACACACACACACACACTTCTGTTCATCTAAAGACACAATGAAAATAGATGCTATATGTATCAAAGGATATAACTCTGCCGTGATGTTGACTGTGGTTCTTGCCTATTGGTTTGTGGACGTAGAAGCGCTAAATGTCTAGGTGTTAATTGCCCCGTATGATTCAATATGACCCTTCCTGTATTACCAAGAGGAAGTATGCCCCCTTTAAAAAACAGAACTTTTATCCCTGCTGATTCCAGAATTGTGGAAAGAGGATGTACTCATTCTCAAAATGGACCACTGGAAGTGATGGTAAGCAGCAATATTCATACTTCCACTCTTTGGTTCTTGAACCTATGTAATCTTCTGATAGAGGGCACCATTTTATATGAAACTTTTTAATTCAATATGTACACTATGTCTTGATGATGCCCAATCCTGGCAAGGTAATACCACTGAGCTGGTGCTTCAGTTCTGCATTTAACTGGCCATTCCAATGCTCTAATAGAACCCTTATTTACTCAACAAATGGGCTCTTTTGGTTTTTGTTGAATAAATAAGGACTGTATTAGAACATTGGTTTTTCCCCACACCAACTCTCAAACATCTTTTACTGTAAAATGTGTCCTCTGGTCTGTTATAAGGTCATAACATATCCCTTTTGGCAGATGTAATACTTTGTGAGCCCTTAGACAGTAGTGCTGATTGAGATCTTACAGGCATAAAATACAAACATACCCCTTAATTATATATCTATTCCTGTGGAAACAAACCATTAGACCTTCCCAGCTGAAAGAAGTCCAATGTAGTCAACTTGTGAAGTATTCAGTTGGTCTCCTTGAGGAGCAGAACAAATTAATGTCATTTGCTTTTTGTTGCTGCTAAGTTTGTTACTGAGAAGTGGCACTAACTGGGTCAGGATTGCTAAAAGGGAGTCCATGCTATAGTGCCCCATGCATAGCCTCCATCTCTGCTACTGTAGCCCCTTCATTTATGTGACTGTTGTTCCACACTGGGGTTGCCAACGACAAAGTCTGGCTAACATCAACTAAGTACACTTATTTGTGTGTGTGTGTTTGCGTCTGTGTGTGTGTGTGTCTGTGTGTGTGTGATGGGTGGGACTCTACCATAGTGGACATGTTTTGGTAGAAATTTACCTGTAATACAAAAATCTTCACACTTCATACCAACTCAAGTATAACCATGCACATCCTCCTACTGTAACCCTCTTTGTCCCAGATTTTCCAAATGCTTCTTTTCCAGTCCTTTCAACAACTGGCCAGGCCATTTGCTTCTGTCAATTTGTCCATATATATTCTAATTTGGGACTATATTTCTTTTCACACAAAGTGAACAACCAAGTACACTGCCAGAAGCTCTGCCCTCTGGGACAATGTTCCCTCTCCACTGTTTTTCTAAGTTGCTTCTGCTCTACAACCACATACCATGAAATAGGATGTTTCTCTTCTTTCAGCTAGTTGTACGAAAGTTTCCAGTGGATGGATGTGTCACAGAGAAAGGGGCACTGGTACAACCTTGGTGTATGACATGAGTATCTGGAATACCTGCTCAGGTAGCTTCCTTTGGTCTTGTTTTGCTTGTACTCAGCCCCAGATTTATCCCTTCCGGCATACAATGCATTATTTTTATATCCCCTGAGCACTAAGTCTTTGAAGTTCTGAAAGTGCTGAGGTCATAATGAGCAGTTCTGGATACACGGGCAACTAGTGTCTAATACTAAGGAATTCCATCTTTATCAGAGCCTAATAGAAATTCAGGAATTGGTTTTCAAATGGCGTATAATTATTCTCTGTAGATGCCATGGCCTTTCTTTGTAAACCTAAAGAAATGTGTTGAGATTTTTCCAGTGGAGCTTTCCCCAAACGCTACACAAGATTATTGTTCACAACTGATATTTCACAACTGATGTTCCAACACCAACTACATGAGTATCAGCTCATGTAGTCCAATTATTTATTTATTTATTTATTTATTTCACATGTTTTAAGAATAAAGTCTTCATAATCTGAATTTTCAGCTGTTTTCTCATAATGTTACCACACATAGGTGAATTGTGTCACGTGTTTAAAAAAAATTGCCTATGGATATCAAATCAGTAGGAATTTTCATCCATGAAAATCTCAGATATACCTGTGATCTAGATTAAGCAATTATCTTTAAATAAATTTTTTTTGTTTTTGTTTTTTTTAGCCAGTCACATGGAGTTACCTCAGCCTGGGTTTAATATCCATACGTTTAGTTTTGAAGCAGGACAATTTTCCTGACTGCTTTGCAGGCAGAAACTGAAATGCAGGCACTGGAGCTAGCCGGTTGCTTCAGCCGGCTTCACTAGCTCGGACCCACCACACTCTACTCCTCGCAGGAGGGCGAACACAGCTGAGTGGGTGCAGGAGCTGGGGCGAGTGATTCTGGGTGGCAACAGGAGCAAAACTTCATGCAGGCCCCGTGGCAGCATCTATGGGAGTACATATGACTCCTCAAAACACCAAAAGGAGTATTATAGGCAGTGCTGTTTTAGCTTTGCCATCCACAGATAGCTTAAGTGTTTAACAGCTCAGTGGCCTTTTAGTGAGGGCAGAGGGTCAGCGTGACAGCCTTCGGTATCTCGAGCTCTTGTCCAGCAACCAGGAAAAATCAAGTTGCACAAACGAAATGAAGGATAGTAAACACAGGGGATTTTATTGCTGATGGAAGTGGCTCTCCGTGGGAAGAGGAGCTGGAAAGAGGATGGAGCGGGAAGGTGTTCTTCCCCTGAAGTCCAGCCATCTCTGGCCAGGCTCTTCTCCAAAGTCCCACCATCAAGCTATCTCTCTGAAGTCAAGCTTCTTCTCTCCAATGTTCAGCTGCTGCTTCTCTTCTCTTCTTCTCTGCTCTCTGCCAGTGGAGCCTGGGGTTTCTATGGGTACAGGATGGAGGATGGAGTGGGCCAAGGTAATTTTGGAAAAGGCAACATTCGAGTGGGAAAAGAGGGATGTAAAGTTTTCACTTTGGGCTACAGTTCCAGGCTTGAGGGCGGGGGCCCTCACCGGGCACCCTGCCCTTTTCTGCCTAGAATTTCTCTGCCTACTGTCCCTATTAGTTCATGTGGGTCCCAGTACATCTTCATGTATAATACTTGGTTTTCTCATTTTTTTTAAGTAACATTTTCTTGCCAGTTGGACTTGGGATTGCTAACTCACTTTAGTTTGTCTCCTTTTTGTAGATTATTTTTGTCCATACTTTCTGATTTATGCAAAAAAAAAGAAAATTAGAGTATTTCACTAAGGATAGCACTGACTACATCCAATTACTCCCAACATAGGTGCTTAAATCCCCAAATATCTATGTTCAATATATTTAATACAGCATTTCTGTGTGTGAGAATCAAGAATGACGTCTTATATGGGTTTCGTCTGACATCTTGAGCAGAAGTTACAATATAAATGTAATATATCTCTTCTTCTTTGTCAAAGCAACTTATATTTGTGAGTCAACCAAATATAATGTTTTGATTATGCACACAACATAATTATATATTATTAACGTATTAAAGATACTCATTGATAACATTGCTCAATTTGAAAATATTTTAATCTTTTATCATACCAGAAATTATCCCAGATATTTATATTCATTAAATTGTTTAAGTGCCTAGAAAATTCTATGAATTCTGTTGGGATTCTCAAAGTCTATGAAAGAGATGACATTTAAAATTATATTATTGACTATAATAATTATGAATGATATAATATGTATCAATTTTACTTCAAAATAATACAGTAGTAGAAGTTGGGGGAGTATAGATTTTAAATGATTCACCACAAGTTGGCTAATTTTGAGCTTGGGTGATGGCTTTATAAGGGTTCATTATACTACTCTCCACTTTTTAAAGTGTTAAATATTTTCACTACAAAAATGTTTGGAAAATAAATATTATATCTTCAGATTTCCTTAAAAGTGTTATAAGCAATCATGTAATTATGATATTCACATAATTCCTTCATGACAGCTAAGAAGATACACACTTTGTTTTCAACATTTAAACTCACCATTTATTACTAAAGTCTTATAGCACATTTGTGCTATCTGAAGCACAATATTTAAAAATTGTTTCTAAATACAAATGCATTGAAGAGCTAACAAACCCTAAGCAGAAGTCTCATGATGGAACAAGGCATTGCTATCAATTTCATTTATTGTTAATAACATACTCACAAATGGAGCGATGGTTTTAACTGAAGCTTAATTTGAGGAAAACACAGCAAATTTCTAAAGCCTTTTTTTCTTTTTTAGTGAGTTTCTTAATGTTAAATTTGAAAATAAAAATGCACACATAATATTTTATTGTTGAAAATTAATTTTCATCAGAAATATATTCCCCTCTAAGAAAACAACCTGGAAAGATAATTAGAGAGAAAGAAAAAGGTATGTAAGGAAACATGGGAACACTATCTCAAATGAATGTAGCTAGGACTAAATTCAGATTACACTAATACTGAAAACATAATGTCATTTGATACTTTTGAATGCCTTTTGGCATGCAGTGCAAGGACCACAGCTGGCCTTTTAGCTTGTTGATTGATAAATTTAATGAAGCCATTCTCCTATATTGTTATTTGTCCTTTTTAAAAACAAAAGGAGTTTTCATAAATAGTTTGATTAACTTTTAAATGTTTTTCCTCTTCTTCAAGCAATTATTTTCCAGGCAGTATCAACCAAGCACAAAGAGAGCATTTTTAAATCATAGCTACTATTTTTCTGTAGCTTCACTTTGACCTAGAAAGAAAGCCTGATATTTTATTCTCATTCTTCTAAGATTCACTAACTTAACTTGAGGGTAAGCCAAACCACAATTAAAAAATTTCTGCCTTCTTTAAAACAGGCTGTTGCATCCAGGGATGTTTAATGTGCCTAAGGTTGAAGGCACTTTGAATCCATTGTGGAGGCAGCTTGAGTTATTGAAGAAGGTTGTCTATCTTAGCTATTGTTCAGGTCTGTTCAGATCTGTTCCTCCAAACACTTAGTACGCTCTGAAGGACAGAAAACCTGGCCTCTTTCCTTTGATAGAATACATTTCTATATATAATGTATGTCTATATGCTGAAAGAGAGAGTAACCCTTTATATGTCTAATTAATCTCTACACGTTCTTCACAAAATGTCCTCCTTCTATGTAGAAGAGGAGGACGCAGTCAATTTTCTTTTATTTAATAATAACCTTTATCTATTTGCATTTTAGAAGGTAATACGATAAGGCTTTGGATATTAAAATATCTCTTATCTCTAACTGGAGATAAGGTATGGCGTACTACATTTCTGGAGTCTGAACCAATTAGCCTAAAGGCAGTACATGCTCCCTCCATGCACCTTTCTTTTCTTTTTTTTTTTTTTTGATAAGGAGCAGTCTTCCCTCTTTGATTTATAGTTCTCATAAGGAAAGTAATATATTTCATGATTAGTTTTAGTCCCAAGTCATTTGCATATTGAATAAGAGATTCAGAAAAGACTAGGAGAAAATAACTATGTATTTATTTACATTTAATAATCAATATGATTTATGCATTCAACACATCTCATAGCTTTTATTTTAAATTAATCTCATGAAAATACATTGACAACATAGCTATTATTTTAGATCACCTTTTTTATGTTCTAAATTTAAAGGAAATTTAGAACCTTGTTTCTGTCTATGCCTCATTTCAAGATCCTACTGTCTAGAAAAGTTAACTAGATGAACACAGGTTTTAGTTTTACTTAAATGCAACCTCATCTTGTCTTGTTAGGGACCATTTCAAGTGCCTCTAATATTTGTGATGCCTAAGTGAAACTACTGAGATACATTCATGAGCCATCCAGAAATGTAAGGATTTTAACATCCTTCAGGCTACCCTTGGCTGATGAGAGCTGGGAGACAGGACAATGAATAAAATGCCTTCCCCTAAAGGAAGGAATACCTGATTTTATTATCGTATCAAAGCCAGTGACCTACCGAGATACTGGTAGAATTCTAGACTCAGTACCCTCGCACAATTTTGTACCCTGGACAATATTCCCAAATAAAGCTTCATCTCAGTCTCTGCCAAAACAGGCTTTTACTCTGGAGCTAGACTGCCTGAGTTCAAATCCTGGCTCTATCTCATAATATATGTTACCTTAAAGAGTTATTAACATCTCTGCGCCACTATTTTCTTATATGTAAAATAGAGGTTATTAGACCTACCAATAGTAGTGTTATAAGGATTAAAATATATAACATATGTAAATTACTTAGGATATTTTTTAGCCTACAGTGAGCACTATATAAGCATGTGATTTTATTTTACCTGTTACATGTTATCTAATAAAAAAATAACTTTATATTTTAGAAATATCCATGGTCACACAAATTGCTTATGGCAAAGGAACTTTTATAATTTTTTTTCACTCAGAATAAATGCTATTCCATATACTTTTGAGGCTCACTTTCATAAAACAACTTTTTCTTAAAATTTACTTTTAGGCTAAAACAATTTATTCACAATCTAAAGCATTTTGTACAAAATACCTTTTTCTTTTTGCAATACCTCAGAAACTGTAAGTAAAAGCTCTTAATTTGGACTAATTACACAAGTTAGTTGTCAACACTGACTAAATTTATTACATAACCCAAGTTTAAGAGTTTATTCTATAGCCTTTGAATTATAACTTGTCAAGATTGATTGTGTGTGTATGTATGTGTATGTGTGTGTAAATATATATTATATATATGAAGAATATATACATATTATTATAGTGTATGAAGAAAATGGCAGGAAATGTTAGAAGTTTAGGTGATAGGATACAGGCTGATGACATATTTATTCACTCGCTATGTAGACTTCAAAATCATTTCATTTCCTATAACAAGAAAGTATATCCTTTCTGTTGAATTGGTGCTCATCCTTATAATTTACTATGTCCTATAAAATCGAGCAGGATTGATGTTGTGTAAGATCAGAAGCTAGACCCAAGACACCCAAGACACCCAAGACTTTTCTACTCTCTCTGGAAACCGTGAGATTATCAAGTGAAACATATTGGTATGAATGAAAAAACACATGTAAAAGAACCATCTCAGGCAAGGTCACCCAGACCAGTTAGTTCTGCCTGCCCCCATATGTATACACATGCTGACCTCGGACACATAAGGCTACCCAAGATTAACCTAGTGCAGCCAATCTCAAAAGAAAGTTCTAAATAATGATACAGACAGGAAGCTGGGAAACACTAGGCAGAAAAATGAATCTTTATGAATCCAATATTCAGTTTCAACACAGTGAATATATTTTGCTCTAAGTCTATATCTACTCTTCATCCCATACCCAACCCTAGGTATTTCTTTAGTCCAATGTAGATAACATATTATTGCATTTACAGATCCTTCAGTATGTATCTGTAAGAAACTTTAAAAATAGTTATTTCCATATTTTTATTATTCCTAAGGTAGATAGCTATGATTCTTTAATGTTATAAGAAGTGCAGTGTTCACAAGTCCTCCAATATCTCACAGTATTTTTAAATTAGAGTCAGTTTGTTTGAATCAGGAGAGTATACACATTGCAGTAAATTGGTATAGTTTTATTTTATTTTTTTACAATTTATTCAATAAAGAAACTCATGGCATTGACTCTATATAATTTGGCATATTTAAGATTTTGCTAATTGATTTTGCTCATTGTGTATTGTAACCTTTTGTGACACTTAAGATGGTCTGCAGACCTCTTTATTTCCTGTGAAAAACTACAGTGTTAATCTAATAATTTATGTCCTACTTTTTAATAAGAACACTTCATAGGAGGAGTTGTAAGCTTTCAGCTGTGTCACATCAATGGATGATCATGTCTGGTTTTTATTCTCATTGTTATTACTGTGACTGATATAGTTTGTCATTTTACTTTTTTAGTATCAATATAAACTTATAGTGAAACCAATACCATTATTATTACTGAAATTATGATTACTGAAAACATTCGAAGATGTCCTTGCCTGACACTTTTTTATTTCCCATACCATTTTAAAAATTTTTCATATTTATATGTATTTAAGTATGGCAAAATATATACAACATAAAATTTACCACTTTAACCATTTTTAAGTGTACAGAAAAATATAAAACATTTCACAATTTGCATGTCCTTATTGGTCAGGCATCATGCTAATCTCTGTATCATTCTAATTTTTGTATATGTGCTGCTAAAGCAACACCTTGCATTTCTTTTTGTCCTTAGGATGTATCTAAATTGTCTGTATTACAAAATTACTGTATTATAAAATCCTATTTAATGATTCTTGATGGACTTTAAACATTTTTGTTACAAATATGTTTCACTATTTTGTCATTTGTCATTGTTGATCATAATATTTATTTGTCATAGATATTTTTGACAAGTTACCTAACTAAAATTAACTCTTTTATTGCTTCTATATTGTGAGTCACAGGTAAGACTATTTTACCTACTTTTAGATTTATAGATGAATCCATACATGTTTCTTCTAATATTTGTATATGCAGTAAGAAAATAATTCTGTTTTCTTCATATAACTATGCCATTATCCCAATACCACTTATTATAAAGTACATATTTATTCACCGATTTCTGATGCAACCTTTATGATATACTAAATTTATATTTGCAAATGTGTCCATTTCCAGATGTGCTATTCTGGCCCATTCATGGTATAATATCTTACTGTCTTAATGATAGAGATACATAATACATTTCATATAGGACATGGCTGGCATATACCCTTTTCACAATTTTTATAATCACTCTATTCTTGTTTGTTTGTCCATTCACATGAGCTTTGCAATAAACTTTTCTAGCTCAAAAATGGTGTTTATATTGCAATTATATTACATTTACAAATTGAAATTTTTTATTAATATTCACATGAAAAATTGTTTTACAGTTTCCTCTTTTGTGCAATTTTTATCAGGTTTTATAATCAATGTTACATTCACCTCATCACAAGAATTTTTGAAGTTTGTTCCTTTTATTTATGCTTTAAAATTGTTGAAGTTGTACTAGGATTATCTTTAAAGTTCTTTAAAGTAATTCACTTGTGAAATCATTTGAAGCTTAAGTCAAATCATTTTACCATAATATGTGTTGGCTTTGGATGCCTGGGAAAAGTTTTTCAGAGGCATGGTATTCCTTTTCAATAGGAAGACATAATTCTTATCTTATTTCGGAAAAAAATTTATTGAATTGCAGTTTTTAATATTTATTCTTAGCTCTCGCTTTTGTTTTCATTTTGTCTTTTAATACATGTATTAGAACTACTTTCCCTATCTTTTTTTCTTTCAATTCCTCCCTCATTTACGTCTTTCTTTATTTTTGCTTGATTTTAATTTCATTTTTTCTATTTTCTACTGCCTATTTCTTTTACCATATTATTTAGAATATGTATTAATTTTCATTTTCTATTTAGTTTTGTCTTCACTTTTGAAATTTATTTCTAAATCATTTCTCAACTCTGAGAGAGTTCAGAAGTTCCTTACTGACATAATTTAAAAATTTTTTTTCTAGTTCTCATTTATTCTTTTTTCATAAATTAATTTCCTTGCTTATTTTGAAATATTAAGCTAGTCTTCCCACCAAAAAAAATGTTAAGTCGGAAGGTCATGTTATTTTGGTATGTCTTTGCTGTTTGAAAATAGTTTATTTTGCTCACAATTTTCTTTTTACCTGGATTGAGTTTGTATGGAATTCATCTACATCCTATTGTATTATAAATATTTACACGAGATGGGGTTTTTTTAAGTATTTTTCAAATTAAATTACCCAGTATGCGAATCTGCCAGAATAACTTTCATAGCTTTATGACTCCAGAGCTTTCTATAGTGAAGCATCAACAAGTTAGTTCAAGTACTATTTGAGAACCTTCTTTTTTTCCCCCTTCTTCATTGTAATCAATATTTTCTGTCTCTCTTTCTATGTTTCTCTCTTCCTGTTAGAATTTTTTTCTTGCTGAATTTGTATTCTATTCCCAACAGTTTCTCTTTAGCATGGGCTTTCTCCTTGAAGAAACCTTCTCTGGCTGGTTGATTTCAAACTTCCATGACACCCAGACAATCTCAGCACTAACACTCTTGACTTCCCTCAAACCCACCTTGAAATGGAGAGAGCAAAGCCTCCTCTGCTGTTGTTTAGCTATTTTCCTCAGATTGTTCCATCTGACTTCTACTCAAGAGTGTCTTCTCTTGCTTTCTGAATGAATCATTTTTAGCAGTTTCTGGGTATACCAACATCAGAGCTGCCAGAAATTATTTTAACTTCTTTCTAGTTTCTCACATGCTGTTAATTATATACAAAGGTGTTGTTTATGTTGGTAGTTTGGCACAGATCAATGGAATTTGGAACTTTTTAATGCTACCTTTTTACCTACATTTGTTCAAAATAATTTTGATGTTTTACTTATTTACTTGTTTCTTTCTTAACATATTATTCCTGGTGTCTATTTTCTTGGGAAACTCAGAAAGACTTAAACGCACTGCTGCTCCACAAACAGTATTTTTTTGGTTACTGTTTTTTTTATTAAAAAAGAAAACAAACAACCATTATTCTTTTCTCCTTTGGTCAGGCCTTTCTGAATCTAGTGAGAAAATATGCTTAATAATTGAAATAACTGTATCCAGAATTTATCCAGAGTTTCTGCATTAATTATGGTACTCTCATGAATGTGCTGTGTTTCCAAAATAAATCTTGAAATCTCAGTGATAAAACACAGTAAAAAAATGGTTTTTCAAACAACCCCATCAAAAAGTGGGTGAAGGATATGAACATACACTTCTCAAAAGAAGACATTTATGTGGCCAACACACATATTAAAAAAAGCTCATCATCATTGGTCATTAGAAAAATGTAAATCAAAATCACAATGAGATACCATCTCACACCAGTTGGAATGCCAATCATTAAAAATTCGGGAAACAACAGATGCTGGAGAGGATGTGGAGAAATAACACTTTTACACTGTTGGTGGCGTGTAAATTAGTTCAACCATTGTGGAAGACAGTGTAGCAGTTCCTCAAGGATATAGAACCAGTAATACCATTTGACCCAGCCATCCCATTACTGGGTATATACCCAAAGGATTATAAATCATTCTACTATAATGACATATGCACACATAAGTTTATTGCAGCACTATTCACAATAGTAAAGACTTAGAACCAACCCAAACGCCCATCAATGGTAGACTGGGTAAAGAAGATGTGGCACATATATATCATGGAATACTATGCAGCCATTAAAAAGGGATTAGTTCATGTCCTTTGCAGGGACATGGATGAAGCTGGAAACCATCATTCTTAGCAAACTAACACAGGATCAGAAAACCAAAAATTGCATGTTCTCACTCATAAGTGGGAGTTGAACAATGACAACACGTGGACACAGGGAGGGGAACATCATGCACTGGGGCCTGTTGGGGGGTGGGGGGCTGGGGGAGGCATAGCATTAGGAGAAATGCCTAATGTAGTTGACAGGTTGATGAGTGCAACAAACCACCATGGAACGTGTATACCTATATCACAAACCTGCACATTCTGCACATGTATCCCAGAACTTACAGTATAATAAAAAAAATTTACAAACCCACAGAAAAGTAAAAATATATGACAAACCACTCTTTTGTACACCATCCATCTAGATGTACAAGTTGTTAACATATTTCTAAAAAAAATCACTGAGTTGTATACTTTAAAATGATTAATTATATCTCAATTTAAAAAAAAAAAAAGAATGGTTTTTATTCACATGTAGTCCAATGCTGCTTGGTTGATTTCTGCTAACTAGTGACTCAAGAATTTTCTTGTCATATCAAGAGCTTCAAAGGGAAGAGTTCTTATGAGAATTTTACAGAGACTTTTATTATATTATTTTTGCTCATATATTTTATTATATTATTTCTGCTCATATCTCTTTGCCAGGATTGGCACAAATCCCAAAGCAAGTATGTTAGTCTGTTCTCACACTGCTATTAAAAACATACCCGAAATTGGGTAACTTATAAAGGAAAGAGGTTTAATTGACTCACAGTTCCACGTGGCTGGGGAGGCCTCAGAATTATGGCGGAAGGTGAATAAGGAGCAAATTCACATCTTACATGGTAGCAGGCAAGAGAGCTTGTGCAGAGGCACTCCCATTTATAAAACCAGCAGATCTCGTGAGACTTAGTCACTACCACAAGAACAGTATGGGGAAAACTGCCCCCATGATTTAATTATCTCCATATGGCCCAGCCCTTGACATGTGAGGATTATTACAATTCAAGGTGAGATTTGGGTGGGGACACAGCCAAACCATATCAGCAAGAAATTAGAAAATATGGGTGATGTTTCATAAGCAATAAATACCTATACCATATTTTTTCCTCCTAGTTTGTAAATTTCACTTTCATTCCATGCACAGATTTGACTGCATTACATTTAGACAATATTCAACTTCTCTTCAAGGAAACATCTGTCCCATGAAATTTTGGAGTTACAAGAAAAGCACACCCCAGCACTGTCCATGCAGATGCTATTTTACTTATTCTATCCACTTAGTAACTAAGTAATAATAATAATAATGACAACAACAACAATAGAAAGCTTATGTAAACACTTCAAACAGGCACTGGGAAATTAATGCAGTTGAGAGTCCTTGAGAGAAGAGAAGCACATAAAGTGAACTATCAGTCTTGCACTCTGGCTTTCTTTCTGTCTAGGAGCACTTCCAAAATCACAGTGCAGGTAAATAGAATTCAAACAGAAAATGGCAATATCACTGATATGGTTTGGCTGTGTCCCCGCCCAAATCTCAACTTGAATTGTATCTCCCAGAATTGCCACATGTTGTGGGAGGGACCCTGGGGAGGTAACTGAATCATGGAGGTCTTTCCCATGCTATTCTTATGATAGTAAGTCTCAGAAGATCTTATGGATTTATCAGGGGTTTCTGCTTATGCTTCTTCCTCATTTTTTCTTGCCACCACCATGTAAGAAGTGCTTTTTGCTGCCTGCCTTGATTCTGAGGCCTCCCCAGCCATGTGGAATTGTATGTCCAATTAAGCTTTTTTTCTTCCCAGTCTCAGGTATGTCTTTATCAGCAGTGTGAAAATGGACTAACACCGTGAATAGGTACCAGGAGTGGGGGGTTGCTGAAAAGATACCTGATAATGTGGAAGCGACTTAGAACTAGGTAACAGGCAAAGGTTGGAACAGTTTCAAAGGTTCAGAAGAAGACCACAAATTGTGGGAAAATTTGGAACTTCCTAGGGACTTTTGGAATAGCTATGCCTAAACCATTGATAGTGATATGGACAATAAGGTCCAGGCTGAGGTGGTCTCAGATGGAGATGAAGAACTTCTTGAGAACTGGAGTGAAGGTGACTCTTGTTATGTTTTAGCAAAGAGATTGACAGCATTTTGCCCCTGCCATAGAGATTTGTGGAATTCTGAACTTGAGAGAGGTGATTTAGGGTATGTGTCAGGAGAAATTTCTAAGCAGCAAAACAATCAAGAGGTGACTTGGGTTCTGTTAAAGGCATTCAGTTTTATAAGGGAAGAAGAGCATAAAAGTTTGGAAAATTTGCAGCCTGACTGTGATAAAAAAGAAAAACCCATTTTCTGGGGATAAATTAAAGCCAGCTGCAGAAATTTGCATAAATATCAAGGAGCCTAATGTTAATCCCCAAGACCACTGGGAAAATGTCTCCAGGACCTGTCAGAGACCTTCATGGCAGCCCGTCCCATCACAGGCCCAGAGGCCCAGGAAGAAAAAGTGGTTTCATGGGCCAGGCCCAGGGTCCCCGTGCTGTGTGCAGCCTAAGGACTTTGTGCTCTTAGTCCCAGCTGCTCCAGCCATGGCTGAAAGGGGCCAACAGACAGCTCAGGCTGCAGCTTCAGAGGGTGGAAGCCCCACACTCAGGCACCTTCCATGTAGTGTTGAGCCTGCAAGTACATAGAAGTCAAGAATTGAAGTTTGGGAACCTCCACTTAGATTTCTGAAGATTTATGTAAATGCCTGGATGCCCAGGCAAAAGTTTGCTACAGGGGTGGTGCCCTCATATAAAACCTCTGCTAGGGCAGTGCAGAAAGGAAATGTGGGATTGGAGCCCCCACACAGAGTCCCTACTGGGGCACTACCTAGTGGAGTTGTGAGAAGAAGGCCTACCCCAGAATGGTAGATCCACTGACAGCTTGCACTGTGCACCTGGAAAAGCTGCAGATATTTAATACCAGCCCATGAAAGCAGCTGGGAGGTAGGCTGTACCCTCCAAATCACAGAGGCGGAGCTACCCAAAACCATGGGAACCCACCTCTTGCATCAATGTGACCTGGATGTGAGACATGGAGTCAAAGGAGATTGTTTTGGAGCTTTAAAATTTTGACTGCCCTGCTGAATTTTGGACTTGCATTGGCCCTGTAACCCCTTTGTTTTGGCCAATTTCTCCCATTTAAAATCACTGTATTCACCCAATACCTGTACCCTTATTGTATCTAGGATGTAACTAGCTTGCTTTTGTATTTAAAGGCTCATAGGCAGAAGGGACTTGCCTTGTGTCAGATGAGGCTTTGGACTGTGGACTTTTGGGTTAATGCTGAAATGAGTTAAGACTTCGGTGGACTGTTGGAAAGGCATGATTGGTTTTGAAATGTAAGGTCATGAGATTGAGAGAGGCCAGGGGCAGAATGTTATGGTTTGGCTGTCCCCCCACCTAAATCTCAACTTGAATTGTATCTCTCAGAATTCCCACGTGTTGTTGGAGGGACCTGTGGGGTGGTAATTGAATCATGGGGGCTGGTATTTCCCCTGCTATTTTCATGATAGTTAATAAGTGTCATGAGATCTGATGGGTTCATCAAGGGTTTCTGCATTTGCTTCTTCCTCATTTTTCTCTTGGCACTGTCATGTAAGAAGTGCCTTTCACCTCCTACCATAATGCCCCAGCCATGTGGAACTGTAAGTCCAATTAAACCTCTTTTTCTTCCCCATCTTGGATATGTCTTTATCAGTAGTGTGAAAACAGACTAATACAATCACTGGCTAGAAAAAAATGAAATTGTATTCATTGCTGCCATTCTGACTTGAGTTTCAGGAGTCCAAGAGAAAATTGTTATGAAGAAGGAGCCACAAAACTCTATAAAATACTGTATATTTGGCTCACTAGTTTGGATGATGTTTGATAAGCAATAAATATGTCATATTCTTCTTTTCTAGTTACTTTCCTTCTAGTAGATGCAAAACCCTACAAAGATACTGGAATTCAAGCTCAGTAAAAAAATAAGCTATTTTAGTGAAACCCAGGGCTTCTGGTAAAAGGAAAACCATGCTGTAAAATGAAGAAAAAGATCCTAGGGTTAAGATCCATGCCCTACAAATATGCCTAGGAGATGTAGAAGGCAACATAATCCAGTGTCTCTACAACGTATCATACCCAATAGGTGAGATAAGATATAAAATCAACAGTCATATGACCTAATAGTAATGAATTATATGTAATAAAGAGATACAGTAGTCTGTAAACAGAGCAGGCCCAGATATGATATAATTATTGTAGCTGTTCTATAAGGACTTCAAAACACAGATATTTATACACAGTAGAAAAAGAGAAAAGGGAAAACAATGGGGATTAAATAGATGGAGAATATTAATAGAATGTTTATATATTTTATACAAAGAAGAGTTAAGTGGGTCTCATCAATGTGATAAATAGTAGAACCATACATTGCCTAGAACATGCATTGAACTCAGAAATACAGTATTAGAAAAATACAGAAACTAAAACAGAGAGAGAAAAAAGAGTAGACACATAAAACACACAAAGCATAAGAGATATGCAGAACATGGTAAAAAAAAAAAATAGGCGGTGGGGGGTGGGGCGGGGGCGGGTTCTCAGAGGAGAATGCAGACAGTTAGAAAAAAAAAAAAGAAAACTGGAAAAAATCATGGTGAATGACTTCCCATGTCAGTTGAAAGATATTGCCAGAGAATTGAAGTAGGAAAAATACAAAGAAAAAAATACCTAGGTGTATTATAATCAAATAGCTGAAAATCAAAGACCAAGTGATGATATTAAAAGAAGCTGGAGGGGAAAAATGATGTATAACATTTAATGAAAAAGATATATAACTGACAGCTGAGATCTTAATGGAAAATGGAAGTCAGGAAATAATAAAAGGATGACTAAACTAAATTCAATTAGCCCAGAAGCCTAGGAAAAACAATTTGTTGGTTATCTTCCCTCTTACCCCCAACCAGCCACCCCCATGGGCCTGATCTCCATATGGAGTAGGGCAAGATAGGTTCAGAAAATATATGGGAAAACAAAAACATAAATTATCTGTATTGTAGGAAATAATAATGTTGGCAGGTGAAATAGTTACCTGGTGTTTTAGTCAAACAGATCACGGGTCAATAAATTTATATTTTTTTGTTTTTGAGACGAAGTCCAGCTCTGTTGCCCAGGCTGGAGTACAGTGGTGTGATCTCGGCTCACACAACCTCTGCCTCCTGGATTCAAATGATTCTCCTGCCTCAGCCTCCCCAGTAGCTGTGATTACAGGCATGCACCACTGCCACATGTTGTGGGAGGGACCCTGGGGAGGTAACTGAATCATGGAGGTCTTTCCAATGCTATTCTAGCACTCCCAAAGTGCTAGGATTACAGGCAAGAACCACTATGCCCAGCCAATTTCTATTGTTTTTAAGTCACCTAGAAAACTACCACATTGCCTTTATTCTCAATTCCTTCACTTATTTCTAATTTGTTATCCTTCATTGTACAACATGTATTTTAATAATACTTCTTGAATTGCACTTTTATTAAATGAGGCAAAATACCTTCATCTATGTACTGTCTATTCTATAGTATAAAAACATAAGATGTAATTCATGTCATTCAGTAGCTTACTGTCTTATGTATGTTTTAAGATTCAATGAACAAAAGTTAGTGAAAAACAAGACGATAAACACCTACATTATAAATTACTCAGAGCAAATAGTATAACTGCCAAACACTATAAAAAATAAACATGAAAAGTGTCAATAAGTAGAATTTAAGATGAAGCTTAAAGAATGGATAGGAAGAATTTCAGCTTATGAAGGAGAGAAGATGGGTTTCAGCAAGGAAGCCGGTTGAGAAATGTTATAATAGGCAAGTACATTGTACACAGAATGACAATATGAACTCTAGAGAAAAGTCCATACTTGGGAGTAGTGGAAAATAGCCTTGTCTAAGTGGGAGATAAAAATAATGCAGAGAAATGAAAAAAAAAAAGAAAAGAAAAGACAGAATAAAATTTAAATCTGCTTAGGAAGACAACTGGGAGCTGTTGTAGATTTTTTGAACACTAACAGAATGAAAGGACCTAAGGGACATTAATTCAGAGATCATGTGCAGAGATCATGTGCAAGATAAATTACAGTACAAGAAAGGAAGAAAACAGTCACAGAAAAGACTCAAGAGGAGAGTCTGATAGTTATTTTAGAAAACTGGTTAGAGAAGCCAGACGTTCTATGTTAGGGGCCTAAATAAATGCCACTGACCTAGGAGGATTAGCTAAATTTTCTGTGTTTTTCTTAAAATCCTGATTTCTCTATTGCAGTTTAATTTCTCTCTTTCATCTCAGTTAGATTTCAAACATTGGCATCTATTTCAGGAAACTTTTCACTGATAATAAAAAATTTCTGCCTAACCTTGGAAGACTTTGCATAAACTTTGATTTCTAAAAGCACTTAACATCCTTGGCATATATTTATAATTCTCACTACTAAGATTCAGCATTGAGAAAATGCCAAGTTTGAAATTTTCAGTTATATTATCTTTAATTTCCAAGCTGTATTAATTTTGCTGACTGTAGTAGCTTTCTTTTCACCTCATTATTGTGTCTTTTCTTGAGACTACTCTAGCTAGCAGGTATTTCTGAAATAGGTGAAATCTATGTTCTTATACTTTTCCTTTCAATTTTACCTTTCTCAACCAACATTTCTGTTTTAGAAAATGCACCCTCTTTATATACAGATTTCAAGGGTACCTCTTATGGCATAATTAATTTTGAGGACTCCTCGGCCTGATGCTTCTATTTAGATTGAAATTTATGGAAGTAATTTGAGATGTCACTCAAATTGCAATATCAGTATTATATGGCAATTCTTTTCTTTGAGCAACAACACTGAAAATCTATTATCTTTAATAAAGGAAATGATTGTTTTTTGAAGATATTTTTATTTTTAAATAAAAATTATAGAATATGTGTTTTTTTCCCATAAAATATAAGTTTCTAATGCACAACCCCTTGAGCCATTTATGCAGATTTAGCCCAGAAAAACAAAGCAGGGAACAGGCAAGTTTGAACTGACAGACACTGAATATCCCAAGTGTATTCATTGAGAGTCACTCAAATTTGCAGAATCATAATAATTGATCAGTATTGAGAAAAATGAGATGATTGAAGATTGTTTAGAACATTTTTTACAGATAAAACATTTTGGAGGTGGTTTGTTTTAATATGTAAAATTCTGACAATTCCTTGAATCAGAGATAACTGGGGATTCATTCTTTTTAAAATCTCTATCTGCTGCTGCAAACTCAGTCTATGTAAATAGTTACATATAAATAGTTACATGGCAACCTGTATTGCATTTTCATAGTAAATTCCTAGGTTAGTTATTTTCCACTAGTATGTACTATTCTTGCTAAAAATATTGTAAATGCTTCTAATACCATTTTTTCAATGAAAACTTGGAACTAATTTTTAGCTGTATCAGTTTTATAAATATAAATTGTAATTAATAGAATTTAATGTAAATTAATATAAATTATATATTTAATTTTTTAACTTTCTACCTCTATAATAAAATACAAAATTTATTTTAATTTTGTCAAGTTTCTCATGATTACTTTTTCACTGAAAGTGTATGTAAAACAACTCTTCTGTGTTAAATATGTATTTTCTTTGCACTTGATAATATTATCTATATCATAAACTATAGTGATGTTAAAATTTGAAAACATGTTTATTTACTAGAATATAACTCTTGAAGGCAGAGGATACAAAATCTTTTATAGGAAATGGGTTTTAACACAATTTTACTTAGCAATCTGTACTTGGTAGGTGCTTAATAAATGTTTAAGTAAATGTATGAATTATTTATCTCGCATATTAATCATTTGTTATCCCTGAGTTTGTTTCAATAGAGGAACATTGGCCTCTAGGCAATTAATTTTACTTTAAATTAATACATAGTTATTTCTGGACTTTACAAAATTAAACCAATTTAAAATTATCCCCTGGTAAAATAAATGCATTTGTTTCATAGGTTTTTATAAGAATATGTTTTCCTAGATGATCCATTGCGTGTACATTATAAAATTCTTGTTAAGAGCTGTGATTTATAATCACCTAATTTAGATTTTGGTTATCAATTCTGGATTTTTTTTCCGTAAAAAATATGACAGTAGTAGTTTTCTATAAAAAATATTACAATGGGATTATGATTCCAAATTACTGTGAAGACATTTTTTAAGCTTGGTTGATGTGGCTTATGATAACTTGATGGTATTTTGGATGAGTATATCTTGTTTTGATTCACAATGTATGAACATCGAGGGAATACTTCAAGAGAAAAAAGCCTTCATATGGTTTCTTGCCATAATGAACACTGAATAGTATCCACTTGACAAATTTTTACTTCAGTATTTATAGAAATAGCTAACTCAAACCAGTAATTCTTAGCCAGTGGAAGCATCATAATAGCGGGAGGAACTTTTGGAAAATACAATGAACTGCATTATGTAAGAAACGCTTATATAGAGTAGGAATGGCATTCTGCTGTGTGTCATTCAAAATTTGCCCAGGTGATTACTACATACAACCCCATTTCCTTAGTTCATTTTGTGCTGCTGTAACAGAATACCAGAGACTGGGTAATTTGTAAAGAACAGAAATTCATTTGCACAGTTCTGGGGGCTTGGCAGTGTAAAGTGGAGGGGCCCACATCTGGTGAGGACCTTCTTACTGTGTTATCCTTTGTCAACAGGCAGAAAGGCAAGAAAGCACATAGGAGAAAGAAGGAGGGGGGCTGAGCTTATCCTTTTATCAAGAACCATCTCTCTGGATAAGTAACCCACTCCTGAGATAAGACCATTATTCCATTCATGAAGGCAGAACCCTCATGACCAAATCACCTCTGAAAGGTACCACTTTTCAACAATGCTGCATTGGGGATTAATTTTACAACACATGAACTCATAGGACACATTCAAACATTAGCACCCATTATAACCACTGGATTATAGGCACACATGTTCACACTAGGGACACACATTTATTTTTCTGGACAAACTCCATATTCATATTAGTTTCCGTGTTTGTGTTTTGATACTCTGGAAATCAGGTCAATAAGCCTAATGATCAGTGTATCTTGCTGATGGTGATAGTGAGTACTATTTTCTCAGTCTAAGTGTGGCTTTATTTATGACAAGTAAGGAAGAGCCTATTATTAATATTAGGAATATTAGTTAATATTAGGAAGTTAGGAATTTAGATATATTTATGTGTATACATATATATGTGCGTGTACACGTGTGTATGCGTGTATGCATAAACGTTTATAATGCCTTTGTATCCCAATGTCTCATTCTCCACTCCTTCTAAGAAATTTCACAATTGCTTTTCCTTCTGTACTCCTCTATTTCTAACCTCCTGAATTGATTCTTCATTTCAAGGAAGTCCATTCTTCTCAAAGGATGTTGAAAATCTTTCTCTTTAGAACGGCAACTGAGAAAATTAACTAATACTTACCAAGGGTGCCAAACCCAAAACCCCTTCCAAGTAGGTACTTAAGTTAATAATTATGCTTAGTGCAGATCGAGCAAGGCTTTGCACAGAATAACACACTAGGCGTTGTTACTTGGATCCAAGGCTGCCATCCTAGACACAGAAAAGTTCAGGATCCATTTGGGAATTTAATGTGAAATTTCTCCTCCACAGTAGCACATGTCACTAGCTAGTGACTAACCATTTTAACCACAACTTGCCTAATATAGCTAAAATCTGAGACAGGCATGTGGGAAAGAGGCAGGAGAGTGGTGCAATTGCCAAGAGATATGAGCAGGCAGGAACCAGAAATAATGTAGGGGTAGATTCCAGTATTTGCATTTCCAGCGTGCAAAATGCATGAGCCTCTCCTACAACACTTTATACTAGCACCTAATTTAGAACATTTTTACCCTGAGATTCCACGTGTGCACTCTGATATCCCAGAGGAAAATAAAAATAATTCTTGGAAATGTGCTATAGTATGAAACATAATAGTACCTAAAATAAGTTATATGGGTTTACATAGGGAAATGATTCTTTTTACCCTGAAGCAATGTTAAAAAACTGCATTAAAAATCATCAAAAACCTAACATATGTACATAGGTTAACACCCATGAGAGATTATGCCTCCTGATCTAGATGGCCTTAATGTTCACCTCAGCTTGACTAAACTTTAACCAGGCTTCTTTTTGACTTTAGGCTCTTGACCTCTCTTTCCTTAGAGAATTTACTTTAGAAAACTTGTAATTGTGAATTCTTTTTCTGCTTCTTTGAGATGTAAATATTTTTAAAAGCTCTTGCAAGGTTTACAACCCAGAAATGTTTCTCAAGGACCTGGGAGGCACTCCTTTGAAATGCAATCATCAAGACAGATAGTGCCCTGATCTCCCAGTTTCTCTGGGATGGTAAGAGCCTGCATTCTACAGAGCCTTGCTCCAAACTGTAAAACTATCTCCTGTCATAAAGATAAGAGAAAGTTTATTTTTCTTTAGTTTAAGGCCAATTAACAAACACAGGTGGCCTATAGTTCCTCCCACCTTAGCTCTTAAACTCTTTACAACTCTCTTTTTCAATTCAGTATAACTCCGACTGAGTTCTAGACTTGTTCCATTTTTGCAAGAGTCTTGAATAAAGTCTTTGTCAATTTTTAAACTTTATTCTGTATGATTTTTCTTTTGATACTACCACTCTCCCTTCACTTTGCCCTTATACACTTAAAAAATAATAATACTGTTTATGGTAGAAGCAATAAAGTGAAAGATGCCAAGACTACAAAGAAGCCATGTGTTATTTTAGCAGAGAATAGAGAGTGATGGATCGTATGTCTAAGAAAGTTCAAATCAGAAAGAAAGTTCAAATCAGAAAGAAAGTTGATGAATTAACACAAGAGCAGATTTCCAGGGGAGGGAGAAAGGAGCCCTTGCTTCTGAGGTGGCAAGTTATTTTTTTTTCTTCCGGAGCTGCTCTAAGTAACAGCTTCCATTTCTTCATGAGCTCAGTGAGATGATTTTCTGTAACTTCTTGTAAGGGAGGAGACCACCCCTCATATTGTCTTATGCCAAATTTCTGCCTCCGAAGAAAGAATAAGTAAAAACTAAAAGGCAGAAATGAAATCCATAAGCAGACAGCCTGGCGCCACAACCTGGGCCTGGTAGTTAAAGACCGACCCCTGACCTAATCGGTTATGTTATCTATAGATTACAGACATTGTATAGAAAAGGACCGTGAAAATCCCTGTCCTGTTCTGTTCCGTTCCGTTCTAATTACCGGTGCATGCAGCCCCCGGTCACGTACCCCCTGCTTGCTCAATTGATCACGACCCTCTCATGTGGACCCCCTTAGATTTGTGAGCCCTTAAAAGGGACAGGAATTGCTCACTCGGGGAGCTCAGTTGTTGGAGACGTGAGTCTTGCTGAAGCTCCCGGCCGAATAAAGCCCTTCCTTCTTTAACTCAGTGTCTGAGGGGTTTTGTCTGTGGCTTGTCCTGCCACACTTGTCCTGGATTTCAAAGATCATTTGCCTCTACTGTCTTCATTTTTCCTTAAGATTGAATCATCATCAAGCCCTCAGAATTCTCTCTCCCAAAGTTAATAAAAGTTCTCAAGTTAGGATAAAATGTTCAGTCAATATTTGCTAGAAATGCAGATTTTGAACAAGGCAATCATTACAGGACACATGGATATTGTAGTGAAATTTAGAGGCTACATCCACAGCTGATGTGCTCTATTTCTTTTACTCCTTCCATTTGAACCCCCATTCCTTTTTATTATTGGGCAAACACACTTTCTCAGATTTCCTGCTTATTTATCTTACTCTGTTTCCTCTGTAATGGGGAGGTCTTTTCGTATTAGAGTTCTTTATAACTTTGCATCTTAAGTGGACAAATATCCTTACACCCCAAGGAAACTCCTTAGAAATTGAAAACAGTTACTCATATTGTTCCAAAGAGGAAACAAAAAGGATAAATGACGTTTAAAGTCAAGTCCCTATAATAATGATAACAATAAACTTTTGTTTGCTCTTGATGTTCTCAAGCTTATATTTTCTCATCAATACTGATTTTTCTTATTTTCGTTTTAACACATATACAAGCAAAAAAAATTCAGAAACAAACAAAAAACCCCTAAAAACAAACAGAAAGACACACACACACATGCACACACACACACACACACACACAAATAATGACCAAAATTGGTGAAATGAAAATTGTTTTGAAGTACAGACTCCGAAATATTCAATACTGAATATGATTACATTGAATCAGAAATCAAAATAACTGAAATTTATAGTCCATGTTAGCTACCTAATTAACTTTTTGCCTAAGAAATTTTATTTCTAAAAGCCTCAGTGTTTTGTCTATAAATGAAAATGATGTTTCCTGATATACCAATATTAGAAAGTTTTAAAAATAAAATGTATTAACAAATATAAAAATATTTTATGAAATAGCTCTAGAAGATTGACTGTGGCAATATTAAGGAAAATAGTCCACTAGTATTAGATGTTATAAATCTTAAATCAGGTATTAACTGCAATCTTGTTGATATTTTAAAATCTAGTAGTTTACAGTAATAAATTTAAGAAAATGTATCTTAGAGAATTTCAAAAACTTCTGGGCATCGTTCATTGTTTGTTTATATAAGGCCAAGTTTGTGTATATTTATTTAACTGAGACTTTTCATTCACAGGGCTAAATGCTTTACTGTTTTAACGCATCTCAGGGGCTTCCTGTTGCAACTAATAAACTTACAGCTTGTAGGTATATGCATAGCAGAGTGTTTAACTTTGTTGATTATAATGAAGTAAAATTTGACAACAGTGATGGTTTTATGAAGACATATTTTCTCCCTAAATTAACTTAGAACTACATTATGATCACAATAAATGTTAACAGGCTTTTTGTGTGTGAACTAGACAAAAGGTACTTAAAGTATATATGGAAAAATAGGCATATAAAATAATCTACACAAAATTTTATAGAGGAGTATTTAGTAGGAATTTACATTTCAAAATGTCAGATAGATACTTAAAACTTAATTAAAGCATTTCCTATCACCTTGTACTTTAAAGCAAATCATGAAATAGAATAGAGAGACATGAAATAACCCCAAATTCCTATATGAACTTAGTAGGTTAATGTCAAGTTATTTCAAATTGTGAGGGAAGTAGAAAGTGGTTATTTTAATACATGAGTTTCAGCCTTCTGGTTCATGATAGATGTATGAACAAAACAAAATATAGATAGATGCCTACTTCACTTCTTATACAATATTAAATTCCAGGTCAATAATAATTTAAAGTTAAAAATGAAAGTAGAAGGCTACTAGAGGAATATATAGGATAATTACTTTTTATGTATATTTAGATAAGGAGTCACTTTCTAAGCAGGGCCTGTAACTTGAAATTATATTTTTAAGCAAATAATTTAAGATGTCATAATTATGAATTTTCCAAATATAAACAAATTATTAAAATGACTCAGAAAAATATCTAAATCATCAATTTCACAAAGACATATTTTCTTAAAAATAAACAGATAAAATACCATTCAATGGTGAAATCGACATGAACATATAGTTTATTAAAAAATAAAAATTTACAGATTAAAAATATAAAACTTTGCCAGTCATGATGGTTCATGCCTGTAATCCCAACACTTTCAGAGGCCGAAACAGGAGGATTGGTTGAGTCCAGGACTTTGAGACCAGCCAGGGAAACATGATGAAACCCTGTCTCTATAAAAAACCACAAAAATCAGCCTGCCATGGTAGTGTGTGCCTGTAGTCCTAGCTCCAGAGGAGGCTGGGAGGTTGAGGCTGCAGTGAGCTGTGATCATGCTACTGCACTCCAGCCTGGGTGTCAGAATGAGACCCTGTCTCAAAAAAAAAAAAAAAAAAAAAAAAAGCCCATAAAAATTCTTCAGCTAGACACATTACACCACAAAACAGTCTTCATCAATTACAGCAATAATCATAAGTTTAGTAATACACAATGTCCTGAGTTTATGGAGAAATGATTATTCAAAAAGTGTTGATAAAATGTGTATCCACATTTAAAATACACCTTAATTTCAATCCCAAAATTCTACTGGTGTTGACTTATTCTACAGATAGGCTGTGTCTGTACAGAAAAAGTAAGACAATTTGGACTGCATGGAAGACAAAAAAAAAATAATAAAGAATAGAGATGATCTTAATGAATATTATGTAATAGCAAAAGACAGATATTTTTAAAAATCCATTAATAGGTACCAATTGAATAATCCAAGATAACTTCATAAAATTAGACAAAATAATACATAGTTATTTTGATTCCTTTTGAAGTGTAAGGTGGATCAATATCAATGATATGAATGATCTGCTAGTTATGTAGATCTAAAAAGGAATAGTGGAAGAGGGTATCGTTTATAGTATATGTTCCCTTTCTGTAAAAGTATAAATTTATAAATGAATGCACATTAGTTTTCATATATGAAGAATATTTGTGGAAGAATATTTAAAAGAAACTGTTAGCAGAATTATTTTTTGGGAATATATTACCATAAATCTGAAGTAATAGAGAAAAACTTACTAATTGTCTAATCTTTTGAATTCTTTGATGCATTTCCTTTTTAATAAAAGTAAATTGTCAATGGCATCTTATGTTTAAGTAACAACTAAAAAATAATAAAGGATATACAAAAATAAAACACGTAATATATTGTAGATGTTTTTCTAAGAAATTACTGTTTACTTTCAGCAGTTTGTTGACACTAAAACGTATAGTGTCTCAAAATAACTTGGTAGACATAGCCCCTTTTTCTTCAAAAGAGTATATTTCCCATAGTTTAAAGGAAGAACATACTAATCAAATCAGGAAAGCCCAGGCCTTTCATATTTGACCTTTTGTATTATTGGTATTTATAAGCTCAAGCCAAATTTTATGGCAATTTATTTACAGAGAAATATGAGAACTCTGCTGGAATGTAAGGATTCTGAATAGCAAATGCTCCTCTCCTAGATCCAGGATTAATTTCTTCTGTGATTTCAACTTTCATCCTTTACATTTTTATTTTAGTAAATTTTATGATATGTTGTCAATAGTGTTAGCATAACAGTTTAAGGTTTACTCTATTTATTTACATATAAATGTCTCTCTTTATATATCACATGTAGGAAATGGAAAAGTAATTTTCTCTCTGAATTTTATATACTGCTTTCTGTTTGTGAAAATGACTTGCCCTCTTCAGAGCACTGCATTTAGACTAGATCTGTTATCATTCACCATGCATAATGTATTCTTTCCCGTCTCCGTGCTACTTCTCCCGACTACAAGTGTTCAGACTTGTAATTAGTCCATCTTCCTCTTTTTTCTTCAATGGTATGGAGACTTTATAAAGTTAATTAAAATATCTTAATAAGAAATCCTCTTGCTTATCTGTTTTGTTTGTGAGCTATGTACAGCTTTACGGCTTTCTTGATATTATTTCCAAAGTCATATTCGTCTTTTCAAAAAGACTGTAATTATCTTAAGAGCAAAAGCAAGTTTCTTCTATTTAATTTACTTCACATACCATTTAGTAAAATACTTCATTAGGTTTTTTAACAAAATTTTAAATGCTTTTATTATATAATAAGGTAAGATTTATAAGAATGTCTTCATTATCAAATTAATTTTTCATACCACTAAAATTATAAGTGATAAGACATTCTCACTGGTCAAATATGCATTAGTATGCATATTTGCGTAGTAATTCTTGCAATTGCAGGACAATTCTCTAGGTAGCCTTGGACCAACTCAGTTCTCCTCTCTTTTCTTGTTTGTAGTTCTCAAGAAATTGTAGAATGTGCTGGACTGCAAAATCCTGAGATGGGGCTGTACTGGTGAGAACGATCTGGGATCTATTCTTCTCTCCCTTAGAAGCAGAATGTTCCTCCAGGTTTTAGCAGCATGTCATGTCGCCCCTGATGTATGTCACCCTTGGGTTTGCCCTTCATGATCCCTCAGCTGCAGTGCAAGTGGGGCACTCACAGTCAAGACTCCAACCACACTAAGCTGCTTTCCTCAGCCTTGGGAGACCAGCTCACAATAAATCCTAAGCCTCCGTTGTCCCTTGCTATCTACTTATAAGTAATACATCCACTTTGTGTAACTTGTACGCACTGGTGTTGTGTCTCACCAGATTCACACGAGTTTGTAATCAGTGCATCGTGAATCGACTTCATATATAAATAAGCTATCTAAAATAAATTTATAATAACTCATGCATAATAAAGTATAATTTACTTTTTCATGTATTCTCCTCCATTCTTTTTCCTATAAACATTTTAATGTATTTATAGTCATAATCTATATTTACTTGTTTGTTTCTTTTACTTTACTAACAACTTCAACATATGCTTTGCTAGATTACTTTTAAAAAGTCATAGAGTAATAATATTTGCATAATATTTTATTACTTACAATATCTTACATCTATTAAAGCAAATGTGTGTGCGCATGTTGGGCATTTAGGTTGGCTTCATTGTTTCCATGTAATCTATATTTTTGTATAAATGTACATTCAATGAAGTTTTTTGGTACATGGGGGTCTCTATAGACTAGATTTCAAACAGTGATAATAGTTGATCAAAATCTGTTACTTTCAAGACTATGAAACACTGGAACACACAATTGTTAATATGTGTCTTTCAAAAATCTCGATTGTAGCTGTTTTTCTAAGAAATTACTGTTTACTTTCAGCGGTTTGTTGACACTAAAACATATCTGTACTGCATGTCTCAAGATGAATTGGTGCCCCTAAAAGAGCAAAAGATGCCAGATACAACAGGAAAATTGGAAACATTAATTTTAAATGATGATTTTTAAAAGCATATCTGGTTTAGAAGTAAAGATGTTTTAATGGGCAGTTAAGATGTTATGTTGGTTTAAAAAAAAAAAAATTCCCCCAAGATGGCTGATTACAGACATCAGATGCCTGTTCTCTTCAGAAAGAAGAACCAAAGTTACAGGTGAATGATCATAGCCTGAGTGGAATACTGAGAGAAGAGTTCCAAGACCTCAGCACATCCTACCATGTGCTCCCTCTGCCACCCATGTCAGCATATGTGCTTCTGTTCATCTTTGGGGAATTTGTGGGCAAGCTGGCTTTTACTCCTCAGTGCCACCTACCGGACAACAGATTGGTTGGGCAATTCTGTAATTGCACAACCAAGTTAAAAATCGGTTGACAGAAAGGCATAGTGCTGGCGAATGAGATAAGCTTCCCGAGACCTCCACACTTGAAACCCCACAGAAGATAGTGAGCCAGCTCACATGCTCAGTACATGGCTACAATAATCCACATTAGAGAAGACCACTGTCCTAAAGCTACCTATAACCAAGGAACTCATATATGGCCTTGGCACCCTAAAGTCACAGAAAATTGAAGCCAAATGATCATACACAATAGACATTACAGTCACACCCTCAAAGGGGGAATTGTCTCATCCAAATGAAAGTAAATTAAAAAATAACAAGTGACAGGTTTTCCAGATGATTAGGATCAGTGCAAGAACTCTAACAGCACAAAAACCCAAAATATCTCGACACCCAAAAGATCACAATAGCTCTCTAGCAATAAATCCTAATCAAAATGAAAATTCTGAAATGACAGATAAATAAGTCAAAATGCAGATTGTAAGAAAGCTCAATGAGGTCAATGAGAAAGTTGAAAACCAACAGAAAGAAATCAGGAAAACAATTCAGGATATGAATGAAAAAAATACTGAAGAAATGGATATTTAAAAAAATACAGAACTTCTAGGAATAAAAAATTCATTGAAGGAATCACAAAATATGAAAGTTTTAACAATAGACTAAATCAAGCAGAAGAAAAATTTTAGAGATTGAAGACCAGTCCTTAAAATTAACCTAGTCAGGCAAAAATAAATAAATAAATACATAAAATAAAAAAAATAAAAAAATGAACAAAGCCTTCAAGAAATATGGGATTATGTAAAGTGACCCAGACATATTAAGTACACATTCTTGCGAAGAAGGAGACAAAAAAGGCTTAGGAAATGTATTTTACACAATTCAGGAAAAGCTCCCTGGTTAGGGAAAGAATTAGACATTCAGACACTAGAACTCAAAGACCACCTGGCAGATTCTCTGCAAGACTAACCTCATCAAAGCATATAGCCATCGGTTTACCCAACATCAAAGTGAAGGAAAAAATCCTAAAAGTATCTGGAGAAAAGTGTCTAATCACTTATAAAGGAAGTTCCATCAGACATACAGCATAAACTGTAAGTGGGTACAGAACAAGCCAGAAGAGATTGCCGCACTATCTTCAGCCTTCTTAAATAAAAAACATGCCTGCCAATAATTTCATATCCGGACAAACTAAGCTTTATAGATGAAGAAGAAACAAAGTCATTCCCAGAGAAGCAAAAGCTAAAGAAATGTGTCACCACTAGGCTAATCCTACAAGAAATACACAAAGGAATTCTAAATGTGGAAATGAAAAGGTGATATTTGCCATTATAAAAGCACACATAAGTTCAAAGCTCACAAATCCTATAAAGCAATTACACAATTGAGACTACGAAGCAACTGGGTAGCAGCATTATGACAGGAACAAAAGTTCAAACATCAGTATTAACCTTGAACATCAATGGCCTACATGCATCACTTAAAACATACAGACAGGCAAATTGGGTTAAGAAAACAAACAAGCAAACAAAACATGTTCCAAACATTTGTTGGCTATAAGAGACTCACCTAATGGTTAAAGACACCTACAGATTCAAAGTAAAGGGGTGGAAAAATGTACACTACATGATGGAAAACAAAAATGAGTGGGAGTAGCTATACTTAGATAAAACAGACTTTAAATCAACAACAGTAAAATTTAGACAAAGAAGGTCATTATATAATGAGGAAGTGTTCAATTCGGTAAGAAGACATAATTGTTTTCAATATACATGCACCCAGACTTATAAAACAAACACTACTAGACTTAAGAAAAGAGAAACAGTAATACAATAACAGTGAGGAACTTCAACACCACACTGATAACACTAAGACATCATTGAGGCAGAAAATCAACAAAGAATCTCTGGATTTAAACTGGACTCTATACCAAACAGACCTAATAGACATTTACAGATATCTATCAAACACTTGCAGAATATACACTTTTCTTATCTGCACATGGAACATTCTTCAAAATAGACCACGTGGTTGGCCATAAAATAAATCTCAATGAAGTTAAAAAGAATTAAAATAATATCAAATATCTTTTCAGACAAAAGTGGCATAACATTAGAAGTCAATAATAAGAGGAACTTTCAAAACTTTACTAATACATGGAAACTAAACAACTTGATCCTGGATGATCTTTGGGGGAATGATGAAGAAATAAAAAAAATTGAAATAAAAAAATGGAGCTGAAACATTCAAAACTTTTGGGATACAACCAAAGAAGTGCTAAGAGGAAAAAGTTTAAAGCATTAAATGTCTAAATTAAACAGATGGAAGGAAATATCTCAAATTAACAACCTAACATTACATCTCAGGAAACTGGATAAACAAGAACAAACCAAACCCAGAGCTAGCAGGAGATAAGAAATAACAAATACCTGAGTAGAAGTAAATGAGAATGAAACAACAACAACAAAAATGATAAAAAGGATCAATGAAGCAAAAAGTTGACTCTATGAAAACCTAAACAAAATTGATAGACTGATAGCTAGATCAACCAAGAAAAAATAGAGGATACGTAAATAAACATAATCAGAAAGGATAAAGGTGGCATTATAACCAATACCACAGATATACCAAAGATCATCAGAGATTATCATGAGCATCCCCATGTGCACAAACTAGAAAACCTTGAGAAAATTGAAAATTCCTGGAGACATACACCCTTCCAAGATTGAACCAGGATGTAACTGAAATCTTGACCAGACAAATAGCAAGGAATGGAATCGAATAAGTTATTTTATAAAAATCTCCCAAGCATAAAAAGCCCAGGACCTGATGAATTCACAGGCAAATGTTACTATACACACACAGGAGAGCTGGTACAAATCTTTCTGAAATTATTCCAAAAAATTGAGAAGAGATTTCTATCCAACTCATTCTACAAAATCAATTCACCGTGATGCCAAAATTAGTCAAGGACACAACCACAAAATAAAACTACAGGGTTGTATTTCTGATTAATATAGATGCAAATGTCCTCAACAAAATATTAGCAAACCAAAATCAATAGCACATGAAAAAGATAATACATCATTATCAAATGGGGTTTATTCCAGAAATACAAGGATGAGTTGGCATACATTAATCAATAAGTGTGATTCACCACATAAACATAACTTAAAACAAAAACCATATGGTTGTCTCAATGCAGAAAAAGCATTCAATAAAATCCAACATTTCTTCATGATAAAATGCTCAACAAACTAGGCATTGAGGAACATACCTCAAAATAATAAAAGGCATACAGAGCACACCCACAGCCAACATCAGACTGGATATAGAAAAGTTGAATGCCTTTTGCCTAAGAACTGGAATAATACAAGAGTGCCCAATCTTATCAGTCTTGTTCAACATAGTGCTTGAAATCCTAACCAAGTAACCAGGTAGGAGAAACAATGCAGGGCTTCCAAATTAGAAAAGAGGAAGTCAAATTATCTTTATTCCCTGATTACATGATCTTATAATTAGAAAATCATAAGACTACTCTAATCATAAGACTACTCTAAAAGACTACTAGATTTGATAAATGACTTCATTACAGTTTCAGGATGCAAAATCAACATACAACAATCAGTAGTATTTCTATACAGCAATAACGCTTAAGCTGAGAATGAACTCAAAAATGCAATCCCATTGACAATAGCCACAAAAAACTAAAGTACCTAGGAATATATTTAACCAAAGAGGTGAAAAATATGTACAAGGAGAACTACAAAACACTAATGAAATAAATCAAATATGACACAAACAAATGGAAAAATATCCCATGCTCATCGACTAAAATAATCAACATTGTTAAAATAACCATGCTACCCAAAGCAATATATAGATTCAATGCAATTTCTATAATTTACCAATATCATTTTTCACAGATTTAGAAAAAAAATCCTAAGATTAATAAGGAACCAAAAGAGAGCCATAACAGTCAAAGCAATCCTAAGCAAAAATAGCAAAGCTGGAGGCATCACATTACTTGACTTCAAATTATGCTACAAGGCAATAGTAATCAAAATAGCATGGTGCTTGTACAAAATGGAGACATAGATCAATCAAACAGAATAGAGAACCCAGAAATAAAATTACATACCTACAACTAACCAATCTTTGATAAAGTCAACAAAAATATATAATGAGGAAAGAACACCCTATTTAAAAATGATGCTGGAAAAATTGGCTAGCCCTATACAAAAGAATGAATCTAGACCCCTATCTTTTACCATATACAAAAACCAACTCAAGATATATTAAATACTGAAATGTAAATACTGAAACTCTAAAAATTGTAGAAGAAAATCTAAGAAAAAATCTTCTGGACATTGGCCTAGGCAAAGAATTTATGGCTAAGACTGTAAAAGCAAGTGCAATAAAACCAAAAATGGACAAATGGGACTCAATCAAACTATAACAAACCCTCTACATAGCAAAAGAAATAATCAACACAATAAACAATCAACCTACCAAAAGGGAGAAAATATTTGCAAACTATGCATCTGACAAAGGGCCAATATACAAACTCAACAAGGAATCCAAAAACTCAACAACAAAACAACAAATAACTCCATTAAAAAGTAAGAAAAGGACATGAACAGATATTTCTCAAAAGAAGACATGCAAGTGGCTAACAAATTAAAAAATATTCATTATCACTAAATCATCAGAGAAATGCTAAAACTACAGTGAGATACCATCTCATACCAATCAGAATATCTATTATTAAAAAGTCAAAAAAGCAAGATATGTTGGTGAAGACGCAGAAAAAAAGGGGAAGAATGCTTATGCACTGTTGATGGGATTGCAAATTAGTACAACCTCTATGGAAAGCAGTATGGAGATTTCACTAATAACTGAAAATATAACTACCATTAGACCCAGCAGCTCCACCACTAGATATCTACCCAAAGAAAAATAATCATTGTATCAAAAAGCCACCCGCACTACTATGTTTATTGCAGCACTATTCACAATAGCAAAATCATTGAATTCATCAGTGGATGAATTCATCAGTGGATGAAGTGTTCATCAGTGGATGACTGGATGAGGAAAATGTGGCATATATACACAATGGAATACTATATGGCCAAAAAAAGGAATGGAATCATGTGTACTGCACCTACATGATGCAGCTGGAGACCATTATCTTAAATGAAGTAATCAGAAACTGAAAATTAAATACTGCATGTTCTCACTCATAAGTGGGAGCTAACCAATGGTTACACATAGACATACAGATGGAAGTAATAGACACTGGGGACTCTAAAAGTGAGAAGAATGAGAGGGGGCTGAGGGTTATAAAATTACTGATTAGGTACAATGTTTCCTATTTGGGTGATGGATACACCAGAAGTCCAAACCTCACCATTATGCAGTATATCCATGTAACAAATCTGTCATGCTCCCTCCCCTTCATATATATGTGCTCTCTCTCATTCTCTCTCTGTATATATATGTATATACATACAAAAAAGTTTATATATATGTAATACATATACATATATAATGTTATGTAGATGTATTAATACTTACAAATATATAATGCTATATACAATAAATGCTATGTAGAAATCACTACTGTGGATTTTTGTTTTATTTTATTTTCTTCATACCTCCCCAACATTTTTTGTTTTGTTTTTACTTTTTTTTTTTGAGACAGTTTTGCTCTTCTTGCCTAGGCTGGAGTGCAATGGCACGATCTCGGCTCACTGCAACCTCTGCCCCCTAGGTTCAAGCGATTCTCTTGCCTCAGCCTCCCGAGTACCTGAGGTTACAGGCGCTCACCACCATGCCCGGCTAATTTTTTGTATTTTTAGTAGAGATGGGGTTTCACCATGTTTGCCAGGCTGGTCTCGAACTCCAGACCTCAGGTGATCCACCTGCCTTGGCCTCCCGAAGTGCTGGGATTACAGGTGTGAGCTACCGTGCCCGGTCAGCTCTCCAGTTTTTACCCACCAAGACTGATTCCAATGTTGATGGATGTCGTCTTCATATTCTCTTAAACTCTGCTCTTTGAATCTTCTTACAGTACCAAAGAAGTCTCAACTCAAGAACTGACCTATTTCATCACAAACCAAACGTTTCAAGATATTAATCTAAAGCTTCCTGGATAGATATATGGGCTAATAATCTACTTCAAATTGTCTTTACTGTTTAAACTCTTACACAAATCCTTGGCTGTTTCATATAATTATTTTTTCTTTGTGCTATATAATTAATTAAAGAGAAGCCAAAATGATAATTATTTCAGCAAACAGCTGGATATAACTTTGTCCTGCAGATATGTTACATACATCTTCAAAGGCACTGCCTGGTGACAAAAAAAGTAAATGCTTAAATTCAGGCTTCTTCAACTTTTCCAATTGTTTAGGTATCTGACTATGCCTTTTTTGTTGTTGTTTGATAATAGATGTGTTTTATGTTCCAAGGCAGTTGTTTGAAAAGTAATTACTGTATAAAGGTGTTAAGGTAGAAATGTTAAAGTAATATAGAATTTTACAATAGAGCATTAAAATATTTTCGAACAATTAATTTTCATTACAATTGTAATCTAATCAAGTCATATAATTAATGCTGTATTTGTGCTTTATAGGTTTTAATCCTTCTGATGTTGTTTGTAATTCTAAGAGATAGGTGTGTCATTTCTTTAACTTACTTGGCATGAATACTGAGGCTTGGAACGTTAACTGAGAAAGAACAATGGCTGATAAATGTTGGAAATAGAATTCCCCCAAACTCTTGCTTTTAACATGTATTTAACCTCTATTCTAGATACAATTTTAGCACTTTTCTTCTAATGAATTTTTATTTTGCTTAATTTGTCTAGGAAATGGTAATGCATTATTTATATTGGGGTTAATATGTTATTATATTATTTAAAGTTATGTATTGTGGGAGTATTTTAAAATAAGTTTCTTATAAGATTTGTCTTTTAATGGTTTTTTCTATTAATTGTTAGCAATAGGTATTATTTATAGCAGTGATTTTCTAGGTGCACTAGAAAAATAATGTAATAAAATCAAAAGAGTGTTAAAGAGATTTAAATTACCAGTAGGTAGGATCAGAAGACGAAAAGTTTCACTTATTGAACTTTTGCCATGCCAGGTTCTGCTCTAGCACCAGATTTATATAATACACACAGTAAAGCACAAGACAGTCAAAGTCTTGGCCTTCAGCCTACAATCTAGATTGGGAGTATAAAGTATACCAGGAAGCCAATAATGAAGTAATATAATTTAATATTTGATAAGAATGTTAAGAAAATTAAGTTTGGAGAGGAGCTGTTTCAGATAGGATACACGGAGAATATTTCTTTGAGGAGTTGGTAAAGATAAAGATGGGACAGTAAGCAGAGAGAAGATCAATTCTGTCTTATCAGTCTTCTTAATTTTATCCATTCCAGGAAGTATACAATGGTTCTGCATTCTGGCTTTAATTTGCATTTCCTTAGTAACTAAGGATGCAGAGTGCCTGTTTATGTGCTTATGATCATTTCAATATCTAATTGTTTGAGTGGTTGCTTAAGTATTTGACCCAACTTTAAATTCTTGCTTTTGGTGATGAGGGTTTTGTTTGTTTTGTTTTCTGGTCTTTCAATTATTGGAGATGCAGGAGTTCTTTATATATTGCCATGTACAAATATTCCAAATATTTTCTCCTATTTTTTGTATTCTGTATTCATTTTCGGAATCAGTTTTTCAGGAAATAATTTAATTTTGATTATGTTTAATTTACTTTTATTTTTCCTTTTTATGATTAATGCATATCGGATCTTGTCCAAAAAATTATTTGCTTGGCAAAACTCTTAAAGATAGTCTTCTAGTTTTTGTATTTAGCTTTCTGCCCCATCTCAGATTGATTTTTGTGTATGATATGAGGTAATATTAAAAATAAATATTTTTTAATGTGAGATATTCAATTTCTCTAGAACAATTTATTGAAAAAAATAAAACCGTTTCTCTTTGTAATTGAAAAAGTCTTGGTCAAAAATCAACTAACTATGTGAGAGCTAAAAAAACTTGATCTCATAGAAGTAAAAAGTAGAAAAGAGGATACTAGAGTCTGGAAAGGTAGTGGGAAGGGCAGGATAACAGAGTTTGTTAAAGGATACAAAATAATAGCTAGATAGGTAGGATAAATTCTAGTGTTCTATACCACTGTAGGATGACTAAAGATGAAAACATATAGTTTCAAATAGGTAGAAGGAGGATATTGAACATTCCCAACTCAATGATATGGTGTCTGAGATGATGGATATGCTAATTACCCTCATCTGATTACTATACACTGTGTATCAAAACACTATTATGCACCCATTGTATTAATACATTCTCATGCTGCTCTAAAGAACTGCCCAAGACTGGGTAATGTATAAAGGAAAGAGGTTTAAGTGACTCGCAGTTATGCAAGGCTGGGAGGCCTCAGGAAGCTTACAATCATGGTGGAAGGAGAAGCAAACATGTCCTTTTTCACATGATGGTGGGAAGGAGAAGTGGTGAGGAAAGAGGGAAAAGCCCCTTATAAAACCACCAGATCTTATGAGAATTCACTCACTATCACAAGAATAGCAACATGGGTTAACTGTCCCCATGATTCAATTACCTCCAACTGGGTCCCTCCCATGACACATGGGGATTATGGGAACTACAATTCAAGATGAGATTTGGGTGGGGACACAGACAAACCATATCATTCTGTGTCTGGAATTGGTTCCTTCCGGTGGGTTCTTGGTCTTGCTGACTTCAAGAATGAAGTCGCGGACCCTTGTGGTAAGTGTACAGTTCTTAAAGATGGTGTGTCTGGAGTTTTTTCCTTCAGATGTTCATATGTGTCTGGAGTTTCTTCCTTCTGGTGGGTTTGTGGTCTCACTGACTTCAGGTGTGAAGCCACAGGTCTTTGCAGTGAGTGTTACAGCTCTTAAAGGTGGTGCATCCAGAGTTCTTTATTCCTCCTGGTGGGTTTGTGGTCTCACTGACTTCAGGAGTGAAGCCGCAGACCTTTGCAGTGAGTGTTACAGCTCTTAAAGGTGGCTCATCCGGAGTTTGTTTGTTCCTCCCAGTGGGTTTGTGGTCTCACTGACTTCAGGAGTGAAGCTGCAGACCCTCGTGGGGAGTGTTACAGCTCCCACAGCTTTGAACATCTCCACCCCTGTGGCTTTGCAGGGCACAGCCTCCCTCCTGACTGCTTTCACAGGATGCCATTGAGTGTCTGCAGCTTTTCCAGGTGCATAGTGCAAGTTGTCTGTGGATCTACCATTCTGCGGTCTGGAGCCACAGCTCCACTAGGCAGCACCCCAGTGGGGACGCTGTGTGTGGGGGTTCCAACCCATCTTTCCCTTCTGCATTGCCCTAGCAGAGGTTCTTCATGAGGGCTGTCACCCCTGCAGCAAACTTCTGCCTGGACATTCAGGAGCTTCCATACATCCTCTGAAATCTAGGTGGAGGTTCCCAAACCTCAATTCTTGACTTCTGTGCACCCACAGGCCCAACACCACATGTAAGGTGCCAAGGTTTGGGGCTTGCAACATCTGAAGCAACAGCCCAAATGCTACATTGGTCTCTTTTAGCCATGGCTGGGATGCAGGGCACCAAGTCCTGAGACTGCATAAAACATCAAGGCTTTGACCCACTAAACCATTTTTCCCTCTTAGGTCTCCAGGCCTGTGATGGGTGGGGCTGCTGTGAAGACCTCCGACATGCCCTGGAGACATTTTTTCCTTTGTTTTGGCAATTAACATTTGGTTCCTTGTTACTTATGCAAATTTCTGTAGCTGGCTTGTCTCCACAGAAAATGGTTTTTCTTTTCTATTGTATCATCAGGCTGCAATTTTTTGAAACTTTTATGCTCTGCTTTGCTTCCAATTCTAAGCCTTATCTTTGTGGATACATAACACTGAATGCTTTTAATAGCACCCAAGTCACATCTTGAACACTTTGCTGTCTAGAAATTTCTCCAACCAGATAACCTAAAACATCACTCTCAAGTTCAAAGTTCCACAGATCTCTGAGGCAGGGGCAAAATGCTGCCAGTCTCTTTGCTAAAACATAGCAATGGTCACCTTTATTCTAGTTACCAACAAGTCCTTCATCTCCATTCGAGACCACCTCAGCCTGGACTTCATTGTACATATCACTATCAGCATTTTGGCAAAAGCCATTCAAGCCTCTAGGATGTTCCAAACTTTTTCACATCTTCCTGTCTTCTTCTGAGCCTTTGAAACTGTTCCAACCTCTGGCTGTTACCCAATTCCAAAGTTGCTTCCACTTTTTCAGGTACCTTTACAGCAGTGCCCCACTACCTGGTACCAATTTACAGTATTAGTCCCTTCTCATGCACTATAAAGAACTTCCTGAAACTCGGTAATTTATGAAGGAAAGAGGTTTAATTGGCTCACTTTTCTAAAGAGGTTTAATTGACTCACAGCAGAAGAGAAAGCAAATGTGTCCTTTTTCAAATGATGGCAGGAAGGAGATGTGGTGAGCAAAGAGGGAAAAGCCCCTTATAAAAACATCAGATCTCGTGAGAACTCACTCACCATCACAAGACCAGCAGCATATGTGTAACCGTCCCCCTGATTCAATTACCTCCCATTGGGTCCCTCCCACAACACGTGGGGATTATGAGAACTACAATTCAAGGTGAGATTTGGGTGGGGAGAAGACAAACCATATCCCCTATGAATATGTACAATTATTTGTCAATTTAAAAATAAAATTAAAATACAAAAAAGTCAATTAGTTATTTAAAAAATACTGTATTTCTGGTATTTCTATTCTGTTCTGTTGATATATAGTTGATTCTCATATTTATAATACATTCTGTGAAGTTGCTGTGAACACTGAATTGTTGAACCCTAAACTGAACTATTGGTCTTAAGGGATATATAGGGTTATGTTCCTGAGAGCCTCTGGTCACAACATTTTCTCAATGAATTAATACATAACTTTGTTGTATGTTTGTTTCTGTTTTAGAAGACGTGATTTGATATACACTGTTGATTCATTAACACTGAACTCACAGCCAATAATACAAGACATTATACCCTAATGAACCTTATCTAACGCATTCATTTTCTCCATAAAGCACATGCCAGCCTACATGGCTTTAGGAACACTAGACAGCACTTCAACACAATGTTTAGGGACTATTTTAAACTGTAGAATTACCAACAAAAAGTGTAAAAATGTGAAAAACATGGCACTAAGTAGACCACAAAAAGAATACTTGTTTATGGTGTGAGAACTGAAACAAGAAAGCAGAGAATCACCACAACGGACTGTAGCTGAAGAAGTATGTATCTGCTGGCTCAAATGTTTTGCCAATCTGTGCATGTCTGTGAATGCACGGTGGATATTGATTTTAGGGTTACAGAAAAATTTTAGTGTGTAGGTGAGAATTTGAAAATATAAACTACTCCCCGAAGCCCAGGCTGTTTCCCAAACTCACTCCTGGAGAAATTAGGGGCAACCCCCAGCGCTAGCTGGTTCTCAGCCACCCAGCTGGACTAGGGTACTTCACAACCTAAAAGAATGAGCCATCTTAGTCCAGAAAGATAACTGCAGTGGACTTAACAAACATTTCTAAGAGGCCCAGAGGCCTACTTTGGTAGGCAAGTACTTGCCTCTTGTTTTAAATATAATGCATTTAATCATATGTTTATATACTTTAAGTTTTAATAGCAGACACATTTAAAACTGGCAAATGCATTTCCCAAAATGAAGTAATCAGCTAAATTAATTACACCATATTAATGTGTGTATTATGTTTAATGATTTTGTTTTTCTAAATTTAATCTTGTCTGGTATTAATATCATGATCTCTTACTTTTTTGTTTGTTTGCATCTACCTCATAAAACTTAGCCTATCATTTCATTTATTTATTTATTTTTTCCAGATTAATTGCTTATAGATGTGCCATTCAAAGCCCAGCTTGAGGCTTTGTATTATGAAAGACAGTGTAGCTTATTGGTTAAGAATATTGATTTTGATATAAACGCACTGTGTCACTACATTTTTGGTTTTTACCAAAAATATTTTTGTTGTAAAGATCAATTTCAAATTGAGATTAAATTCATTTTTGCACAGTATCATTTCCATAATTTCAAATATTACAAGGTTACTGTGTTAAAAGTGTGCATATCTGAAGTATACTAGAAACTTTAAAATACAGAGTAATTGCATTAGAAAGATCATATCCATTAAGTAGAAAGGCAAAATATTAAGTTCATGTATATTAAAATGTTTATATTTAATAAAAAGCTAAAAGTTGAACACAGACAAGAATTGCATTTATATATTCCAATATTTAAAAGAAAAATACAAACTCTACCCTTTGTAGGAAGAATGTCTGTTCACATGCTGCTTATTTGCCACCTAGTTGGCTCTCATTGGCTATGTGACTTTGTACAACTTACTTAACCTTCTATGCCTTGGAGTATTTCTAAGCAAACTAGAAATATGATAACATATTATAAATTTTTTTTTGCTCATTTTTGGTTTACTTTTTTCTTCTTTTAAAAATGAAGATTAGATGAAGTAAAGCATTTACTTACAACCACATCACATTTTTGTTCTATAGCAGTTTTAAGTGTTATTACCTATTTACCTCTGTAACCATAACTTTGTGTATCAGAATCCTATACTGCTTTTACAGCACCTATTACATCTTTTTTAAAGCAAAAATAAAAATTAGCATTTTTAATTTTCCCTCCTTCTGCTTCTTCATTCAATTTAAGATTATGTTATTTTAAAAGATGTATTTTTATTGTTAAATATATGTAAAGCTCATTTATTTGATTTATCAATTTGTCTTTAACTCTCATCTGTTAAGAGATAAATCTGTGTACTAACATAACTTTCCTCCCACCTTCCTCTTCCAACTTACTCAGCTAAATATTTAAATTTTGCATTGTGCAAAAAGTTATACTTATTATCCACATTTTTATACCTTTGATTTGTAATAAAATGCAATACATATTTATCTTCAATTATTTAGAGATAATGCTTTTAATTTATTATTTAAATACTTTAAGAAAGTTTTATAGTAGTAATTATTCTTAATTTCTGGTCTGTAGTAGAAATTAGAAATTATTTGTTGGCATTATGATAAAACTACAGATGGTTTGGACATCCATTATCTTATACCATTAAATGTTACTGTAAAGTAATGTAAGCCAGCCTGATTGTTTTCTCCATATGTAACTTGATTGTCTTGCCTATTTAACCAAACAAGCCTACTTTGAAGTTGAGCGATTTTATGAGACGATATGCTAGGGTAGACCACATGAGTCAAATTTGTCTAGGCCACAATATGTCCTTTTAGTCTGTAAACCCAAATAATTTTTATTTCTGGAAATATTTACTTGAATTACATTTATAAACTTCTGTATAATTATTTTAATTTTCTTCTTTGGGAAAAACTACTCTGTGGCTCTTAGATTGCTGATTGTATATAAGAGTCTCATTTTTTCTCTAATACTTTTAAATACTTTATGTGTTTCCATTTTATTTTGCTTCCTTTTCTGCTTTCTATCATTTATCATCTAGATCTTTTATTTTCATCAGTTTTGGTTTTTGTCTCATTCTTCATAAGTACCTTTTTTTGAAAAAAAATTGAATTTTTTTGTTTTTCCTTTTCTCCTAAATGTTGAGTTCTTCTATATCTGATAGTTTTCTTATTATCTGTATAATTTAATTATATAATTATATAATTTATAAATTATATTGCTATATAGTTTTATTTTATTAAGAGAGAATTAATCTTTTTTTTTCTTTCCAAGAGGCAGAGTCTTGCTCTTTTGCCCAGGCTGCAGCACAGTAGTTATTCACAGTCATGAACGTAGGACACTGCAGCCTTCAACATCTCAGTCTTCTGAGTAGTTGGGACTATAGTGATGCCATCACACTGGGCAAAATTTTATCATTCATATATTTGTTTTCTGGTTCCTTTCCCCCATTTTTGGTAAATATTCTGTGCTGATTCTCCTTTGATTGCTCATCTGAATAAAATGAATCTGGGGGAGGAGATCCCTTTAGATTTTTATCAATAAGGACAAGGTTATATCTTTATTTCCAGTTTGAGTATGTGGTTTTGTTTCTGTGTGTTTGTGTGTGTTTACTTCTCCCCATCAATAGATATAGGCAGACAGAAGGCAATATTGATTTAAATGTCTCCTCATTGCTCTCACTAGTCTTTTAGACATATGGTTGTTTTGAATAACATATATGTGACCTAAGTGATTTTCCCCTTCAGCTACTTCATGCCTATTCTTTCAGTATTGTTCAAGTTCCAGAGAATTTGTCAATGTGGCAAACAAGTGTTTTTGTTTTCCCTCATCTTAGATAATTTTACTTTGTCAGATTTTTCAAGAACTGCAGCCAAAAGCAAACTTCCTCCTTTTTTACTGAAATCACTGTTCTTGGGAACCTTTCCATTATTTTGTTATTTGGTAACTTGTTACTTTTTCAAAGATAGAGTTAATTTTGTGTATCTTCTCCTTGGTTTGGTGTCGTTTCCAAGGTAAATAGAAAAAAAAATGCTAACTGTAAGCTTTTAAACTTGTGCCAATTATTAAGCTGTTGTCTCTAAGTTCTAAATTCATTTAACACTCTGTTCTGTGATGCTGTTGTGTTGTTGCTGGAACTCTGCAATCTAATTTTCTCTGAACCAGCTGGCTTCCTATTAGGTTCTTTCAATAGCAGGTGCTGGAGGCTGACACACAGTCAGGAGTGGAAAGATAAGACTTACTTCTTTTGTGCTGTCTCCTTGTTTCCAGTTGGCATACTCTCATTATCAGGATTGCATCCTCAGCAAAAGCAGTTGGTTCTAATTTTCAGTTCCCAGGACCAGCTTAATTGCATTCTCTTCTCAGACCTAAAGTCTCTAGACTTTGTAGTTATCCACTGCTAAGTTCCCAGGGTGCCAAAAGCAACTGACCACTGGCCTTTTCTTGGAAATCTGGGTACTAGCTACAAGGCATGCTTTCTCCATGTTTCTAAGTTCTGATTCGAAACCTTTCCTTTGTTTTTCAACCCCATGGCTGTTAGCTGCTTTCAGAATATTCCGAAAGGAACTTGATTGATGTAACCTTCAAAACATGTCTCTCCTTAGTTTAAAGAAGTAGAATAGAATGTTGTCTCACCCATTAACTGTCCATGGTAGATACCATGGAGGTAAATGCAAGAAATCCTTGGTCCCTAGATCAGTTAGAATCCTGCATCCTCTTTATAGAATGGAGATAAGACTGGTTCTGTAAGGAATTATTTTTCTTTTTATAGGATAAAAGACTCAATAAGAAATTAAGTACTAGGCCATAGAATCTGCATTGAGATTGTCACCCACACTATTATCTCATATACCACCCATGTGATACCTCCCTTTGCTAACCACTAGATTAGAAGGACCATGTGTCTAGTAGAGATTTCTTTACCTATGATATCTGATCATTTCTTAGCAAAAGAGAAGTGATACCTCTAAATTGCTAAGATTACAATGATATAATCCTTCTAATGTCCTGTACTTGGTGTGTTGCCAGCGCTATTTTGTTAATTCCACTTTCTAATTCAGGCTTACACTTTGCCCTCAGGCTATCTTCAATTCTAACTTAAAATTTCAGGCACAGCACACACTAGCTCCTCAATATAAAATATCAAAAAAGTTTTATCCTGGATTTTTAAAATTTCTATAAAATTATCAACTAGCATTCATCTAATAAGGCTACATTTTGAAGACTTTGTTTACTGAGCACCGTGTACCTGGTGCTGTTGTCTTCACTGAAGATAAAACTTAACAAAACCCAACAAAATCCACGACCTCTAAATTACACAGCCACAATGCAAAGAGATGCTTCAAAATTAAGCCAATTACCATGCATGTGATATTCCACTAAAATTGAGAAGCAGTGAGCTAACTAATCTGATGACTAACTAATTTTTGATGTCTCCATTCAGGGAAGTAGATTCAGCCGTCTATCTGGATAGTTTAGTATATGTTCAAATATTGGTTTATGTTGACATATCTGAATTTTTTTGTCCCAAATATCAACTGGTACAGAAAATTGGTTGACTGTTATATTTAGTAAGATTGAAACCTTTATACAAATCTTTTTCAAAACTAAAAGTAAATTACACTGTGATTACAACACAAGTTGAGTCGCTTCTGATGGTCAATCCTAACACCAGATATAGAATAAGAGAAGAGAAGACAAATGCTTAAAGACTTACTGCACTACCATGTTTAATAGAAAAAATCCTAATATGATAGAAATGGTTTCTGAAGCAAATTGATAAAGAGTGGTATAGAAACATAATAAATTTAGTATAAAGAAGGCTACGAACTAGAATTTTTAAATCTTCATGGCAAAATAAAACAGGAATAGTGTTTTAATTTTTTTCATAACTTTCAATAAGTTGTTTTACAATTATGATTTCTATATGAGGTGCTTTATTTTAGAGCATTTTTGATTCTTATGGTTGGAAATGGATTAAAACTTTAAATAATATTTAGGGTGTACCATCTTCTTATCTCAGCTGCTTGCTGGGCATGCCGTCTGAATACTCATTATGACTTGGCAGTTACCCACTGACTGCAAGTTCAGATTTATGAGGAGGCAACAATCCAGCTCTGTTTGTTTGCCTTTGGTTCAGCAGTCTGTTCCTGTGGTGATTTCCACATGGCATACATGCAGGAAGGTCAAGATCATCTTGATCCAGGGATTTAGAGTCTAAAATATTTATAAGAAAAAAAAAACCCACAATTCATAGTCCTTAGAGAAATACAAGACATAGCATTATTTGGAAGATGTTGTCCTAAAATAATTAAATTCTTATTCAAAGCAAAGCTATTAATCATTGCAGAAAATATACACCATGAAGATTAGAAGCTTGCCTATAGGTGTCACTGCTATGAGTATATAAAAAAATATGGTTACTCAGAAAGACATTATACTTCCAAAATATTTTAAAATATAAAAATAGATTGTAGGCAAGTCTAATTAATTGTATTATTATAAAGAAGCAAATAATGTGCATGCATAGAAATGATGGGTTTACTTTATGTGGAAAACAGAATACAACCAATATAAAGAATGGGGGCAACTGTGGATGAGTTAAGATGGAAAGCTCATCCATAGCATCTGAACCATCTGACAGCCATTCAGTATCTCTAGGTTGCCGGTTGTATTTGGGACTTGCCAAGAAGCCAGATGCTCTCATGGCTTTCCATCATATAGTAATTGCTCTCCAAAGAACAAAAAAGTATAAATGTGAGAATAATGTTATTTTACTACATGTTTGAAATATTTTTAGTTTTAGTAAATTCTGATATAAATTAAAATACTTAATAACAATATATTTTTTAAAAGTTAAACCTATATATATTTCCAAGACATGAATCTCCTATAGAGTCTTCAACATTTTGAAGTAAATAGGTGAAGGAAAATGGCCTAGGATATCAATACAATCTGTGGATTTACATTCATAAAATTTTCTAAGGGAGCTGAGAAGAGGCTTAATGTTACAGAGGTGAAGAATAATGGCACCATGTATTCAATGTTAACTTCATAAATGTTTATTTTTTGAATGAATGAATCTTAACTGAGATGACAAACACAATTCGAACTGTTATCTCCACCACAGAAAGGGACTTTAGAATGGAAACTGGAACCTTGATATTTTCCACAATATAAAGTTAAGTTTGCTATGGGTGTGGGAATGAGGATAAGAAAGGAAACTGAGGCTAGGTGGAGCATCCTGACAGGTCCAAAGTGATGTAGTAAGGAGGTATTTTGTCACCACTGGCCAGTGGACCACTTTTATTTCCTGAAACATTTCATACAAAATTTGCCTCTCTGAATACCTGATATTTTTGGCTCCTTACTTAGTTTCTCTCTTTCTCTCTTACACACACACACACACACACACACAAAATACACACACACACTTTTCTGTCTATCTACTCAGCTCACTCCTCAGTATAAGCTCCGTGTCAATCCAGTTTTAGGCAAAAGTTAGTGAGGATACACTTACGCATTTAAGAACTGTCATAAATTTGGGAATTAAACTGACAATACACTCTAAGCAAATTCCTCCTCCTCACAAACAACAGCAACTCACATGCAAGCTTCTGTACAAAATTAGTGGGCTCTCTAACCTAAAAGACCACAGAGATGTCCCTTATATTTTGGACTAGATAAGAATCATAGGTCTTTAGCACAAGAAAAGGGGAAAGGCATTCCCAAAGCATAACCAAATGTGAGTTTCTTGCCAAGGCGTCAGATGGGTGGCTCAGTGTAGGTTAAAGATATTCATCAAGTAGGGGGTACAGTATCCATGTCAGAATGTATGATCAGTATATATGCATCTCTGTTAGTACTATAATACACACTTTCCTTGTTTCTTATGAATACTTGCATGCCTGTATTTTGATATTACTGCTAATTTTTATTTAAATTGCAATTGAAGTACAAGGAAAAGCGTTTGCATTTGAGCACTTGAGTCATTTAATACTGGACAGGATATCGTCATATATTTTAAGAGTGATGTAAAATTATTGCATAAGGGAATAAAAGTTTTCACTGAGGTCTAGAAATACTCAGTGAAAAGTCTCTGGCATGTACCAAATAATAGATGTTATTAATTTTTAGATGTTATTTTTAATTTTTATAAAAATAAGAGGTAACATAGCATTTTAGAAGGGTATATAATCCATACTAAAAAAATGAGCTTCCAATTCTGGCCATAAAGTTTTTATTAAATATAACAATTCTCACCAAGGATTGATACATGATTAAATGTAAAACTATATTTTAAATGTTTTAGAAACAAAATGCAGTACGCATAAGTACTACTTATAGCTAAAAAGTCACAATCTCTCTGATTTATTTTTCTTGTCTGTAAAGCAGATCTGAAAAATCTCTAACCCTTGGCTTACATTTTATATTCTTCCAAAATACTATTTTTATTTTTCTTAATTGTAAAAAAGTTCACAGGACTTTAGAAAAATATAAATAATATAGCAACAAATAACAAATAAATAATCATGTTTATTCCATCCAGAACTAATCCCTGTACCTTTTTGGTAGTCACATGTTCAGATCTCTCTCTCTGTATCCACAGATTGAAATACTGTTCCCAAGTATTACTCTGCCCTTCATTCCTATGTAAGTCAAGTTGTCATGTCATTTGCAGCTTCTCCTGTGGGTGAGCATACACGGTTGCCTCATTGACATTTTGTTTATCCAAGAGACTTGCTTTGGCCAATGGTGTGTGGATGGACATTATGTACACCTTGTCTGTACATAATAGTGTTGAAGCATTGTGTATTTTCTGCCTGCTCTCTTGCTCTTTTCCCTATTCAACTAGAAACGAATATCTGATATAGCAGCCTCTTTTTCATGTTAGGTCCCAGAGTCCTGGAATGAGAAGAAAATCGAATAGAAATCAATAGAACTCATGCTATACAGAATTCTAAGATGGTTCCCATAACCTTTACCCCTGAGGTTACTCCCATAAATATGTTATGGTACAAGGTGAAGGGATTTTGAAGACAAAATGGTTTCTAATCAATTGACTTTAAGATAGGCAAGTTATCCAGAAAGACCTGACCTAATCATATAAGTTCTTCAAAAGTAGAGAGATTTTTTGTTGTTGTTGTTATTCTGACATGGTAGAAGAAGAAAACAGAGAGATTCAACTTGTGAAAGAAATTCAATGTAAAGAAGCTTCCCTACTGCTGAGGTGGAAGAGGCCACAGAGCAAGAAGCTGAGAGCAGCCTCTTGGAGATGAGAGTGGTCCTGGCTAGAAAGCCAGCAAGAAAAAGGGGACTTCAGCCCTACAACTCTAAGGAACCAAATTCTACCAAAAACCTGCATGAACTTGGAAGCAGATTGTTTTACTGAGCTTCCAGATTAGAACCTAAACTGGACAGGACCTGGCCTAAGCAGAGAACACATCTGAGCAACCTTGAGCCACGTATGAACACATTTGTGACCTATAGAACTGTGAGATGATAAATAAATGTGGTTTTAAGGTACTGCAGTGGTGATATTTGTTACTCGGTAAAAAGTAATAAAAAAGAAAATACAGAGCTACAGCAACCAGCCCACTGCCACCAACACAAAACATAAATAAGAATATTGTAATAAACATGAGGGCTAGTTTGTTACTTCAAAGACCCGATTAATGTATCTTGAAATCACACACAAACACACACACAGTGCTTTAGTGCCATTGTATAAATTGTATCATATTGAAAATACTTCTTTATCTTTTAACTTATTTAATGCTTTGCAATTTCACTTATAAGCAAGTAAATGTGGAAATGTTTTATGCCAATTAAAGTGTACCCACAATACCACTTCTATTGGCTGTGTGGTTTTACATTGTGTGGAAGTACAATACACTATTTTCTTTAAACAAACACTGCTTTTAAAAAAAATCCTATTGAAGGAAGTTTTAGGTTGTACAACTCTTCATGGTTCAAGAAGAGCCAACATCTTTTGGTATAGATAATATTTTCACACTTGTGTCCTTCAGAATGATCCTACTAATATATAAACTTTAAATTACGTTATTGTAATCCTTTTGTTTAAAATTGTTACAACTTTACCATTTTTACACATATACACATCTTTTTGTACCTTTGGAAGTTTATAAAGTCAAATGTTTCTAGATATCTTTCATTTTGTTTTCTAAATTGATTGTCCATCATCTTAATGCATAATTGAAAAAAATATAAATTTCAAGAAATAATGTTATTCTAGTAGTCATTCTTTTTTGTACCGTCTACATTTTTCCATTGGTATTTCAAACAGTACTTGGAAAATCCAAAATTTAAAGCCAGAGCAGCTGTTCAGCAAATGTTCACAGAAGCCAACAGGCTAGTGTGCTCTCAATAGGTTTGTGTAACAAATAACTGCAAAGTTGTTTCTGCATAAATGAGAAGTTCATGGCCAACTAGGAAGTTTACATGTGTAATTTAGGTCTAGCCCTGGAAAAAAATGGCTTAGAATGTGCAAATCTGTTGTATATAGTGAGGCAAAGTCAGGATAACCATGGAGGCAATGATGAGTTCAGAACATTTTTCATCTGGATAATTTAAGGTACTGGCTTGAGTTCAACATCATTAATTACCATTTTCCTCAGTAAATTGTTTACAGTTCCTTTGAGGCAAATATTATTTTCTCTGTTCAAATCTTATGAGCCTGATTAGAGTACACTAAGCTGCCTTTTTTCTCTGTACAGTGGATGTCTACATACCATAATGTTGTTTGTACACTGTGGAAATTGTATGACGTATTTGTAGATGTTTTTTTCCCAGAATGAAAGACATTGCTGAGCATGCGGAGAAGGATGTTAAAAGTAGCAATATGGTAAATAAGTGATTCCCATTGTCTGACTGAATTGTTTTATTTTAACTGATAATTTACTATTAGTAACTATATTTTAAGTGTTTTCATCTGAACGAACAAACAAAAATTGCTTTAAAAACCATCTAATCTTTAGAAAATGTAACCTGCATGTAAAACTTGTATTCTTGGCCAAACTAAGTAGCTCTGCAGCATTTCCTGCTACTGGAAGTAAAGTCCCTTTCTGAAGAAGAGACTAATAATTATATAATGCCAGTGCTACCTGCTCTGTTTGCTTGATTGCTTTTTATCAGTAGGGGTTTGAAACAGAAAGGCAATAAATGAAGTTGTGAACTTTAAACCTCATTGTATGAAGAAAAATCGTATCTTAGGACCTAAATTTCAATGGCATACTTTATTTTATAATTGTAGCTATGTAAAAATGCCTAACAACTATGAAAATTTAGGATACCTGCCTGTAGAATATTTTAATGTCCAAGTCCATGAATTTTTGGCTATGAAAACCAAATACACAGAGACCTCAACTTACAGTGATTCTGTACAGCACTTTAACTTCGTCAATATTATTCTTTATGACACAATAGGCAGCTAGAACATAACATATCATTCAGCTAATTCTGAGGAAATAGCAAGGCAGGAAATTGTGAGATGTTCATAATTTCATTTTTAAAACATCAAGTGGCCACAAGTTTCCATAAAATTCCCCAAAAAGCTACTTGTTGAAGCTTCACCAAGAATTCCTTTAGAATTCCATGGCTTTGATAATAATGCACCTCATTTTATGATTTGTTCTAATGAATAGGGATGAAATTTTAAAAATATATTTATGTGAAAGATGGTGAGTCTGTATGATATTAAGTATTATTGTATGCGAATGATGTTGATTGTTTCTCATATGAGGAAGGGAGATTGAGATCTAAGCCATAGACAGTTATAAAGATAGACAAACTCAGCAATAGTCAGTCTCTTGACTTCTGTGTTTTTATCTACTTCTGACACAGATGTCCTTGTGGGTCCTTGAAGTTACTTTCTTAAAAGAAAATTTGGCCCTTATTTCTTTTTTCCTATATTGGTAAAACCAGATACATTTTTTATGACTGCTATTTAATTATATAAATAATGGATGCATCTGTTCATTTTTGTGAAAAATTGGGAATAAGTTCCTTGATATGAACACAGATTTTAATAATATCCCTCTGTGTAAGTCTTAATTTATTTTGACTTTGAATACTTTTTTGAGATACGTAACTCACATATGGAGAATATCTGTTCTCCTTCTAAAGCACTGTAAAGATAAGACCATCAATAAAATCTGCCATTTACTTTTAAACAATAACCTCATGCCAAGTAGAATAGAAAAGACTGCATGGCTTTGAAAAAATCTATTCAATTAGTATTTATTGTCTATTATGTGTCAGTTATTGAGGTGATCCCTGTAGAAAAAAATAATGAACAAGCTCTTCTTTATTTTAAGGAAGCTTACCACTTAGCTGGGAAGGCAGGCATTACAATGTAACTTCAAATTGGTTAATATAGTGATAGTGTAGGTAGTGGTAAATGTGGAGTGCTGTGGGAACCAAAAAGAGGGCATTAAACCTATTATGATTTTTGTTTTAATTCTTTCCTTAGATTTTGGGGAGCAGGTGTTATTTGGTTAGATGAGCAAGTTCTTTAGTGGTGATTTGTGAGATTTTGGTGCACCCATCACCCAAGCAGTATATACTGAAACCAATTTGTAGTCTCGTATCCTTCACCCACTTCCTACCCTTTCCCCCTGAGTCCCCAGAACTCCATTGTATCATTCTTGTCTTTGCATCCTCATAGCTTAGCTTCCGCTTATGGGTGAGAACATATGATGTTTGCTTTTCCATTCCTGAGTTACTTCACTTAGAATAATAGTCTCCAATCCCATCCAGGCGGCTGCGAATGCCATAAACCTATTATTGTAAATTGTTGATAAGAGTTGTGTTCAGCAAAGTGATCAGAGAGGAAGAGATATTTATACTGACTTGAATAATCATATTATATTTACCTATTTACATATTTCATGTTACATAGGTCAAGAGGAGCAGGGAATAGGGGAAGACAGTGACAAAGACGGCTCCAGGAAGAGAAAAGAGCAAAAAAACACCCTTAGATGTAATGTTCTAGAACAATGGAGAAGATGTGGACTTGAAACACAGTCTTCAAACTGCCTTATCATTTTCTTTTACTATGTCTTAAAACTAATTATTTATTGTTTTATAATTTCCATTATATATTATTGTTTTGTTTTTTAGTTTCATATTCTTATGGTCTCCATATTATCAAGCTATTGTCTTTAAAGCCAGAAAATAGAGATAAGACTGAGGAAATATAAGAATTATGTAACCATAAATTCTAACTCTTTGACGTTTTAAAAATAAGTATAATTTAATCAACATGTTGATTTTTTAATGAGAAAAGATGCACTGAGTTCCATCTGAGAGACAATTAAGATTTTAGAATATATCTTGTCATTAGTAACACTGGCAAATAAACCAATAAGACATTTACCATGATGTAAATATTTCTAATAAGTTACCTTGGAATCTCGTCAGAAAAACAAAACTACCACAGTAGTTCCTGCTTATTTCCTTTCTCTAAGAAACACACTCAGGGATAAACCAGCAGATTTCATATCTGTTATGCATAGTACCTTGACTATCAGAAAGAAAAGAAACGCTGGATAAGTACTCATTGCTTGACTGAATATGGTCTTATAAATAATTTAGGAGTTTACTACTAACATCTCTTTCTAGATCCACCCAAGATAAAGACTATAACATTCTGATAAACACACAAAAGCCCCACACTAATAGGCATATTTATTATATATTTTTAAAAATCAGTAAGTTGATGTCACTATGCTGTTAATGTTGAAAAATAATTTATTGTTCACATTTCTTGACATGTACTTACTATGCTATCCCTGATACTTCGGGAAGCCACTTTTGTTCCTAAAGATAGAAGAGCTTTATTTAATACAGGTGGAGCAGTAATTATGATCAATGTAAATTTCCAAGCACAGATTGTGCAAGCTGCTGGTGCTGGCAGTGTGCTTTGTGTGTATGGATGTCCATGTGCCAAATGTTGTATCTATTAGTCCAGAGACATCAGCAGGATTGGACATCAGCTGAATATGGCATAGTGAAAAGTAAATAGGAGCTCAGTATATTATCTTAAGATTCAAAATCAGTATGAAAAATTAAATGAATGAGATAAAAAATGATTGATGAAATGAAGTTTGCATAAATTTTACCTTTTATATCAAATGCCCCTAGAAATTCAAAATCATTATCACTTAATTATATAATTTTCCACAGTTTTTGTTCTTGCTTTGTGTAAATTCTATAGCATTTTGAGAAATACCAAAATCTGGAATAATGTAAGAAAAGATTCTTGTGGGATAACTAAAATGATAGAGTGAAATTGATACATGAAACAATAACATGCGAGTAATACATGCAGAAATACATACACATGCTTAATAATGAAATGAAGGCTGGTGAATTTATGCATCAACATGTGAGCTCCAATATTATGAGTACTGTTAAAGCTACTTTTATTCTCCCCACAATCCCATATATAGTCTGGGTGCAAATATGTCAGTTATAGCTGTTGAAAGTAACTTCCATAAATCTGTAGCTTGCCTTTCAACTTTTTTATGATGTCTACTGATGAACATAAATCTTATATTTAGTTAATAATCTTTATTTATAGTTCATTTTTATTTTGAAATAAAATTAATCCTTTCCTAACATGAAGATATAAAACGTCCTCTTGTATTTCGAGAAATGATTAAGTATTTTGTTTTTCACATTGAAACATTTAGTTTGTATTGAATTAATTTTTATTAATGGTTCATATATGGATTACATTTCAATTTCTTGTTCCTTTTGGATGTCCAATTATCTGAGCACCATTATTATTAATTTCTTTAAAAAATAAACTTATTTGGTTTAGCTGTAAATGTATTCATTCAATAGATCAATCTTTATGACATTGAATACACCTGTCTTTGAAATAGTATATTGCTTAATTTATTTAGGTATTTTATATATTCCAGAGTGTTTCATGTTTTAACCTTGAAACTCTGGCCTACTTTTTATATCTATATCCCCTTTACCTTATAGTTTCATCATTCTTATTAAATATTGTTTTTTAAAATGTTTTATAACTTTTTATTGATAAATAGAAATGAAATTCATTGTTTATGCTGAAATCTACAACCTTACTAAATTCTTAACTAACTCTAATAATTACAACTTGTCTATAAATAGGCTTTAGGGGCTTTAATACAAATATTCATATGATTCATTAATAAAAGTGTTTTTTTTCCTCTCAAAATTCATTTTTTTCTGCACTGACTTGGATTCTTAGTGCAATTTTACATAGAAAATGTTCTTTGTTTTGCTGCTGATTCAGAGGAAATGCTTCTAATGTTTTAGCGAGGAAATTATATTTGCTAAATGTTTTTAATAGAGTTTAGGAGGTTATAGAAGTTTCTTCATATCTCTGATTTGCTAGGGATTGTAGGTTGAATGGGTCATAAGTTTCATCATGTGCTTTTTCTACACATTTTTAAAGGACAATATGGATTTTTATTTTATAATATGTTAGTGAGCTGAGTTAAATTTATGTATTTTATAATGTGAAACCTTCATTGAATTTCTAGGATATCTTCTTAAAATATAATAATATGTTGCTACTAATATTTTGTGTTAGATTGTTTTCTGTATCTCTTCAAGGTACTAACTTAGTTTTGCTATCAAGTTAACACAAGACTTATTAAATGAGTTGCTTTTTCTTTTCTCTTTATTCTATTTTGTTTATGAACTTGCTTAATGCTGTAATTATAAATTACTTGAAGTTCGTGTGAACTCACCTGTAAAACCATCTGGGCCTGGTGTCTTCCTTCTAAGAAGTTGTTAATCATAGGTTTAATTTATATAGTGTTTTAAGATAACTTACATTTCTCTTTATTCTTCAATAAGTCTTACTATCTATTTCAAGATATCTGTCAATTTAATTTTTACATTTTAATTTTTATTGGCATTGAGGTTTTCATGACACTCTCATTAATTTTTTAATGCATGCAGTATCATTATGAAGTCCTCCGTTCAATTTCCAATATTGCAATTTCTCTCCCTCTTTTTATCAGTCTTGTTAGAGGTATACTTTTTTATTAGTCTTTTCAGTATAGCCACATTTTTTACTTTCTTTAATCTCTCTATTGCATCTTTAAGAAACCAAACTGTAGTAACACTGCTCCTGAGAAAATCTGGGCTTTTTCCAGAATCCAGGGAAAACTACCAACCTGAACTCACTTCAGCTCTCTTCAGTGTTCATAGATCCATGGGATAATTTCAGGGTCAGATTTTCTCTATGTTTTGTGGAAAATATCAGAATTAGTTTCTCTGTTTCCAATCTGACATTACCATTTCTCCTGAATGCAACCTGGTTTTCTGTGTACTAGTTTGCAAGGGTCAGTTTTTACCTCACTGTTTTTTTTTTTTTTTTGTATTTTTATTTGGATATTTTCTTTGCTTATAACAGTGCTTTAAAAGTATATTTGTTGTAAATTATCTAGGATAATTATGTAGTCTAGCGAGAAGTCCCTTCAGGGTATCTTTCTGTCTTCCTACTGGAAATGGAATTCCCTCTGAGATATTTTCAAAGTTTTAGATATTTCATATAACCCGTACTTAAATATTTGATTTCTGGAAATATGCATTCTCTGAAGTTGCATCTTCAAGCCTTCAGGTAAATTGTGAAAGTAATTTAGTATGCAGCAATTGAAACCTTAGCTGTTATATTTTGAAAATATGAAAATGAAAATAAAGGCCAGGCGCAATGGCTCACACCTGTAATCCTAGCACTTTTGGGAGTCCAAAGCGGTGGATCACTTTAGGCCAGGAGTTCAAGACCAGCCTGGCCAACACGGCGAAACCCTGTCTCTACTAAAAATACAAAAATTAGTGGGGCTTGGTGTTGTGTGCCTGTAATCTCAGCTACTCAGGAGGCTGAGGCATGAGAATTGCTTGACCCCAGGAGGCGTAGGTTGTAGTGAGGTAAGACTGGGCCACTGCACTCCAGCCTGGGCGACAGAAGGAGACTGGCTCAACAACAACAACAACAACAACAACAACAACAACACAAAAAAAAAAAAAGAAAGAAAGAAAATAAAGAAAATAAATTTCTTTACACTGAGAGAAATCCCTTTCCAAAGCTAATATCTTGCCAAGTGTTTCATATCATATTTTAGGTCTCTTGATATTACCAAAAAGGGAATGGAAAAACTAACATTTATTGAGCCCCTGCAATGTGCCAGATATTTTATTTGTTGTTCTTTATTTGCCAGCTCAGTAAATCCTCAGACCAATTTTATGACCGTTATGGTCATTTTTAATTTGAAGAAAGAGAGAGATGAAGATATTTACACAGTCTAATAACAATTGAGGGACTCAAATTGAGGTTTGCTTGACCTCAATGTTATTCTACCATATACTACTGCTAGCTCTATTTTATAAGTGTGGAAATTGAGGTTTCCAAAGTCTAAAAAATAACTTATCTATGTCTTGTGCCGGTTTTCAAAGGGAATGCTTCCAGATTTTACCCATTCAGTATGATATTGGCTGTGGGTTTGTCATAAATAGCTCTTATTATTCTGCAATACGTTCCATCAGTACCTAGTTTACTGAGAGTTTTTAGCATGAAGGGGTGTTGAATTTTGTCAAAGGCCTTTTCTGCATCTATTGAGATAATCATGTGCTTTTGTCATTGGTTCTGTTTATGTGATGGATTACATTTATTGATTTGCGTATGTTGAACCAAGCTTGCATCCCAGGGAAGAAGCGGACTTGATCGTGGTGAATAAGCTTTTTGATGTGCTGCTGGATTCGGTTTGCCAGTATTTTATTGAGGATTTTCACATCGATGTTGATTAGGGATATTGGTCTAAAATTATCTTTTTTGTTGTGTCTCTGCCAGGCTTTGGTATCAGGATGATGCTGGCCTCATAAAATGAGTTGGGGAGGATTCACTCTTTTTCTATTGATTGGAATAGTTTCAGAAGGAATGCTATCAGGTCCTCTTTATACCTTTGGTAGAATTTGGCCGTGAATCCATCTGGTCCTGGACTTTTTTTGGTTGGTAGGCTATTAATTATTGCCTGAATTTCAGAACCTGTTATTGGTCTATTCAGAGATTCAAATTCTTCCTGGTTTAGTCTTGGGAGGGTATATATTTCCAGGAATTTATCCATTTCTTCTAGATTTTCTAGTTTATTTGCATGGAAGTATTTATAGTATTCTCTGATAGTAATTTGTATTTCTGTGGGATCAATGGTGATGTCCCCTTTATCAATATTTATTGTGTCTATTTGATTCCTCACTCTTTTCTTCTTTATTAGTGTGGCTAGCAGTCTATTTTGTTAATTGTTTCAAAAAACCAGCTCCTGGATTCGTTGCTTTTTTTGAAGGGTTTTTCATATCTCTATCTCCTTCAGTTCTGCTCTGATCCTAGTTATTTCTTGTCTTCTGCTAGCTTGTGAATTTCTTTGCTCTTGTTTCTCTAGTTCTTTTAATTGTGATGTTTGGGTGTCCATTTCAGATCCTTCCAGCTTTCTAATATGGGTATTTAGTGCTATAAATTTCCCTGTAAACACTGTGTTAGCTGTGTCCCAGAGATTCTGATACGTTGTCTCTTTGTTCTCATTTGTTTCAAAGAACTTCTTTATTTCTGCCTTAATTTCTTTATTTACCCAATAGTCATTCAGGAGAAGGTTGTTGAATTTCCATGTAGTTGTGCAGTTTTGAATGAGTTTCTTAATCTTGAGTTCTAATTCGATTGCACTGTGGTCTGAGAGACAGTTTGTTGTGATTTCTGTTCCTTTACATTTCCCTATTCAACATGGTGTTGGAAGTTCTGGCCAGGGCAATCAGGCAAGAGAAAGAAATAAAGGGTATTCGATTAGGAAAACACAAAGTCAAATTGTCCCTGTTTGCAGATGACATGATTGTATATTTAGAAAACCCCATCGTCTCAGCCCCAAATCTCCTTAAGCTGATAATCAACTTCAGCAAAGTCTCAGGATACAAAATCAATGTGCAAAAATCACAGACATTCCTATACACCAATAACAGGCAAACAGAGAGCCAAATCATGAGTGAACTCCCATTCACAATTGCTACAAAGAGAATAAAATACCTAGGAATCCAACTTACAAGGGATGTGAAGGACCTCTTCAAGGAGAACTACAAACCACTACTCAATGAAATAAAAGAGGACACAAACAAATGGAAGAGCATTCCATGCTCATGGACAGGAAGAATCAATATTGTGAAAATGGCCATACTGCCCAAGGTAATTTATAGATTCAATGCCATCTCCATCAGCCTACCAATGACTTTCTCCACAGAATTGGAAAAAACTACTTTAAATTTCATATGGAACCAAAAAGGAGCCCACATTGCCAACACAATCCTAAGCAAAAAGAACAAGGCTAGAGGCATCATGCTACCTGACTTCAAACTATTTTACAAGGCTACAGTAACCAAAACATGGTACTGGTACCAAAACAGATATATAGACCAATGGAACAGAACAGAGCCCTCAGAAATAACACCACACTTCTACAACTATCTGATCTTTGACAAACCTGACAAAAACAAGAAATGGGGAAAAGATTCCCATTTAATAAACGATGCTGGGAAAACTATCTAATCATACGTAGAAAGCTGAAACTGGATCCCTTCCTTACACCTTATACAAAAATTAATTCAAGATGGAATAAAGACTGAAATGTTAGACCCAAAACCATAAAAACCCTAGAAGAAAACCTAGACAATACCATTCAGGCACAGGCATGGGCAAGGACTTCATGTCTAAAACACCAAAAGCAATGGTGACAAAAGCCAAAATAGACAAATGGGATCTAATTTAACTAAAGAGCTTCTGCATAGCAAAAGAAATTACCATCAGAGTAAACAGGCAACCTACAGAATGGGAGAAAATTTTTGCAATCTACCCATCTGATAAAGGGCTAATATCCAGAATCTACAATGAACTCAAACAAATTTACAAGAAAAAAACAAACAACCCCATCAAAAAGTGGGCAAAGGATATGAACAGACACTTCTCAAAAGAAGACATTTATGCAGCCAAAAGACACATGAAAAAATGCTCATCATCACTGGCCATCAGAGAAATGCAAATCAAAACCACAATGAGATATCATCTCACACCAGTTAGAATGGCGATCATTAAAAAGTCAGGAAACAAGAGGTGCTGGAGAGGATGTGGAGAAATAGGAACCCTTTTACACTGTTGGTGGGAGTGTAAATTAGTTTAACCACTGTGGAAGACAGTGTGGCGATTCATCAAGGATCTAGAACTAGAAATACCATTTGACCCAGCCATCCCATTACCGGGTATATACCCAAAGAATTATAAATCATGCTACTATAAAGACACATGCACGGGTATGTTTATTGTGGCACTATTGACAATAGCAAAGACTTGGAACCAACCCAGATGCCCATCAGTGATAGACTGGATAAAGAAAATGTGGCACATAAAGTAGTTTTTTCCAAACACCATGGAATACTATGCAGCCATAAAAAAGGATGAGTTCGTGTCCTTTGCAGGGACATGGATGAAGCTGGAAATCATCATTCTCAGCAAACTATCACAAAGACAGAAAACCAAACACTGCATGTTCTCACTCATAGGAGGGAATTGAACAATGAGAACACTTGGACACAGGGCAGGGAACATCACACACAAGGGCTTGTCAGGGGTTAGGGGGCTGGGGGAGGGATAACATTAGGAGAAATACCTAATGTAAATGATGAGTGGATGGGTGCAGCAACAAACCAACATGGCACATGTATACCTATGTAACAAACCTGCACGTTGTGCATGTGTACCCTAGAACTTATAGTATAATAAAAAAAGGAACAAAAATTAATAAAGGGAAATTCTGTATTTACAAAAAAAAAGTAACTTATCTAGATAAAAAATGAACATGGTTCACCCTAATTCCAAACTCTATGCACTTTTTAACATATTTTGCTGCACAAATGCTTCATTACCACCATATGAAATATAGATAATACCTCAAGTGTCTCATATTTGTCAATGATCAGGTCTCTGAGAACAGCATTTTGTATCACAATTCCTTTAAGTCATGTATTAGCACAGACATTGACTATCTAATTTTTAGACTACTATGGTAATGACTTTTGTCCTGTTCCCAACACAATCAGTATCATTGCAAAATTGCTTTATTGCTCTGTTACTAATTAAATTATAACTTTTCCCCATTCAATAATTCCAAATATTTTTCCTTATTTTTTTCTATTAAATTTCTTTATTCTGGAATTCAAGACCCTTTGCACTCCTTTCTTTGCATAAACCTTCCCCTTTTAAAACTATGTTCAACCTATTATTTTGCTCCAGTAAAGTAATACTGACTTCAAACATTTTTGTAACTTTTTCAAGCAATTCTATAAATTTTTATGATTAAATATTGATAAGTTGTGTCATTCCCTCCCCCTTCAGTTTAAGTTTGTTAGCTGGATTTTATTTAAGAGTGATTATCCTAGGAAAGATTTCCTGGGTGAGGGTCACTGGGTGAATTATTTGACTTTTGTTTAGTATTCTGCTCTGCTATAGATTCCTCAGGTGCTTTCTGGTTCATATTAGTAAAGTAATGATCAAAATCCCCTAAATTATAATTCCCCAAAAGAATGTGGACTATGTGTTGGTAATAATATCACGATATTGTATGGAAGCCAGTGGTTAATATGAGGTATACACGTGAGCTATGAACAGAACTGCATCACCTCAAAATTCATATGTTGAACTCCTAACACTCAATATGACGTGATAGTATTGGAAGATTGAGCCTTTGGAAGGTAATTACATTTAGATGAGGTAATGAGGGTAGAGCCCTCATGGTGACATTAGTAGCTTTGTAAGAGACACTGGAGAGTTTGTGCTGTCTCTCTCTCTTTTCCCTGCCATGTGAAGATTCAGCCAGAACATGGCTGTCTGCATGCCAAAAGAGGGCGCTTACCAGAAACCGACCATTTCTGACACCCTGATCTCATAATTTCATCCTTCAAGACTGTGAGAGAAAAATGTCTATTGTCTATGTATGCAGTTTATGGTATTTTGTTATGTCAGCTTGAACAGATTAATATACATATGTATAATATGTAGTATATATGTGTGTATTCACACATGTATGATTTATGGGCTCCTTGCCATTAATACAATGGGCATTTGATGAATATTTCTTGTTTTTATTCCATATGGTATAGTTAAATGTGAAGATATCATAGAAGTTATGAATTTAAGACTGGTAGAGAAAGATGAAAAAACAGAGTTTGAGGAAAGCTCATGATAGAGTACCTAAGATAAACTCTTTAAGGGTTGTTTTAGAATTGAAGATGAGAAAGGAATACACACGCATACACAGACACACACACATACATGCTTTTAGTCAGTTTCTATAAATTGAAATTATTATACCTTATAGGGCAAGTTGGGACAAACTGAGCCCAATCTGGTCATTCCAGTTCAATTTTGTAATTTAAATACTCTCTTTTGGCAAAAAAGTATTTTACAACTCCTTTTTCTCTCTCTTTTTCTTTTATTTTGTGGAATCAGCATTCAACAAGACAAGCAAAACTAAAACTATAATAGATAAATGAGAGATTGAATAGATGATAAATAGATATAAAGATTATAAAGTATCCTTGAGAATTGGCTTACATATTTGTTGGAACTGCTTGAACATGCTCTCTAAGGCTGTGTTTCCGTGATGCAGGTTGAAGTCTACAGGGCAGGCAGTAGTCAGGGAGTGAAATCCCAAGTGGATTAGAACCCACAAGCATGAGCTGGAACCTCAAGATGACAGAAGGAAATCTGTATCTGTTCTTCTTGCTTCCAACCTTGGTAATAAAGTTATCTTACAGAAGCCAGGGCCCTGCACTGCATAGCCAAACACGTATCAACATAGTTGAAGAGTCAGAGAAGCGGAAGGATGCTACAGGAGACCAAGGAGCAATTGCAGGCCTAATTGATTTCCTGTCCTAAACTTAAAGCAGAATATACTACTTAAACTTTTTATTGTTTTCTCCTATTTTTTAGTATATTAGTGGTATCTTAATTTACCTATTTCACATCTGCCTTTGAACACATGAAGTAGCCATCAAAATTAACATTCTTTACAGTATAAAATGATTGCTATGATCTGAATCAGGTAACAGTGGGTCCTGTTCTGAAATTGTTGAAATGATTTGAAACTAGGCATTATTAAGGATAAAGTAAATTCGCTCGTAAGCCTCAAATTGTACTCCTTATATACATATATGAGGATATAAAAGGTTTTTTAATGAAACTTTTCTAATTGTATAAAACTTTGCATTCTTGTATTATGAAGCTTAGAAGAACTTAAGCATAATAAATACACCAATTTCCAAGGAGAATTCTTAAATTAATCACTGCTGGAATTGAAAAAGAAGTGTATAAAACCAGAATTGCAAAACTTAGCCTATCACCTAATTGTAGCTTATATGGAAGAGAAATTTAGACTTCTTCAAATTTTTATTTGAAGATAGTTGAGAGAGTACTGTGAGTTTTCTCTCACTCATTTATGGCAGCATTAAAAGTCCCATAAGGGAAGTATTGATTAAGCTGCTTTTAGGGGAAGAGTATACTTTCAAGGAATAAAACTTGTTATGACTGGATGCTTCGTGATCGGCGAAATCTCATAGGCTTGCCCTTTATTGCTTCAGAGCCCAACCTCCAAAAACTTGCACTATTACAAGGACGAGATTAATTTCTAACCCTCAAACCTTCATTTCCAAGAACTACCCAGAGTTCAAAAATACTACAAATATATATTCCAAATAAAATTCCTCTTCCACTTTTTATTCTTTGTCAAAATAATGCTCCAGCTGGCAGACAAAATGGACTCCCTGTGACTCACTGAGATGTTCAAAAGTTGAAATAGAACCAGGCAGGCATGACAGAATGAGGGAGCCGTCATGGACTCTGCATTTTCAGAAAATGTTTCAAAACCTCCTTTTTGTTATCAAACCAGACCAGTTCTTTCTATCAATGTTGAAACAAACTACAGCTAAAAATTCCTCAACAGGGCCGGGCGCGGTGGCTCACACTTGTAATCCCAGCACTCTGGGAGGCCGAGGCGGGCGGATCACGAGGTCAGGAGATCGAGACCATCCTGGCTAACACGATGAAACCCCGTCTCTACTAAAAATACAAAAAATACAAAAAAAAAAAAAAAAAAAAATTAGCCGGACGTGGTGGCAGTCGCCTGTAGTCCGAGCTACTCCGGAGGCTGAGGTAGGAGAATGGCGTGAACCCGGGAGGCAGAGCTGGCAGTGAGCGGAGATTGTGCCAGCCTGGGCGACAGAGTGAGACTCCGTTTCAAAAAAAAAAAAAAAAAAAAAAAAGATTCCCCAACAGACCACCAGGCCACCACAACTGACCACCTGGAGCCACCCAATAAAAGAAACTTGTGGTTTTGGACTTAAAATTCATCCATTCAGGACTCTGCCCCTAATCTCCACCTACCCTCAGGTTTTTTCTTTATAATCTTAGACTCTTTTGGCCTAGATCAATGCAAACTTTGTTTTGATCCAAAGGCTAGGTCTCCCCAATCTACAGATTGCTTTTCAGAAAATGAAGTTTCTTTTGCCTCGGCAGATGTCATGATTTTTTGTGGACACTTTTTATCAGGAGTCTGTATTTCCCTTTTGTCAATCACTTTGAATAAATATGCAATTTTCTTGAAAATTTTTTTAGTTACTAAGAGAGGTATGTTGAAATCTTCTATTACAATGATAGATTATCCCATTTCTTATATGTATGTCACTTAAAAAATTATAGCTATTGATTGCATGAGATTATTGATAGATATAAACACATTGAGATTTGCTATATATTCTTGGTTGATATTAACACAAATAATATGAAATACATTTGCTCCATTTTACCCCCTTTTTACAATTTGTGCTATATTTGTTGTAAATTTATATACTCTACAAGATGTCATTTTTGTTTTACATAGCCCATATTTATTTAGAAATAGTCACCTATTAACTCTTCCCATCCTATATCTTCTTCCTTCCATTTGAGACCACTTTTCTTCTGTTTGAAGAACTCCATTTAATGTGGATCTGTTGATAAGTACTCTCTTTTCTTTGTTGTTTCTTCACTGAGGAAATGTTCATACATATAGAATTTTTGTTTAGCAGCTGTTTCTTCTATGCTTTTAAAATTTCATTCTTGCTTCCTGGTTTCTATTAGTTGCTTTGAATAGTGAATTTAGCTTTATTGTTTTCTTTTTGAAGTTAACCACATCTTTTAATTTTTTATTATTTTTACATTTTTTTCTTTTATTTTAAGTAAACTAAACATAAATGATTATGTTTTCTTTTAATTTATACTGCTTGGAATCGTTAAATCTTAAATTTAATGATTGTTAAATTAGATTTAACGATTCCAAATTTAACTTAAAATTAAATTTAACTTAAAATTAAACTTAAATTTAAATTGTTAAATATGTTGTTTGAGTTATTTTTATTAGTTTTAAAAAATTATTAGCTTTTATGTCCTCATGTATTAATTCTGTTAAAACATTCTCTCCTTTCATTCTGAGACTCTGATTAAAGAAAAATTAGATATTTTTGCTGAATCTTATATTTCTTCCTGGTACTTCTGAGTTATTTCTTCTTTTTTTGCTCTTCATGGGTCAGCCTAGATATTTTATTTAATTTTTCCAGTCCACTCAACTTATTTTACACTGAATCCACTTTGCTGTTAAAATGATATATTTATCACTTATATTCATTTATTATAATTTCTGTTGTAAGATTATTATTTTTGTGGCTTTGTCTTGTATGGTAAAATTCTATATGTTACTCTCCAGCTTTTTTAAGCATTAATCACACCCACATCTAATAACTCCTCTGAATCTCCTGCAGATCTATTTTTATTATATCTATTATTTGTTCTATCACTCATATTTTTCTTTTTTAACACCTTATTGTTTTATATGTAAGTTTTTATAGCTTCTATGAAAACCTGAAGAAGTAATTTTAGAGTTTGGATAGTGTAACTTTCCTTTGGTGAAAGTTTACAATTTAAATTTTTAAAAATTTATAAAAATTTAATATATTAAAATTGAATATATTTTGCTCTGCCTGGGCAAATAGAATAGAAGCTGATCAGCAGATTCTCTGATTTGAAGCTGGACTTGTCTTTGAAAAGACTTGCCTAATCCCATCTCATCCTTACTCCTCTAAGACATAGCACTTCAGGGGCTACAGGTAAAACTCTTAGCCTTCCTCCTCCAGGTGGGGCCATAAATAGGAAAGTTTTTATTCTAGCCTTTTAAGGATTTCAGAAAGTCTGCTCCAATTGATGTTCCTAAACAGCCACTTACTGCTTGGCTTTTGAGCCTTTCAGCTGCTCTTTGGGACTCAATAAACACCGAGAAGTGGGGCTCAGAATCTCAGCTCACCTCTCTTCCCTTTCCTTCTGCCTAATATGTTGTATTCTTAAGTTCATACCCATTCTTAGTCCTTCATTTTATTTGTATGATGTTTGTTTGTTTGTTTATTTGAATTTGACTTTTCTTATTGGTTGAGAATATTGGTCTAGAGATAGCTACACTTCCTTTACTAAAAGTAGAATTTCTGTTTTCCCTTTTGTAATATTCAATTCACATTAAACTATTCAAATATAATACAAATATTCAAATACATATTAAACTATATTAATAATGTGTTTCCAAATTATCTTTATTAACCAGTCAGTGTTTCATCTTTTGATATACATTGAATTATCATTGACTCTTTGGTTAATGAATTCTGGAATCAGAAAAAAATAAAGCTAGCTTAAATACTATGAGAATTAAAAGTAGAGTCTTCCTATTTTACTCACTTAATAGATGCAATTTTAGTACATACTGTGACACTCAATGTGTGATATTTTGCAAATTACTTCTCCAAGTCTCAGTTTTCTCAGATAAAAGAAATGAGTTCAACTAGATGATCTTTAAAAGTCCTTCTATACCTAAAATTCTGTGATTTAATAAGAATAAATTAAACTTGAATCTTTGATGATTAAAGTTTAATTTGAATCTTGAAATCCATGAGATTTTTATAGTTTCTAAATTTAGAATAAAATAATATTCTTTTCTATCTCCAACACTAGAAGATGTCCCATATGACCTGAATAAGTTTCAATGCAATAATTACTTTGAAATTATAATTGCCAAGAAATTTTGAAGAAGTCTAGCAATATTAGGAAACTACCATATTAAATATTAATAAACATTATACAGCCCTAATAGTTTTAATAGTAGGGTGTCAATATAAGACTACATAAATTAATAGATGGAACAGAATGGAGAATCTACAGATACATGTATATATGAAAGAGTTAATTAAGACAGTGAGATTTAGCATCGTCTATCAGTGAGGAATCCTAAACTTGTCAGAAAAGGGTGCTGAGACATTTATCTATACAGAAAAAGAAGTAAATCTCCACTTCACAATACACAAAATCAAGATTGAGTAAAGATCCATACATAAAAATTATATTTTTAATTGCATCAGGGTTGTAAAACAAATCTCAAACTTGAAATTTGCAAATCATAAAAAATTGCAAGTGCAAGTGTAGGAGATAGAGAAATTTTAATGAATAAGATTCAGAACTTTGTCACCAGACTTGTATATGGTGTCAGACACATATCACCCTGCCCCATTCTGTGTGTATGAGCTTGGAATTATTACTTAAACAGTTGAATCATTATCTTCCTAAAGTGTAAAATGTGAATTATAGCACCTGTTTTATGAGAAATGCCATGCAAATTAAATAGGAAAATATCCAAATAGTGTATAGCAAGAAACAAAGTATTATCAATTATTTTAGGAATTATATTTTAAAAATCTCATTTGTTTTTCTGCAGAGATTGATGATAGTGTTTGAGGAGGAACTGAAAGATTGAATAGAGACATTAAGTTTGGAATATTTGTTCCTTCATCTAACATAGGGTAAACATTCCTTAGAGATACAGAAGAAACAAGTCAGGGTAATTCTCCTTCAGTTACTCTAGTCTAGTAACTTCTTTGAAGAATGAGAAAGGGATGTCAGTCAGACAGCTCTTGAAAAGATGAACAAGTGGTGCAGAAGGCTCACTCAGTTAAGAATGAAGACCATAAAATATATTGGCTACAATCTTTATGTTGAGTGGTTTATCACAGCTTAGCATCTTAAATATAGAGACAGAGAAAGTAGAGTTTTACTGTTTTAAATTTAAAGCTCTACAGGGTTGACGTAGCAAGAGGAATACTTTTTATAGTTCTTATTAGGCTAGCTAAGATATCTTGATACACAAGACCTATAGAAAGAGAACTAAAGCCATTCAAGGATAATAAATGAGAGAAGGGAGGATTGGAAGAAGTGGGCATTCAATGATTTCTGATAGCTTATTACTTGTAATATGGGAGTAAGAGAGTGAAGATTATATGCAGTTGAGTGGACATGACTGTTCAAGCTGAAATTCCTAAAAAAATATCTGAAGCCCAGCTGGCAAGAAAAGTACATTTGTTCAATGTGTTAAACATAGGTAGGTGGAATTTGTTGATGATAACTTAAATTTAGTCTCTTTTGTACCACCAGTATATAGAAATGCCTGACCTATGCTACAGACTTTAAATACTGCATATATCCATATGAACTGTTCTTACAAACTAGCTTGTTGATCTTAAAAGGATTCTAAAGCTGTGAGGATAATGACATAGATAGAGACAGAAATAACCCTGTGAGCTTCACTGAACAAGTTTCCTTTTGGTATGGAAAGTTTTCATTGTCAAGCTAAAGATGTCACCTAGCATGCAAAGACTTTTATTCCAACTCAGATAGCAAAGCCCCATTTCACCTTTTCCTATAAGAAACTGAAAAGGTCAAATGGTGACAGTTTTTATAGCAAAAGAGTTTAAAGTATAAGTGACTAAAACATTTGTTAATTATGAAAAGTGCTTTAACTTTAGTACATTTTATAGAAAAGAGACCTTTTCCTTTTAGCCCTAAAAGGAAAAACATTTAAGTGCATTTTTATTTTAATCACTTTTTAGTTAAAATTAAAATATGAAAAAGATAATTTGTTTTTGAACTTGGTCTTTCTGATGAAGAAAGCTTTACGTGGAAGAATTATTCTTGTTTCTTTTATGTTTCCTTGTGTCTCTCAAAATGATTCTTAATGAATTGCCAAGTGTAAGTTTGAGACTAGAATTTATAGACCACAGTTATTCATTCCAGTCAAATGCCACAGAAAAGAACAGCAACAAATCAAAGTTAATTTGTAATTGAAACCCACTATTACTAAAAGCAATTTAGCTTTAAAGAACCTTGACATGTTCAAAAGATGAATTACTTGATGCAGCTTTGTTATTTAAAATTATTTTTAATCATTTAATAGAAGAGAAGGTTAAATTTAGGAAAGCCAGACAGGAATGGAATCTATTTCATGTTCTTTTAAAACTCAGAGGATAAAATACCTTTTGAAGATAAATTAAAATGCATTTCAGGGAATCATAACAGCATTGGGTGAAGTTTTAAGGCAATTGCTATATTGTCAGTGTGAATATAATATGATAAAATACTTCATAAATTAAGAAAAAGTAAATTTATATGGGTGCCTTGAACTTTAATTTTCCCCCTCTAAATACGTAGCAAATTCTCTTTTGCTTTATTTTCTACTTTCATGCATTGGTTCCATAATATATATGAATGAGAAAGTGAGTAAATTAAGTTCATAATTTTGCTTGTAACCTAATATTTTAAAAATGCACAGGCCTACTCATAATTTAATGCATACCCATTGCTATTCAGGAGCTATATTTAATTCTATTTAATTTAAGTATATCGCTAGGAAAAAAAACCTTTTTTTTACTAGTGTTAGTATGGGCAAGACCTTATCTCTCTTTTTAAAAAATGTAAAATATGGTGACCTAGATGAATATCTCTAAAATCAAGTCTTAATCAATTAGAAATAATAAATTTTCCCCATTTCTTTCATTTACACAGACTTTGCATATAGCCAGTTTCTCCCTCAAGAGCATCTGCTTGTGGAAGAGAAAAACTATTGAACCTGCCTCTTAAGTACTGGCCTCCACTGATTTTGTATTGGTACTCTGCTCTACTTATTTGAGTGGAGAAGGAAGCACTAGTAGCAAATATAAAAGTTTCGGGTTTATAGTTGAACGCAGCAGAGATGTGCCAAAGCAAAAATTCATTGGTAACAAGAAAAATATCTTGATTATTGGAAAGCTTGATCATCTTGATTAATACTCTATGTAAAATTAGCAAGATCTGAGGAAATTTGTCAATAGAAATACTATGTGCATGAGGGTATTTCTCTGTTTTCACATGGAATCACTAAGTTTGGGAATAACAAAAGACATGAAGGTTTTACAAATGTTGTCGAAAGCATGATTGCAGTTTTTATGTACATGTTTCCAGACAGATTAAAAGCCACAATTTTAATGAAAATTTTATGAAGTGGAAAGTGCAAAGAGTTGAGAATTACAATTATGATATATACATAAAGCTATGACAGGCAAATTGGTTGCTTAATCAAAGCATCCATGCTGGTAGGTATTATTTGACATGTCAAGCTTAATGTCGGACATTAGAGATTAGAAATCTAAATATCCATCACAATGGTTTGATATTACTATAAACAAGATTACTATAAACAAGATAAGAACAAGATTGAAAAATGAAGGAAAAATTATGTAAGACAAAAAGGCAAAAATTGTTAAAAGCCAAACCTAATATCAGATATCTCAGTATCCCCAGGTTAGGTATGAAAGGAGAAAGTAACTCAGCAGAAAAATTCAAATGCTGATATGTGTTCCAAAACATGGTATTTGAATATTCAGCTAAATTAAATGTATGTGTAGAAAGAGAGAGAGGGAGGGAGAATTAGAGTACTATAATGAAAATGTAGGGTTTATTCTTATTGTGTACTTATTGTATACTTTCCTCATAGTTTATTCTTATTGTATTCTTATTGTATACTTTCATAATAATAAAATAACTGACTCTTTGCTTGGATCTGAAGTCTAATGTACTTTGGGAATACATCCCCATCCTAATTAAAATAAATAGCCTACTCACGGTAAATCATAATTTTGTAAATTTTCTCTTATACTACAAACATTTTCTCAGAAAAAAAAACATATGTTCTTCATGCCAGACACTTTATTTGTTTATGCATGTGTGTGTGTGTATGGTTCTGCTTTGATAACGATAAGATAAGCCCATTTTGACGAATTCTCTTTTGTCATCTTCTTAGGTCGTACTCAATTAATGTTTTGTGTTTAAACAACTGACCCTCAGCATACATATGTCTATGGTTTTGTTTTTAGATTAGTTGACATAAATTGAGACACAAACATGCTATTGATAAATTCCAGCTATCTAACAAGGGAAACCATGTGGCTTTTGTTCCAGTGTCAATAATATTCAACTTTACCCTCAACTGATCATACTTTTGTATGAATTATATGACTATAACATAAGTTATAACATGAATATAACATATGTTATAACCTGAATATAACATACATGTTATATGAATGTAACATGTAAGTTATATTGTTCCTCTACACCTGAAAAACTGTCAATTTTGATAAAAGTTGTAAGTCATTTTTTTAAAGAAGTATGACATTAATCATCATCGACTAGAGCTGGGGAAGAACTGTTAACAATATCTAGCATGAGTAAGTACCTGCATTTATGTTAAACATAACCATCCTGGGTTTCTCCCCTATAATTTATATGTTAATTGAGGAAAGTAGATACAATGGTTTTCATTTGATCCCTTAAGCATTTTGTATCTCTATAGTAACTCAATTACCATCTACCTCTCTGTAAAGGTGACAACCTACATTTACAATTTAGTTTCAACAAATCTATACGTTTTGAGAAAAGAGATAATCTTATTAATCTTTGAGTCACTCTTACTTCATTCTTTCTATTTTTTCTCTTTTCTTCTAACTTATAAGAAGACAATCACTTTTTCTCTTAGAACAAATGGATAGAGGAAAAAAAGAGAAAAGAGTATTCTATGAAGACTGACTTTGAGACGGAGCAGGGTCCTCTCTTTGGGGCCTGCACTCTCCCCACCCCCTCAAGGATAGCAATAAAAAAAAAATATTGAGTCCCTTCAAGGGAAATTCTAGGCCCTTAGCTAGGCCTGAGAAGTAAATAAATTAAGAAGATAATAATTTAAACAATAGTCACCCAAGCAAGTCAGAGTCACAGGCGTTTGGTTCTCCATAGAAATTAAAAGATAACATTTTTTATTAGAGACACGGTCTCACTCTGTCACCCAGGCTGGAGTGCAATGGCACAATTATAGCTCACTGTTACCTCAAACTCCTAAGCTCAAGAGAGTCTCTTGCCTCAGCCTCCTGAGTAGCAAGGACTGCAGGCATGTGCCACCACGCCAGGCTTTTTTACTGTTAGTAGAGATAGGGTCTCACAATGTTGCCCAGGGTGGTCTGGAAATCCTGGCCCCAAGCGATTCTCCTACATTAGCCTCCCAAAGCACTGGGATTACTGGTGTGAGCTACCATGCCTGGCCCAACATCTTAATGTATGTTCTTAAATTGTTTTTCAGAAACCAGAAGCCTGCCAGATGGAAAATATGAACCACTGTCAAGCAGACCTGGGACAAGGGGGAACTGAGGACTGAGCTCTGACCATTGCTCTTTGTTCTAAGTTGAGCAGAGGGGCCTGGAGAGAGTCATGCCTGCAGGCCATCAATCTTGCTAAATTGGTCACAATGGCTCAGTATATATTGTGGCTTGGTCTCTTGACCTGACTCTGTGATAGCAGCACACGGTGATTAACAGGTTTCCTTATCTTAACTAACACATGTTAAAGCCAAACCTTAACACTCCTTTCTGCTAACCCCAAGTTTTTAGACAAAGGCTTACTCCCTTAACCAATTGCAAATCAAAGAATCCCTGAATTTACCTATGACCCGTAAGCCCCTGCTTTAAGATATCCCACCTTTTGGGGCCAAACCAATGTATAATCTTCATGTATTTATTTACAGTTTTGTACATAACTTCTGCTTTCCTAAAATGTACCCCTGCCTTTAAAAATCCTTGCTTGTTACCCATCAAGGAAGTTCGTGTCTTAGGCATTAACTGCCCATTCTCCTTGTTTGCCACCCTTCTTTCTCTCGCTGCAAACCTCAGTGTCTGTGTTTGCTTTACTGCACCAGGTGAGTGGACGGTTCAGTAACAACTTGACTATAGTAGAGTATTAATACACGATTATCATGGTAAGTGTGTGAATATGTAGGTTAGGTCCGGTGTATTGAGTGCATTGAAATATGGCTAGAGGCATAATATAGAGCTGCTTCATGAATAGTATCACAACAATAATAAAAAAGACATAAAAAATAGAAATATAAAGTGTTCCAAGTTTCTTATTTAACACTTGCTCTTTTTTGCAATCCTGATTCTACTTCTTCTTTTCCTCTTCCTTTTCTTCCTTTTCTATCTTCCTTTTCTTTCTCTTTTTTCTTTTTCTTTTTCTGCTCTCTGTTATTCTTAGGTCCTAGTGATGTTGGAGCCTTAAGGGCAAAAACTGGTTGAGAAGCAAGTGAGAATAATTATTTTCTTTCTCTATTCTCTAAACTGTAAGCTAAGTAAGTAGGAGCTAGAAGAAATTTCTTATCACTTTTTGAATCATAAAAATAATAATTAACTGAAAAGACTAAGAATTGGTATCATGGGAGAAGAATACACAACATGTCTTTAAAATTTATAGTAAATTCAATTATCTAATAAAGCAAATGGCTTCTAAGTGGACCTCATTTAAAATATTTTTCACGTTTTGCCAAATGGTCATAGTATACTGTTTAAAGCTCCTTGGCAAATAAAGTCCTGGACATGCTAAAAGATGATGAATTCACTAATGATTGGAAGGAATAGTCCTTCCTATAAGATTTGTTCTTCTGCTTTAGAATAGGACATGCCAGAGAGTCTTGTTGATAGTTCACTATCAACTTTTTCCCTCAAGTATACAATACTAGTCACCTAAAGGTCATTTATAGCCTATTTTGTTAAAGAGGTTTAATTTCTTCTTGCTTCAGGGTATGCCTTGCCTTGGTCTATACATCATTAATGTGATCTAAACATCAGAATCTTTTCAATAGCCTGTATATAGAACAAGATAAACTGGAATCTTTTGAAGTTTAGTTCTATACATTCACAGAGTTTTATCATCTCCCAGTTCTCATGGCCAATCTCAGCTGTGGATGCTGTAGCACCTCAGCAACAGCCTTTATAAAAAAAAAAAAAAATCCTCTGGGAAGAATTACCATAGCAGAGAGTTATGCTTCTTTTTCTCATTCGCATGTTAATACCCAAAATACTTTTTGAGTTTATTCAGGGTGGCTGTTTTATAGCAGAAATGCCATCTGAACTTTAAGAACAAATTAAAAAGACTTTGGTGGACCTATGAGCCCACTGAGTTCTTTTCTATAAATGTAAATGATAATAAAAAAAGTTCAATGTCTCTAGCAAAAGAACAGACGTTCTTTTAATATGCAAATATAAGAACTCAACATCAACAGTGTGTTAACTCGTAATCTTTTTTTGGAAATTTTTAATTTTGTGATCCCATTTCTCTGCCAAACTGCATTAGTTTCGTTGTTTATAAATCAGTCCTGGATTCCCTGATGCAGAAAGGCCAGGCAGTCAGCTTAATAGGCCCTTAAGCTGTATTAGCCTTAAGCTTCTCTGTCAGAGAGGTCTGTAGACAATTTCCATAGGGAGAAAAAAGGCAAAAATATAATACATGGCTAATTATATGGGAATGATATGAAATTTGGGAAAAAGTTTCTGTTTTATTTTCTTAACACTAAGAAAATAAAAGGTGACTCTGACAGGAGAGGCTCAACTGTAGGGCACAAGTGGTCCATTTTGAGCAAACACACGAATGGAAAAGGGCATATAGTATTTAGTAGAACATTTGATGCTTTTAAAGTTCTAGCACCTTTCAGCCGACCATCATGTTTTCTATCTGATAATAACTTCTTCCAAGTTGAATCACCATGGTTGACTGCACCCTATCACACCTTTGGATTAGGAAAGTGGAACTTAGAAGTATTTGTGAAGTTTCTTGATTATTCACAAGTTAACTCCTAATTGAAATAGGCTGCAGCAAAACACCCAGTTCACCCCAGCATACAGCAAAAACACTGATCTATGGTTCAACAAATCAACCTTCAGAAATTATTATGACCTTAGAATTATTGCTAAGTCAGTGATACATTTTTTTCTTTTTTTCTTTTTTCTGGAATGAAATTTGATGATAAACCTTTGGGAAGGATGGAACATCAGATTAAATCCTTTGATAATTTTCTGGAGAGTATAAAAATAATTAATATTCAGAGATATTTTAGTTAAAGAAATACAAAATCTTTCCATTTTTATTTAATTCTTATTTGTATATACCTACATTCTTAGAATGTTAAAATTTTACTGGAAGAAACAAGATTGCTGGTGTGAATATGTAAATATTTAATCTTGTTTTGTTTTTGTTTTTGCTTTTTTTTTGTAAACATTCTATTGAATCTATTTCTGGAGTATTTTATAATAACTAAGTATTTTAATACCTTCAAGTTCCTGCATTTTATACTGTAGTTACATTGACTTTAAAAACACTAAAATGATTTACAGTCCAAAGCAGACTGCAATTTGTTCATTGACACTGATGCTAAATTCACATTCTTAATTTTACAGCTTGAAAATGAGATTTAGCTACAAAGAATGACAGTTATGGCCATTATCTTTTGTTTTCTGTTCTAATTTGAGAAGTGAAGACACTTTTGCCACTTCAAGTGATTTGAAGACACAAAGAGGATATGTATGAAGAGTTTGTTAGTGTGCATATAGTTGTACAAGGCAGCCAATCTGGCTTGATTAAAAAAATGGTTATAAATGAGTACTGTAAAAACCTCACTTATGTGGAGTTTTTAAAATGTAGTGTTCAATTTTGGTATAGTTTTACATCAATGTGATTTACTATTTTGGGGAGAAATTTACATATTCTTTTAAAAATTAGACACTTTTGACCATAGAATGAAAGGTTGAAAAAGACTTCATAGGACTTAAGAGTTTACATTTCAAATAAAAATCCCTTCTAGGACTGTGTATTGCAAATTAAGGAGTTATCTTTGGCCTCTCCATAATAATGGAAATTTCTTCATACCAGGAAGTTTACAGTCCATTGTCAGGCAGTTCTAGATTATATCAACTTCTTTCTAATATTGACCCCAAATCTGACCTTAATTGCCATCAATTTATCAATTTTTTAAAAATCTCATAATAACTTAGACAAATATAATGTCATACATATTGGAGATCTTCAAATGTTTAAAGATATTTACCATTGCTTCAACACTATCAGTATTTGGTTGGTTGATTTCAGAATGCCTTGTCTCCTACTTTAACATCATAAGAAAAATATAATATTGTTTTCCTTGTTCATGTGTGGCCTTAATCTTTGGCAAACTGTTTACAAATAATATTGAACCCTTGCAGACACTATTTAACACAAGAGGCTGTTTATCTTATCACTGACTGGATTCCAGGTTGCTATGCTTTGTTGCTTTGGTCTTTACCATCCTCGTCTTCTGTTAATTTTTGCTCAAGCATTGGTTTTTCTTAAGATATCCTATTTATTTATGATCTTCATAAGATAAAAACTGGGTTAAATACAGACTTTCAAATCAAATTACGTAACCAAATTCCATTAAATAAATAACTTGAATTTCAGAATGAGTATAATGTCAATAACTTATGGGATGAAGTTAGGTGGTTCTTAGAATATCCCTAAGCAATGTGTTAAGTGCTTTTCTCTCTCTCTCTCTTTTTTTTTTTTTTTAACGAGAGTGGGAATTTACTGGCTTACATAACCATGAAACCTCAAGGTAGGGTAGGCTTCCACAAAGTTGATTCAAATGTTTACAATGCATCAACAAAGTTGATTCAAATGTTTACAATACAATTCAAATATTTTTTGCAGTTCTCTCACCCCTACTCTCCAAAGTTTGTTGGCTTTTTCCTTGGACTGGCTTCTCTCACTTCTACTGGCTCCCAGAAGGGTCAGCTTGCTCACATTTGACAAACAGGGCCACCCTGAAACTGCTATTCTAATCATCGCGTGGCTGGGAAAGTCAGGGTTGATAATAATAGAGCAGAAGTCTGCAAAGGAGGGCCTGCAGGTGAAATCCAGCCAGCTTCCTGTTTTGTTTGTTTGTTTTTATTGTTATACTTTAAGCTCTGGGGTACATGCATAGAACTTGCAGTTTTGTTACATAGGTACACACGTGCCATGGTGGTTTGCTGCACCCATCACCTGTCTACATTAGGTATTTCTCCTAATGCTATCCCTCCCCTAGCCCCCCACTGCCCTAGAGGCCCCGGTGTGTGAGGTTCCCCTCCGTGTCCACGTGTTCTCATTATTCAGTTCCCACTCATCAGTGAGAACACGCAGTGTTTGGTTTTCTGTTCTTGTGTTAGTTTCCTGAAATGATGGTTTCCAGCTTCATCCATGTCCCTGCAAAGGACATGAACTCATCCTTTTTATGGCTGCATAGTATTCCGTGGTATATATGTGCTACATTTTCTTTATCCAGTCTATCATTGGTGGACATTTGGGTTGGTTCCAAGTCTTTGCTATTGTGAATAGAGCTGCAATAAACATACGGGTGCATGTGTCTTTTTAGTAGAATGATTTATAATTCTTTGGGTTTATAGCCAGTAATGGGATTGCTGGGTCAAATGGTATTTTTAGTTCTAGATCCTTGAGGAATTGCCACACTGTCTTCCACAATGGTTGAACTAATTTACAGTCCCACCAACAATGTAAAAGTGTTCCTATTTCTCCACATCCTCTCCAGCACCTCTTGTTTCCTGACTTTTTAATGATCGCCATTCTAACTGGTGTGAGATGGTATCTCATTGTGGTTTTGATTTGCACTTCTCTAATGACGAGTGATGATGAGTATTTTTTTCATACATTTGTCAGCTGCATAAATGTCTTCTTTTGAGACGTGTTTGTTCGTATCTTTTGCCCACTTTTTGATGGGGTTGTTTGTTTTTTTCTTGTAACTTTGTTTAAGTTCTTTGCAGATTCTGGATATTAGCCCTTTGTCAGATGGGTAGATTGCAAAAATTTTCTCCCATTCTGTAGGTTGCCTGTTTACTCTGATGGTAGTTTCTTTTGCTGAGCAGAAGCTCTTTAGTTTAATTAGATCCCATTTGTCTATTTTGGCTTCTGTTGCCTTTGCTTTTGGTGTTTTAGTCATGAAGTCCTTGCCCATGCCTATGGCCTGAATGGTATTGCCTAGGTTTTCTTCTAGGGTTTTTATGGTTTTGGGTCTAACATTTCAGTCTTTAATCCATCTTGAATTAATGTTTGTATAAGATATAAAGAAGGGATCCAGTATCAGCTTTTTACATATGATTAGCCAGTTTTCCCAGCACCATTTATTAAATTGGGAATCTTTTCCCCATTTCTTGTTTTTGTCAGGTTTGTCAAAGATCAGATGGTTGTAGAAGTGTGGTGTTATTTCTGAGGCAACTGTTCTGTTCCATTCGTCTATGAATCTGTTTTGGTACCAGTACCACGCTGTTTTGGTTACTGCAGCCTTGTAGTATAGTTTGAAGTCAGGTAGCATAATGCCTCCAGCTTTCTTCTTTTTGCTTAGAATTCTCTTGGCTGTGTGGGCTCTTTTTTGGTTCCATATGAACTTTAAGGTAGTTTTTTCCAATTCTGTGAAGAAAGTCAGTGGTAGCTTGATGGGGATGGCATTAAATCTATAAATTACCTTGGGCAATATGGCCATTTTCACAATATTGATTCTTCCTGTCCATGAGCATGGAATGTTCTTTCATTTGTTTGTGTCCTCTTTTATTTTGTTGAGCAGTGGTTTGTAGTTCTCCTCGAAGAGGTCCTTCATATCCCTTGTAAGTTGGATTCCTAGGTATTTTATTCCCTTTGTAGCAATTGTGAATGGGAGTTCACTCGTGATTTGGCTCTCTGTCTGTTATTGGCCTATAGGAATGTTTGTGATTTTTGCACATTGATTTTGTATCCTGAGACTTTGCTGAAGTTGGTTATCAGCTTAAGGAGATTTGGGGCTGAGACGATGGGGTTTTCTAAACATACAATCATGTCATCTGAAAATAGGGCAATTTTACTTCCTCTTTTCCTAACTGAACACTATTTATTTCTTTCTCTTGCCTGATTGCCCTGGCCAGAACTTCCAATATTATGTTGAATGGGAGTGGTGAGAGAGGGCATCCTTTTCTTGTGCTGGTTTTCAAAGAAAATAGCTCTTATTCATAAATAGCTCTTATTATTTTGAGATACGTTCCATTAATACCAATTTTATTGAGAGTTTTTAGCATGAAGCGATGTTGAATTTTGTCGAAGCCCTTTCCTGCATCTATAATCATACGGTTTTTATCATTGGTTCTTTTTATTGATCCCTTTATCATTATGCCATGTCCTTTTTTGTCTCTTTTGATCTTTGTTGGTTTAAAGTCTGTCTTATCAGAGATTAGGATAGCAACTCCTGCTTTTTTTTTTTTTTTTTGCTTTCTATTTGCTTGGTAAATATTCCTCCATCCCTTTATTTTGAGCCTAGGTATTACGTTTATTGATTTGTGTATGTTGAACCAGCCTTGCATCCCAGGGATGAAGCTGACTTAATCGTGGTGGGTAAGCTTTTTGATGTGCTGCTGGATTTGGTTTGCCAGTATTTTATTGAGGATTTTTGCATCAGTGTTCATCAGGGATATTGGCCTGAAATTTTCTTTTTTTGTTGTGTCTCTGCCAGGTTTTGGTATCAGGATGATGTTCGCTTCATAAAGTGAGTTAGGGAGGAGTCCCTTTTTTCTGTTGTTTGGAACAGTTTCAGAAGGAATGGTACCAGCTCTCTTTGTACCTCTGGTGGAATTTGGCTGTGAATCCTTCTGGTCCTGGACTTTTTTTGGTTGGTAGGCTATTAATTACTGCCTCTAATTCAGAACTTGTTATTGGTCTATTCAGGAATTCACCTTCTTCCTGGTTTAGACTTGGGACGGTGTATGTGTCCAGGAATTTATCCATTTCTTCTAGATTTTCTAGTTTATTTGCATAGAGGTGTTTATAGTATTCTCCGATGGTAGTTTGTATTTCTGTCAGATCAGTGGTGATATCCCCTATATCATTTTTTATTGTGTCTATTTGATTCTTCTCTCTTTTTTTCTTTATTAGTCTGGCTAGTGGTCTATTTTGTTGATCTTTTCAAAAAACCAGCTGCTGGATTCATTAATTGTTTTTGAAGGGTTTTTCGTGTCTCTATCTCCTTCAGTTCTGCTCTGATCTTAGTTATATCTTGTCTTCTGCTAGCCTTTGAATTAGTTTGCTCTTGCTTCTCTAGTTCTTTTAATTTTGATGTTAGGCTGACTATTTTAGATCTTTCTTGCTTTCTCTTGTGGGCATTTAGTGCTATAAATTTCCCTCTACACACTGCTTTAACTGTGTCCCAGATATTCTGGCATGTTGTTTCTTTGTTCTCATTGGTTTCAATGAACATCTTTATTTCTGCCTTCATTTCGTTATTTACTCAGTAGTCATTCAGGAGCAGGTTGTTCAGTTTCCATGTAGTTGTGCAGTTTTGAGTGAGTTTCTTAATCCTGAGTTCTAATTTGATTGCACTGTGGTCTAAGAGACTGTTAGGATTTCCATTATTTGCCTTTGCTGAGGAGTGTTTTACTTCCAATTTTGTGGTCAATTTTAGAAGTGTGATGAGGTGCTGAGAAAAATGTATATTCTGTTGATTTGGGGTGGAGAGTTCAGCAGATGTCTATTAGGTCCACTGGGTCCAGAGCTGAGTCCAAGTCCTGAATATACTTGTGAATTTTCCGTCTCATTGATCTGTCTGTCTAATACTGACAGTGGGTTGTTAAAGTCTCCCACTATTATTGTATGGGAGTCTAAGTCTCTTTGTAGGTCTCCAAGAGTTTGCTTTACGAATCTGGGTGCTCCTGTATTGCGTGCATATATATTTAGGATAGTTAGCTCTTCTTGTTGCATCGATCCCTTTACCATTATACCGTGTCCTTCTTTGTCTCTTTTGATCTTTGTTGGTTTAAAGTCTGTTTTATCAGAGATTAGGATTGCAACTCCTGCTTTTTTTTTGCTTTCTATTTGCTTGGTAAATATTCCTCCATCCCTTTATTTTGAGCCTATGTGTGTCTTTGCACATGAGATGGATCTCCTTAATACAGTACACTGATTGGTCTTGACTCTTTATCCAATTTGCCAGTCTGTCTTTTAATTGGGGCATTTAGCCCATTTACATTTAAGATTAATATTGTTATGTGTGAATTTGATCCTGTTATTGTGAAGCTAGCTGGTTATTTTGCCTGTTAGTTGATGCAGTTTCTTCACAGTGTGGATGGTCTTTACAATTTGGTATGTTTTTCTCTTAATTAATAGCTGAGGTGGCTTACAGTCTACCCATAAAATGAGTATGCTGACTTAATATCTTAGAGAACAGGTAAATATTCTCCATTCTTTTCTGATCATATGTGCTGTAATTCTACCTTCTACATGGAACACCACTCATTTGTTTAATACTAGTTTTTTAAAATAATAAATCTTCAATTTATTTGAAGCAATTCAGTTTCGAAATCTGAAGTTACAGCAGTCACACACACTAAAAAACAAGGAAAAGAAACAATAGAAGAATAATCAACAGTAGTGCATTTTTGTTTTATTTATTTATTTAGAGATGGATTCTCACACTGTTGACTGGCTGGAGTGTAACGGCATGATCTCAACTCACTGCAACATCCGCCTCCTGGGTTCAAGAGATTCTCCTGCCTTGGCCTACCGAGTAGCTGTTATTACAGGCACCTGCCACCATTTCCTGCTAATTTTTTGTATTTTTAGCAGATTGGGTTTCACTATGTTGGCCAGGCTGTTCTCAAACTCCCGACTTCAGATGATCCACCTGCCTTGGCCTCCCAAAGTGCTGGGATTACAGGCATGAGCCACAGTGCCTGGCCTTGTTTGTTTTTAATACTGTCATTGCTTTAGTCAAAACACAGTTGCAATAAAGCATTAATCTCAAAGTTTTTAAGGAGTCATTCTTGAGAAATTTAACAGATTATATACATACTGCCACACAAAGAACATTAAAACAGGACCAAAAACTTCTACAAAATATAAAACTCACTCTTACTTATTCGCATGAAAACACCACCCACAAAGCTAAATAAGTCTTAAAAGTTATCTGGAGGCTCTCAGTGTTGTTTTCAAACCAAGCAACTCTAATTTTAGTTGCATAACAAGATGATTGATAAGAAAGTTAATGTATATATATATATAGGTTTCATTTTAAAAGTAAGTATTTTATAATCTGGCATAGTATGCAATGAGAATTCTTACGGACTAGAACAGGGCATTCTGATTGTTAAAATTAGAAGAAAAATGTTAGTCTTTTGGAGATTCCAATTCCCTCACTAAACTTGTCTCAAGCGTTTTATTTCAGTCAGTTGTGAAACTTTTTTAGTTTCTCCACAAATAACTTCATAATTTTTACTTTAAAACACCAAGTCATACATTTTAAACAGAAAAAGCAGCAGCAGTACTATACTAAGTAATTTAAATATGTCTCAGTATAGAAGTGTAACTAATTAATTTGCTGACACTAACTTTTAAAAAACTTATAAATATTCAAAACAGAAGGAAAGAGTTTCAGACAGCCAAGATTATAAAAGCAATTGCTTTAAACATGGAGCTTCCATGATAAAAAGGGAGAGGTACTTATCTATTCATTATATTTTATTTAGTAGTCACATTAAAAACGCACACATTCACACTTTTCCCAAATATTTTTCTAATTTTAATGGAGATCCATCCACTTGAAAACAAATCCTAATTTAATTTATTTTTTTTTGTTTTTTATTATTTCTTTTTAAGTTTTTTAAAAAACTTTTAGGGATGGCAGTACATGTGCAGGTTTCTTATACAGGTAAACTTGTGTTATGGGGTTTGTTGTACAGATTATTTCATCATCCAGGTACTACACCTAATAGTGAAGAGTTATTTTTTCTGCTGCTCTCCCTCCTTTCACCCTTCACCCTCAAATAAGCTCCAGTGTCTGATGTTTCCTTCTTTGTATTCATGAGTTCTCATCATTTAGCTCCCACTAACAAGTGAGAACATGTGGTATTTGGTTTTCTTTTCCTGCACCAATTTGCTAAGAATAATAGCCTCCAGCTTCATCCATGTTCCTGTGAAAGACATCATCTTATTCTTTTTTATGGCTACATAGTATTCCATGGTATATATGTGCCACATTTTCTTTATTCATTCTTTTATTGATGGGCATTTAGGTTGATTCCATGTCTTTGCTATTGTGAATAGTGCTGCAATGAACATTCATGTGCATGTGTCTTTATGGTAGAGGGATTTATATTCCTTTGGGTATATACCCAGTAATAGGACTGCTGTGTTGAATGGTAGCTCTGTTTTTAGCTCTTTGAGGAATCACCATACTGCTTTTCACAATGGTTGAACTAATTTACATTCCCACCAACAGCGTATAAGAGTTCCCTTTTCTCCGCAACCTTGCCAGCATCTATTATTTTTTGACTTTTTAATAATAGCCATTCTGACTGGTGTGACATGGTATCTCATTTTGGTTTTGATTTGCATTTCTCTAATGATCAGTGATACTGAGCTTTTTTTCATATGCTTGTTGGCCACAGGTATGTCTTTTGAAAAATATCTATTCATGTTTTTTGCCCACTTTTTAATGGAGTTGTTTGTTTTTCTTTTGTAAATTTGTTTAAGTTTCTTATAGATGCTGGATATTAGACCTTTGCCTGGTGCAGTTTGCAAATATTTTCTCCCATTCTGTAGATTGTCTGTTTATTCTGTTGATTGATAGTTTCTTTTGCTGTGTAGAGGCTTTTAAGTTTAATTAGATTCTATTTGTCAATTTTTCTTTTTTTTTGTTATTGCTTTTGACGTTTTCATCATTAAATCATTGCCCATTGCGATGTCCAGGATGGTATTGCCTAGGTTGTCTTCCAGAGTTTTTTTATTTTTGGGGGGTTTTACATTTAAGTCTTTAATCCATCTTGAGGTGATCTTTGTATATGGTATAAGGAGAGGATTCAGTTTCAATCTTCTGTATATGGCTAGCCAGTTATCTCAGCACCATTTATTGAATAGGAAGTCTTTTCTCCATTGCTTGTTTTTGTCAGCTTTGTCAAAGATCAGATGGTCATTGGTGTGTTGCCTTATTTCTGGGCTCTATATTCTCTTTCGTTGGTCTATATGTCTGTCTTTGTACCAGTACATTGTTGCGTTGGTTACTGTAGCCACGTAGTATAGTTTGAAGTCAGGTAAGGTGATGCCTCCAGCTTTATTCTTTTCACTTAAGATTGTGTTGGCTATTCAGGCTCTTTTATGGTTCCATATACATTTTTAAATATTTTTTTCTAGTTCTGTGCAGAAAGAATGTCATTGGTAGTTGGGTAGAAAAAGCCTTGAATCTGTAAGTTGCTTTGGGCAGTATGGCCATTTTAATGATATTGATTCTTCCTATTCATGAACATGGGTTGTTTTTTTCATTTGTTTGTGTCTTCTGTAATTTCTTTGAGCAGTGTTTTATAACTCTCATTGTAGAGATATTTCACCTCTCTGGTTTGTTGTATTCTGTATTTGCAGAATGGTATCAAAATTACTTGAGAAACCAAATTAAAAATTTGACTTCAATGTCGTGCAGACAACATAACTGTGTACATAGAAAATTCAAAAGCATCTAATACACACACACACACACATTAAAACCAATACTTGAACTTAACGAGGTTGCAAAATACAAGTCCAAAATAAAAATAATCATTCATATGTAAAGTATATGTAAAATTATAAAATGCAATGTAAACTAGTTAAAACAGAGTTAAAAACAAACACAAAGTCTTTAGGGATATATTAAATGAAAAGTGTGAGAAGTGTAAAATGAAAACTACTAAACATTGCTAAGAGCAATTTAAAAATATCTAAATAAATGGAGATCTATAATGTAATCTTGGATTTCAAAATTCAATGTGAAGAATCAGTGCTCTTCAAGTTGAGCTATAGGTTCACTACAATTCTAATCAATAATGATATCTTATTTCCCATATAAATAAGGTTAATTTAAAATTATTACTATGAAATATGCAAAGGGCCGAGAGTAGCTAAAAAAAATCTTGAAAAAGAACAAAATTGGATGATTACATGGCTTTATTAGAAGGGTTTTTTTAATGGAGCAATTAATATGGTATCCATGTAAGGATAGACAAATCAGTTAGTTGACATAATAGAAGGTAAGAAGTAGACATACGGTTGATTTTCTACAAACATGCCAAAACTATTCACTGGGTTATAATAGTCTTCTGAAGAAATGCTGCTAAAACATTTAAATACCTATGTGGTAAGGAAAAAAAAAAACACTTCAACTTCTATCTCACATCAAACATTTATTCAAGTTGGACACTAGACCTAAAACTATGAGTTAATATACAAATTTTCTCATGGGAGTTTTGTGAGAATATCCTCATGGCCTTGATATGGGCAAATTTCTTTTTTTATAAGACATACATTCAAAAAGTAGTCACACGAAGTAAAACCTTCTGCTCATCAAAAACCAGAATTCAGAAACTGAATTGTATTAAGAATATATAAGGAATATGTATATTTGACAAATAAAATGTGTCTAGGTTACACAATAAACTCCCATAACAAAATAATATGAGGAAAAAACAAATAGTCAAAAGTTAAAAAATGAGCACAAGGGCCAGGCGTGGTGGCTCATGCCTGTAAATCTCAGCACTTTGGGAGGCTGAGGTGGGTGGATCACCTGAGATAAGGAGTTTGAGACCAGCCTGGCCAACATGGCAAACCCCGTCCCTACTAAAAATACAAAAATTAGCTGGGCGTGGTGGTGCGCCCCTGTAGTCCCAGCTACTGGGGAAGCTGAGGCAGAGAATCGCTTGAACCTGGGAGGCAGTGGTTATGGGTGAGCCGAGATTGCACCACTGCACTCCAGCCTGGGTGATAGAGTGAGACTCTTGTATTAAAAAAAAAGAACAAAAGACTCATGTAAACACTTTAGAAATGAAAATACATTACTGACTGATGAACTCATGAAAAAAGTATTCAAAAGAAGTCATTGGCAAAATGTAAACTCAAATCACAATTAGATACCACTTCACATTCACAGAAAAGCTGATATTATAAAACTTACAATGTTGACAAAAAGACATATGTTGGCAAAGATGTGGAGCAGCTGGAAATCTTATATATTTCAGTGGCAGTGTAAAATTTCACAGCCACATTGGACAACTCTATTTTAATCCACTTTAAAAAAAGAAAAAACAACATCTACTAACCAACAAGAGCACTCCTGGTCATTTTTCCAGGTGAAATTAAAATTTATATATACAGAAAGACCTTCACAATATTTGTGTCATAATTTTGTTGATAATAGTCACAGAACTTAAAGCAACCCAATGTCTAAACAAATGGGGTATATTCATAGAATTTAATAATATATTAATTAAAAATTAATTGATTAGAAAAATTACTTTTGCTCTCAACAACATGAATGAATCTCAAAACATGTTGAGTAAAATAAGGCAGAAGATAAAAATGTGCATTCAATATGATTCAATTCTATGAAATTCACAGTTGGGCAAATTTTATCATGGTAGAAATTCAGCAAGTTGTATTTGGGGTCGAAGAGAGAAGATAGATTGGAAGCAGGAACAAAGACATTTTCTTAGATGACAGAAATGTTTTATACCTGGATTACACTGTGGGTTAGATAGGGGAATATGCTTGTCAAAATTTATTAAACTGTAAAATTAACTGTATTGAAGATACTCATCAACCAATAAGAAATAAAAAATTAGAGAAATTATGATTCTATATAGCAATTAAATGGAATATTAAAATTTTGAAATAAAAAGACTAAAATATTTGCCTTGTTTCCTAAAAAAACTGAAGATTATTCAAACATTTGAATAGAAGTTCATGTGTTAAAAATTTGAGAATAATTCTTGAGGTTTGAAAGAGTTGATAACTGATTCTTTTTCATCTACCGATCATACCATGGATCTAATTAAATAATAAGTGCATATATCTAGGAAATAGATCAAAATAGTTCTTTTGTTATGTGTGAAGTTACACTACTAGGAGAATATAAATTAGGTTAGTGACAACAATGGGCTTCTGAATGTTTAACCTTAAATTAAATGTGTGTGTTTACTTAGTAACTGTCACCACTAGTCAGTCACATATCCCACTACAAGGGCCGGGCCTTTCCCCCTAAAGTGACTGTATAGCCAACAGAAGATAAGTAAGGAGTATGTCTTCAGAGAGAAAGATTTTTGAGAGAGACAAGATTTTTGAGAGAGAAAGAAGAGATGCAGGAAGAAGAGAAGGAAGTCAGGGACGGTGATAGGGAAAGAAAGAAAGTGAGAAAGGAGAAGCAGAGACAAAGAGAAATAAATTTCAGTATGACTCTAACTGGAAAGAGCATTGCTACTTAGATATGAAAGTGGCATATTATTAATCTTGCAATCTGCGAATCACAGTAAATTTGGAATCTATCTTATGTCTGTTTTAATCTACCCCGAATACCTCATTTTTCTTAATCTTTTCAATAATCATGTTTAATATCAACTATATATAAGCAGCATAGCTTATTATATAATTTCTGATCAAACATAAATTTATATTATTTTAGGCAGTTGTTCTGATTACTAGGATTGATCTAATAATTTATGCTCTGAAGTAATTTAACAGAAGGTCTGTGTCTTTCATTTATTTTTATTTTGTATTAGTGCCAATTAGTATTTTCTACTAACTTGAACTAGTGTTAAGGAATACAGTATGGGGAGTATAGTGAGGAAACCTACTTAACTGTTAAAGAATAAACTTCAGTCCTTTTGTTCTAGGTATCTTTTCATTTGAGGAACAGCTATCTTCAGAAGCTTGATAAAATATCTACCACTTAACATTGAACAAATGAGTGCTCTCTAGTTTGTAATTTGCATTTTTAATAATGTCTAGTAATTATTTCCTGTTAAAATGTTACTTATTAAATTAACAAAGATTTATGAAGCTCCTGACATGCCCCCCAAATTGTTCTAATTGTTTAGGACAAAGCAGAGATGAAACAAAGTCCTTATGCTCACAAAGCTTATTTTTCAATAGAAGAGACTAAAAATAACTAAAAAAGGAAACACAAACATTGCGTAATGTTAGATTCTCGTAAGTGATATGATAAAAAAATAAGAGTTGGGTAAGAGCTATCCAGTGGGGAGTAATCTGAAGAGTTAGTTAGGCATGGCTGACCACCTCAAAGGGAAGAAAGGAGAAAAGAGGGCTATGACCCACTTAACCACACGATTTACCAGAACCATCAAAACGTGTGGCCCATGTTTTGATAGAAATCTAGATTTTTGAATGTGCTTCCTTTGCCAGAAAACTTCAGCAAAATACATTGAATTTGAATGACTTTAGGTTGGGTATACATTTCCAGTTTGCTACAGGCACTACAACTCTATTCCCAGCTTTCCGATGCTTGTGTGAGATTATATATTTACTTTGTCACCCATAAGCACTGACTTTTTTACATTGAGATATTAGGCAAATAACTACTATTTAAATAAGGCTTGACTTTTTCATATGAAATGAAATATTACAAGTATACGAAGAAAAAAGCTATTAATGAAATTCTGATTTAAAAAGAAAGAGTTTTGAAGGTTTTATGTCCTGTCTGCATTATTAAATTATCAATTTCACATGCCCTATATTGTCAGCTCAATGTTCTTTCTGTCATTCATTTCTTTATATTTATTTTTATTGGCCCCTAATAATAGAAAGTCATTTCTATTCTAGAAGATGGCCTTGCCCCATATCTAAATAATAGGTGCTATGCAACCAACTGAGACAGATCTTGACAGTTGTAATCTGGAAGCTCCACAATGGTCTTGGATTGATAGCGGCTGGTAAATGAGGGTTGCAATCCACCTTGACAACATCATCGAAAGTGATATTTATTATATGAAGAAAGTTTCAGAATCTAAGTTATATCTAGAAATGATTCTTGAAACATTGTCACATATTTAGGCCTCAGCACTTCAGTACTTTGTGGTTTCATTCTCTTATACCCAGTGATGTGTTAGTGAGATAGACTCGGAGGCTTTAGAACAGTATCTGTGTCTTAGGTAACTTTTTTCACCTCTGACTGTCACTATATTTCATTTAAACTCTGGGTCTGAGTATTGTGCTGATTCCTTTGTAAGGTGTAGGAAAGTCTTTAGGTTAAAATAGTCTTGTGAATCAATGCCTATTCAAACTGCATTTTTATGCCCCAGAACTTTAACATTAGCTTTCATATCTGTGACCATTTTTATGCAATCCTTCATATTATTTAACTCCCCTTTCATTTAATATGAAAAATATTCACAATTACTTACCATAGCAACCACTGTAGAAATAGATTCAACTGCCAAGACTGGCATAAAGTTCACAGTTGATATAACCATCCAAACAGTTTGCAACATGACCCTGTGTAATTATTTTAAGGCTTTTGCATCCTGATGAGAACAGTGAATGCATGAGGAATGAGATTTGCTTTTAATCAGCCCACATGAATATCACCATCATCAACAACAACAATAATTACTAAAACTATCTTGAGTGCTTCCATATAGGACCCAATGCTACACTTCATGAAATATTATATTCCATAGTAAATATGAAATATTAATTTCTTAATGATGTAAAATGCTACAGATGCTTACGTTATATGTACATACACATGCACAATTAGATGGTGAATTGCAGAACACAAAGGAGAAAAAAACATGTAATCTGAATACACAAGCCTATCATCCAAATCAGTACAGGTTAAGTCCTCTTAATCTTACATTCTTGGGATCAGAAATGTTTCTGTTTTTGGATGATTCTGGATTTTGGAATATTTATGTTTACATAATGAGATAGCTTGGGGATGGGACTCAAGTCTAAACACAAAATTTGTTTATATTTCACATATACCTTATACACATAGCCTGAAGTAGTTGATATTTGTTTTTTTTAATCTACCCATCACATCATAGAACCAATTAAATAATAAATGAATGTATTTTATACAAATGTATATATAAATATCAATGCATAAACTTAAATATAAATGCATATATTTTATAAAATATTTTAAATAATTTTTAACTCAATTGGATGGAAAGAAATAAAATAAAAATAAGAAATAAATTATTTTTTGCATAAAATTAAGTCTGTGTGCATTGAATCATTAGAAAGCAAAAGTGTCACTATCTCAGCTATCCATGTGGACAATCTGCAGTTGTTTGGCATCACCATTATTCCTGTCTATGAATTTATATACTACCAATTAGCAACAATTTTCTTAAACTCATTCATACATATATACTTAACAATGAAAAAGATGATGTATTAATACAGTGAAAACATGTTCAGGATAATTTAACACACAGTAAAATCACCAGAATAGCATATCAGCTGTTAAACAACAGCAACAAACAAACAATGGTAGCTTTCAGTCTCCAGCTGCAACATTGTTATTTGATTAAAAGATTACTGTATACTGTCTTGTTTTTGTTTGTTTGTGTGTGTTTTCTGGTGAGAAGCAACATCAGGAGTAGTTGAGGGACCAGGAGGTGAAATCTCTAGGGATGAGGAGGCATTCTGCTGGGTGGCTTTTTTAAAATGTTTCTTCCAGAGTCATCTGCCTCATTAACAGCAGTTTCTGTCTTAGAAGTCTCTCTTTGATTTTATAAGTTGCTGTATGCCTTGTTCTTTTATGACTGGATGCTGCTTTAGTCCTGCAATAAGCCCATTACACATTTTCACCATGTAGTCCATAGGCAGTTTTTATCTTCATCGTCACTCTCATCAGGGTCACTTTGATTCAGAACCATTTTGGCTATTTCACCATTGGTCAATAAATGAACAACTGAAACTTCATTATCAATGTTAAAAAATTATTCAATATACATTTCTTCCAGCTTACTGGCAGATTATGAAGGTATACATTCACATATGAAAAAAGGTCAGACCTCATTTTTTTTCCTCACTTGACAAGCAGAATCCTTCAAATCACCACCTTGTTCATCATCATCACTGGACATAGACATAGGCCAGAGGTTGTGATAGGCACGAGTAAATATATCTTTAGTCAACTGTGTTCCATGTGTTGACAATAGTATGCTTCATGCTAAACTCCTTTTGAAAATCTTCCACACCCTTGCTTCTGTTCACTGCTGGTAGCATGTTCTATTTCTCTTCATGGATCTAAGGATACCCTGGTCACATGGTTGAATGACCGAAGTCACATTGTCTGGAGAAGTACCAGCATAAACATTATTTTTGATGAAAATTTCACTGGAAGATGAATACAACAGTTGTCAGGGAATAGCAAAATCTTCCACTTCTCAGTCATTTCAGCTTCCCTGCTGTGAGCACAAGCCACTGGCACAAAATATTTATGAAACCAGTTAGAAAAGATGTTCCTGGTAATTCATATCTTTTTGTTAGTATCATAATGGACTGGTAAGAAATTCAGTAGTTGAAAACAGAAAGAGTACCAGCCTTTGTCTATCACAGAAAGTTTACACATATGCAAGCCACCCGCAATAGCACATCCTACCACAGTTATTTTGTCCTTGGAATCCTTAATTCTTATAGGGGCTGTGTCATCAGTTGTAGTCAGTGTCTTTCTGGGCACTAATGCCAAAACAGTAACATTTCATCAGCCTTACAGACTTGTTCTGGTGTCAGATTTTCATCAGTAATGAGTTTGGGAAATTTATCAATGAATTTCTACACTGCTTTGTAATCAGCAGATGCTTTACCACCACCAATTTTTTAAAAAATTAATGTCACATCTTTCCCAAATTTCTGCAACAAGCCTGTTGAATATTCAGTTTCCTTCAATTTTCAGTTCATTGTGATAGATCTTTGCTTGTTTCCTGGTGAGTCCACCATTAAGTGTCATGTGTTCATTGGAATGCTGACAAATCCACTCATTCAATACACAATCAAAATCTTCATTTCTAGCTTTATGCAGAAATGAATACTATTCATTAATTTCTGTTTATCACTTTTGGCATAGAACTTTAACCGTTTATCCTTCTGATTCTTTATTTCATATATATGGTAGCCATTCCAACAATATACTCTTGTGTAAGATGTTTCACGCCTATACTGCTATTCAGTTTCTCTAACAGCTTGACTTTCTGTGCTGTAAATAAACAAAAATACCTCCTCTTTTTCTTGTCATTGTTGCCTGTTTGAGCATCTGAAGACTGTTTTGACATTTTGAACAATATCTTTACAGAACAGACAGAAAATAAGCAAAAACAAAGAAAATAATAAAAACAGTGAATAATGCACACAGGTGTTGGCTCCATGTGGGACATTGTGGGGAACCTGTGTTTGGTGCATCTGGACTGCACATGTGTCATTTCATTACCCTTTGTGGGTGGCTTGTATGGGGAAATCTGGACTTGCATGAAAAAGATATGTGTATGTATCACAGCTGAAGGGGGCCAGGAGAGTCTGTCATCCCTTAGGGATGCTGAAAAAACTGTTTTGTGCACCTGAATTTTGACTGTGACCAGTCACATGAAGTCAGGTGTGAAATGTTAGACTTGTGGTGTCCTGTCAGTGCTCAAAAACCTTCAGATTTTAGAGCATTTCAGATTTTGGATTTTTAGATTATGAATGCTCTACTTGTAGTGATTAGATCACTTTAGAGGGGAAATTATTACAATTTTTATTTTCAACTCAATGAATGTGATGATAAATTGTATACTATCTCATTCACAAATCTCCATACTTTAAATATTTTGTTATTCAGTTCTTTTCTCCTATTTGCTAGAACTCTTTCCTTCATTTATGTTATCTTTGAAGTCATAAACCCTCAGGTAGCTGATGAGAAGAAGGATGATTATGTATCTTGGTTGCATCATGCCTCAAGATACAACTATCTTTCCTTCCTTGAAACAAACATAAATAATAAATATATATGTTGTATGTGTGTATATATATGTTGTATATATGTATTTATATATAATATATATACATATATAAATATATGTATATATAATATATATAATAACATATATACATATATATGTTGTGTGTGTGTGTGTGTGTGTGTGTGTGTGTGTGTGTGTGTATATGATGAATACAGAGTGTCAATTTGATTGGACTGAAGGATACAAAGTATTGATCCTGGCTATGTCTGTGAGGGTGTTGCCAAAGGAGATTAACATTTGGGTCAGTGGGCTGGGGAAGGCAGATCCACCCTTAACTGAGTGGGCACCATCTAATCAGCTGCCAGCGAATATAAAGCAGAAAGAAAAACGTGAAGAAGAGAGATGAGCCTAGCCTCCCAGCCTACATCTTTCTCTCATGCTGGATGCTTCCTGCTGTTGAAGAAGGGACTCCAAGTCCTTCAGTTATGGGACTCAGACTGGCTCTCCTTGCTCCCCAGTTTTCAGAAAGCCTATTGTGGGACCTTGTGATCATTTAATACTTAATAAATTCCCATATATATATATATATATATATATCTCCTATTAGTTCTGTCCCTCTAAGATAACTCTGACTAATATGACTAATATGACTAATAAAGATTTTGGTACCAGGAGTTCTATAGATTTGGTCCCAGGAGTTTTATATAATATTCTGCTCTAGAGGAACAGAATAAATGCATTTAACACTCCTGATTCACCACTCGTGAGAGGCAAGGAGTTTAGTGACTCTACACGTAATACCTTTGACCATATGTGGAGAACCAAGGAACATAATGAAGCTGGTTGGTTGCTCCTAAGTACAGTGGACAAAATGATGAAAGAAAATGATGAACTCAGGGATTCTGTCTCCTGGCTTCAGAAGCAGATAATGAGCCTCAAATCTGCTAAGATTGCCCTGAGTAAGAGTCTTATCTCCTGTAGAGAAACAGCTGAAATTGTGGAAAAACAGACAAAAGATCTTACCATGCGAGTGGCTAACCTGCAATGAAAGATGCATGCACAGCCTTGCCAGGTGTCTACTGTTAAATTGAGGGCACTGATTGTAAAAGAATCGGACTTTGCAACTTGGAATGGGGATGTGTGGGAGGACCCTGATGAAGATGAGGACACTGAGTTTGTAAACTTTGGTGAAACTTTTTTGCCAGGAGGAACAGCTTCCACATCCCCAGTAGTGGCAACATCCCCTCTCCAACCTATGCTGCCATCAGCCTTTCCACCCTTCTCTGAGGAGATAAACCCTGTGCTGCCTGAGACAACAGTGATGGCCTCCCTTGAGGCAGTTGCCAGTCAAGATAATGTTGATTCTCCTCATGAGCCACTCCTAACACCTCTGTTTGCTTCTAGACCTATAACCAGACTAAAGACCTGGCAGGCCCCTAGAGGAGAGGTTGAGCGTGTGACCAATGAGGAGGTGCACTACACCTGAAAAGAACTGTTTGAATTATCTAATTTACATAAACAGAAATCAGGAGAACAGGCAAGGGAATGGATATTAAAGGTATAGGATAATGGTGGAAGGAACATACAGTTGGATCAGGCTGAATTTATTGATTTGGGCCCACTAAGTAGGGACTCTGCATTTAATGTTGCAACTCAGGGAGTTAAAAAGATTTTAATAGTTTATTTGCTTGGTTAGCTAAAATATGGATTAAAAGATGGCCCACTGTGAGTGAGGTGGAAATGCCTGATCTCCCTTGGTTTAATGTAGAGGAAGAAATCCAAAGGCTTAGGGAAACTGGGATGGTGGAGAGGAATAGTCATTTTACACCTACTCATCCCAGCTGGGAGGGTCTGGAAGATATATCCTTGACAAATGTCTTGTGAAATAGATTTGTGAGGGCAGCACCTGAATCTTTGAAGAGCCCTATAATTGCTCTTCTCTGTATGTCAGATCTAATGGTGGGAACTTTAGTCGCTCAATTACAAAATTTAAATAAAATGGGAATAATTGGATCCCGAGATGGCAGGGGCCAAGTGGTAGCACTCAACTGTCAAAGGCAAGGTGGGCATAGCTACTGTAATGAACAGTAGAGGAAAAGCAGCAATCAGAATAGCCTGATTCTCATAGAGCTCCGGCATTGGCTAATTAATCATGGTGTTCCTAGAAGTGAAATTTATAGAAAGCCTACTGCATTCCTACTTAGATTATGCAAATAGAAAACTTCTAGGTCAAATGGACAAAAGACTTCTTTGAATTCCTCCACCAGGAAAAAACAAAAAACAAAAAACAAGCAAACAAAAAAACCCCATGATCCGCTGAGGTGCTTGCTGAAGGCAAAGGGAATACAGAATGGGCACTAGAAGAAGGTAGTCATAAATACCAACTATGACCACGTGACCAGGTGCAGAAACGGGGACTGTAATTGTCATGAGTATTTTCTGCTTCTTTTGCTAAAAACATGTTTGTGCATGTATATACTTGTACTATAAAAATATCTTTATTTTATTTCCTTTTCCTTTATCATGTGACATAAGATTTATGGACTTCATATTAGCATTTAAGTATTGTCAACTTTATGTAATAGTATTTGCTTTGGGGATTGGTGTGTTTCAGGTTGTATGAAAAATAGTTGTATTATGTTAGGCATAATTATGACCTTACAATTGTCTTTATTTGAACGTTCTGTATTATCTCAGGAGATGTGTATGGGTTCAAGTTGACAAAGGGTGGACTTATGATTGTTAATACTAGGTGTCAACTTGATTGGATTGAAGGATGCAAAGTACTGATCTTGCGTGTGTCTGTGCGGGTGCTGCCAAAAGAGATTAACATTTGAGTCAGTGGGCTGGGGAAGGCAGCCACCCCTTAATAGGGTGGGCACCATCTAATCAGCCACCAGTGAATATAAAGCATGCAGAAAAACATGAAGAGGCAAGACATGCCTAGTCTCCCAGCCCACATCTTTCTCCAGTGCTGGATGCTTCATGCCCTCAAACATCAGACTTCAAGTTCTTCAGTTTTGAGACTCGGATTGGGTCTTCTTGCTCCTCAGCTTGCAGACAGCCTATTGTGGGACCTTCTGATTATGTAAGTTAATACTTACTAAACTCCCCTTTATATATATATATATATATATATATATATATATATATATATCCTATTTATATATATATATCCTATTTATATATATATATCCTATTTATATATATATATAAGGATATATATATCCTATTTTTATATATATATAAGAATATATATATATATATATGAATATATATATATATATATCCTATTAGTTCTGAGCCTCTAAGAGAGGATATATATATATATATATATATATATATATATATATATACACATATATATATCCCATTAGTTCTGAGCCTCTAAGAGAACCCTGGCAAATACTCTCTCTCTCTCTCTCTCTCTCTCTCTATATATATATACACACACACATGTGTATATATATGTGCACACACATGTGTATATATGTGCACACACATGTGTATATATGTGCACACACATATGTGTATATATGTGTACATATGTATGTGCATGTGTATATACACATGTGTATACACGTGTATATATACACATGTGTATACACGTGCATATATACACATGTGTATACACGTGTACATGTACACACATGTGTATACACGTATATATATACTCATGTGTATACACGTGTATATATGTGTGTGTATATATACACGTGTATATATGTATATATGTGTATCTATGTGTACATATATGTGTGTATGTATATATATGTGTACATATATGTGTGTACCATATGTGTGTACACATATGTGTGTTCACATATGTGTACATATGTATATATGTGCATATATATACACATATACACACACACATATATATATACACCCATATATATGTGTGTGTGTGTGTGTGTCTGTGCTAGGCCACAGAAAAGCATCAATTATCAATTAGCAAGAGAAATACACTCTCTATTTTCATAGAACTTGAAAACTTCTAGGAAAGGTAAACTCTAGACCATCACGTAATCAATATATTACAATTGTGATAGTTACACTTCTTACTATCACCCAACAAGCCATATATTCTCTTGCTTTAGATAAATTAAACCACTTAAACAATTCACTTATTACTGAACTTTAAAATGCTTTTCCTATTAATATTGACATTTGATAAGTTGAAGAAGTACAATATCAACTCACACACAAACAAAATAAAAAAAAAAACACTACCTGGCTATAGACAAAGCTTTTATATACACGTTTGATATTAAATGATGAAATTAATAATGAATTACAAAGAGAAAAATAAATAATAATAATTTTTACAGGAATATTTCTAGTTCTGAAAAACTGTAGGAACCATAAGGTATAAATTTGGAGTGTAGATCATGAAGCTAATGGCAATAAATTGCTACAGAATTTTTTTTAAATAAAAATAATATTACGATGAAACTGTTATGATAAAGAAAGCTATATTTTATGCATTTTTAAAAGCATCTTTAATTAAGTAGAAAACCAGTGCCCTTGAAATTCATAATATTTGAATAATTGGTGTATATTATATTCTTATTATAATGATTTCTCAAAGACAAAGGCCAAATGAATACAAATACATAAAAGACAATAAATTATTGAATATAAGCAACTATATTTTTCATAAAACATATGTTGTTAATGGAAGAGAAGAAAAAAAGAAATATTTAACCAAGTTCTTGAAGACTTGTTCACAAGGAAGAAATTGGAGAAAGTGAAAATAATATGTGACAAATGGGCTGAAAGATGAAATGTCTACAATGTCTATGTTTATACCTTTCAATTTAAAAATTAAAAAGTGACAATATTTCTGAGAAAATATTGCCTTCTTTTTAAGCAAAAACAACATCGCCACAACAAAATCCTAAAAGTGAAGTAACAGTTAGCTACTAGTATAAAATGCATACATGCAGGTATGTTTAAAGGGGAGACTTCCAGATACAGTTTTGTGCTGTGGTAGAATACCTGCTTTTTCCTGCTTTTTTCTGGTGCTGATTAGAGAGGATCTTAAGACACAGTCTCCAGTGAAAGAATAAAATTGTGCTTTGCAATATCCATAAATACAGGGCAAGAGACTCAAATGTATGCTCTACACATTTTCCCTTTATCCCCACTAATTCAAGTGGAGGCTCTGCCTATAGAATAAATAAACAGAGATGGAAAAATACAGAGTTTTTCTTCAAGTTTAATATTCTCACTCTAGTCAGTGTATTTAAAAGAAAGTCTGTGGCTTTATAAAATTATGGTAGGTAACTCATGGGTTTAGATATTTATTTTTCTCTTGGTTACCTATTTATAGTAATAATTTAATATACATCTGGTAAAAAGAATATTTGAATTCAAATTAGAATTCACTTTCACTCGAATATGGTACCCTCATTCAGAATATGACTAATTCCACTAAGCAGTAGACAAATTCCCAGAATCACAACCTACCTCAACCTATGTGAAAGCAAATTTTTTCTATCCTCTTTATTTGGACACAGACACACATGTGTGCGCACACACACATACAGAGAGCGACAGGGACATACACAAATAATTTATTACTATCCCTTGTTCTGGACCCCAATACCTTATTGCTTTTTATGATCTTTCAATTCTTAAATATGTTATTAACTTTTCAGAGTTCTTTATGTGAATAATACAACTCAATTTATCATTTGTACTTTACAAGAAAAATAAGACTTGGCTTCATATCATATAATATTTTATTTTCACTTTATGACTTATAAAATAATTTTATATTCTTGAAATGTAATTTTTGACCAATTTTGAAATGGTCATTGAAATTAAAATACATTCTTAATTTGAAACCCTTTTTTAATGGAACCACAGAAAGGAATATTGATTAGGGCTTATTAGATATTGAGTTTCCTATTACATTCCATTGCACTTTAATAAGCATCCTCATAAGGCTTTCCAGGATGCAGAGTCTTTCATTAGAGATCAGCATGGAGAAGGTTTATCAAGGGAGGAATTTGGGATCAACCCCTATTGAAGAGAAAGAATGGAAGCAGAATTGGCCAGAGGGAAAAATTAGATAATGATACAGTCTCAGTGAAGGTCTCATATGACACCAAAAGAAAATACAATGTTAGAATAGCCTTTTAGAATTATCCTATGGAAGTCATTGGATGGTAGCTTCCTTGAGATTAGACCATCACTTTGGGAGCAGCATCTCTCTTCAGCCAAGATAATTACAGAGAATGTGGACAGTTGAGGGCTCTCTGCTGACATTCTCAACTTTGGTCCTGAAAATGGATGTGGATGGCACATCACAGTGTTGAGTATTGTCCACTCTCTGTGTATCTCACTAACTCCACCACAGTTTTCGAAACTCAAACTTGTAAGAGGAAGTTTAGCAGAAGGAATGAGGAAAATGTCTTTAGGGCATGTGAGAGGTCATCACGGTTATCTCTAAGCTAAATGGCTAAGCCTAGGAGTCAATTAATCTGGAAATTAAGATTACCACCTGGACACTTTGGGCTCCTGCTACCTTTAAGTCAACAGGCTAAGAAGAGAGTTATAGTGTTGGCTGGGGTGATTGACATGGACTATCAAGATGAAATCAGTGTACAAATCCACAATGGTGGTAAGGAAGAGTATGCATGGAATACAGGAAATCCATTAGGACATCTCTTAGTGTTACCATGCCCTGTGATTAAGGTCAATGAGAAATTACAACAGCCCAGTCCAGGCAGGGCTACAAATGACCCAGGCCCTTCAGGTTTGGAGCTTTGTGTTGCTCCACCAGGAAGAAAAAAAAAAAAATATGGCTTGCTGAAGTGCTTACTGAAGGCAAAGGAAATACAGAATGGGTAGTAGAAGAAGGTAGTTATTAATACCAACTATGACCACATGACCAGTTGCAGAAAAGAGCACTGTAATTGTCATGAGTATTTTCTCCTTTTTTTATTAGAAACATGTTTGTGTATGTATACACTTGTTCTAAGAAAATATCTTTATTTTATTCCTTTATCATGTGACATAGGATTTACTGACTTCATATCAGCATTTAAGTATTGTTAACTTTATGTAATAGCATTTGGGTTGGGGATTGGTGCGTTTCCAGTAGTACAAAGGATAGTTGTATTATGTTAGGTGTAATTATGACCTCATTGTTGTCTTTATTTGAGGATTACATATGATCTAAGGAGATGTGTATGGGTTCAAGTTGACAAGAGGTGGACTTATGGTGGTTAATACTGAGTGTCAACTTCATCGGATTGAAAGGTGCAAGTATTGATCCTGGGTGTGTCTGTGAGGGTGTTGCCTTAGGAGATTAACATTTGAGTCAGTGGACTGGGAAAGGCAGACCCACCCTTAATCTGGGTAGGCACCATCTAATCAGCTGCTAGCACAGCTAGAATATAAAGCAGGCAGAAAAATGCGAAAGGGCTAACTTGGCTTAGCGTCTCAGTCTATATCTTTCTCCTGTGCTGGATGCTTCCTGTGCTGGAACATCAGACCCCAAGTTCTTCATCTTTGGTACTCGGACTGGCTCTCCTTGCTCCTCAGCTTGCAGACAGCCTATCGTGGGACCTTGTGATCATGTAGGTTAATACTTAATAAACTCCCCTTTATATATGTATATATACACACATACACATTTATGTATATCCTATTAGTTCTGTCCCTCTAGAGAATCCTGACTAATACACCTTGCAAGGTAAAGAAAGCCTTCACATATGGGGCCTCAGATCATTTGCCCTCGTGTTTACAGAAAAGGTCCAACTGCAGAATGGTATCAAAATAAATGGTTCTTTCCTGAGGCCAAGACACTCCTTCCTTCAGATCATAATTTGGCCAAAGCTTTGTGTAAAGGGCTGTGAGGCATTTTTCCATCAGAGTTTAAGGGTCAAAGCAGTCCCAGTGATTCAGGATGCACTCCAGAGGAGTATAGACTGAGGGTTGTGAAGATAGTTGGTTGCTCATTCTGAAAGGGAAAGTAATAGGTGTCCCTCACTCCCCTTCCCTCTTTCAGCAAAAATCTGGGGGTTGACGGAGAGAGAAAATGGGCATCCACCTTTTCTCATTCATCTTTTTATGCCCGAGTCTGGACTACCTTAGATGGATGCCATCCTTGGGTGCCACTGCGGCCAGTATCTGTGAAGAAGAGAGTTCCTAGGGAACAGAAATTATCTGCACTGACCTACAACTCCATGCCCCTACTGTTGGCAACCTTTGTTTTCCCTGTGCCTTATCTATGCCATGGAACATGGCCTCCTTCCACAAAGTGGGGGCTTAATCTGCAAAATTTAGTCCTTTCCATTTACACTGTGCTCGTTGCCTTTGCATCCCTCACATCTGGTTTTCCTTTCTAGGAATTGAGTTTGGTACAAAAAAATGTCTCAGGGAATGCATAGATTCATTTAGATTAAGTCCCAGATAGGCCTTACCAAAAAATCTTAGGATATGTCAGTTATTATTTCATTTATAACTTCCATAAGGTTTATGAAATAACTTTCACAATTGAAACACTATGATAGATGTTAAAAAATATGTAAATATCTCATATATTTTTTCAAATACACTTACGTGCTGCATATAACAACATTTTGGTCAATGAAGGACTGCATATCTGATGATGGTCCCATTCAATTATAATGGAGGAGAACAATTCCTATTGCCTAGTGATATTGTAGCATAATACATCACTTGTGTGTTTGTGGTGATGCTGGTGCAAACAAACCTACCGTCCTGCCAGTCATGTAAAAGTATAGCAATACAATTATGTACAGTATATGATACTTGATGATGACATATTACTGTATTACTAGTTTATGTATTTGCTGTAATATCCATTTTATCATTATTTTAGGGCAAACTCCTTTTACTTATTAAAAAATAGGTAACCATAAAACAGCCTCAGGCAAGTCCTTCAGGAGGTATTCCAGAAGAAGGAATTGATTATTACAGGAGATGACAACCCTATACTTTTTATTGCCCCTGAAGGCCTTCCAGTGCAAAAAAATGTGGAGGTGGGAGACACTGATATTGATCATCTTGATCCTGTGTAGGCCTTGGCAAGTATGTATGTTTATATCTCAGTTTTTAACCAAAAAGGTTAAATTTAAAAAATTTAAAAAATTTAAAATAGAAATAAATTATAGAATAAGAATATAAAGAAAGAAAATATTTTTGTATAGCTGTACAATGTGTTTGTATTTGAGGCTCAGGGCTTTATGAGTCAAAAAGTTAAAAAGGTTTATAAACTGAAGAAATTATAGTAAGCTAGGGTTAATTTATTATTAAAAATATATTTTTATCATAAATTTAATGTAGCCTGTCTATAGTGTTTATAAAGACTACAGTAGTGTACAATAATGTCCTAGGCCTTCACGTTCACTCAATACTCATAACCCAGAGCATCTGCCAGTCCTGCAAGTTCCATCATGGTAAGTGCCCTATACATGTGTAAGACTTTTTATCTTTTATACCAGATTTTTACAGTGCTTTTTAAATGTTTAGATATACATATGCTTCCCATTGTGTCAAAATTGCCCTCAGTATTCAGTACAGTAACATGCTATATAAGTTTGTAGACTAGGAGCAATAGACTATACCATATAGATTAGGTGTGCGGTAGGCTATACCATCTAGGTTTGTGTAAGTGCACTTTATGATGTTTATACAATGATAAAATCACTTGAAGATGCCTTTTTCAGAAAGTATCCCCATTGTTAGGCAGTGCCTGACTGTATACGTATATATAAAAAAGTGGCAGGACTTCTGGCTATAAGGAGTTCATAGCTGGTGAAGAAAATATGCAGAAGTAAGTAATTACAATTCAGTTAACATAATTTTAGTAATAAACTAACATATAAGAAGGGTGAAAACAAAATATGGTGAAGCACACTGAAATAAGAAGATGGAAAAAGGAGATCTTCAAAGAACGAGTCACAGAGGAAATTGATAGAAAATTGAAGGAAGAAGAGATGTTTCCTGGTCAGATGTTAGTAACTCTGCTATCTTTCTGAGATAAAAGCATAGCAATATTAAGATGGCATATTTTGCTATCTAGATAATATGTGTAATTGAAGTGTATTAGGCTTACATCCATTCCATGAACTGAAAAACACTGAGGAGGTATAAGGTTGAGAAATAAAAGATCCTTATATCAGTCTAAGGAGTTTGGATTTGTTTTTGAGTATCAGTGGTTCTAACAAGTGGTCAGACTTTCCAGGTGAATTTTGAAAAATAATAATGTTCTGGCCCAGATCAAACCTTCTGAACTAGAGTTTTTGGAGTATGAATGCTGTTGTCATTAACCAATTATGAGATTTATGAATATCATGTTTTAATGAGACAGTGTAAAGGGATTCAGGGTGTAAAGGGTAACCAGAAGAAAAATATTTTACGCTATTTATATATTTTGTGAACTATACAGTGATATAAAGTAATTGGGATGAATATTGTTTTCAGCCAGCACTTTACAGTGAATGAAAACATTGTGGTAGATAGAGTGATGTTCCCTCAGTGATATTCATGACCTTATCTCTACAACCTATAAATATTTTACATGGTGAAAAATGCTTTGTAAATGTGTTTAAATTAAGAATCTTGAGATGGAAATATTTTTATGAATTATCCAAGTGGGACCAATGTTATCACTAAGGCCCTTAAAAGTGACAGTGGCAGCAAGGTCAGGAGTTTGAGACCAGCCCAGCCAACATGGTGAAACCCTGTTTCTACTAAAAATACAAAAATTAGCTGGGCATGGTGGTGGGCATCTGTAATCCCAGCTACTTGGGAGGCTGAGGCAGGAGAATCGCTTGAACCCGGGAGGCAGAGGCTGCAGTGAGCTGAGACTGTGCCACTGCACACCAGCCTGGACGACAAGAGTGAGACTCTGTCTAAAAAAAAAAAGAAAAATAGGTGGAAGTGGTAAGACACTGGCAGAGATCAAAGTGATACCATGTAAGAAAGACTCCACTCAGCTCTTCTAGATTTGATGACATTTTAGAATTCTGGCCTTCAGAAATGGAAGAAAATGCACATGTGTTGTTTTAAGCTATTAAGTTTGTGGTAATTGGTTACAGCAGATATAGAAAACTAATACAAGCAAGACTTTTCAAAGGTCAAATGAGATTCAAATTCAATCTCATCTGAGTCATGTTTTTGCTACTAATTAAGTGTGTGATTTGGCCTCTCTAAGCCACACTTCTAGAACCTCCTTCATGCTTTTTTAGTAAGGATGCAGGAAAAATTTAGAGCACAGTGATGAGTCCGGGAAATCTTTCAAGAGATATCTATTTTTCGTTATTAGCATAAACATAGGGATTAGCAAAATTTCAGGTTTTGCTATGTAGTCAAGTTTCTGCAGAATGGGACATAATACTACCACAATTTTAGAGTAGAAACGAAGAACCACATAATCATACATTTACAATTTGCAGAAAATGAACAATTAAAAGATGATCGTGTACTACTACATAAATATTTACATACCCTGGGTGAGCAGTTTTCTATATTGGGTGATGTTAACAGGGGAAATACTTTATTTATTAACCAGATATTAATGAGCACTTACTATGTAAATGCCTGAACATTTCTAAGTGCCAATCAATTAATGGGACACAATTACTGCCCTTCTGGAGTTCACATCTTAAGTTAAAATACAAACAATAAAGTAATAAACATAATATTGGGCAACAGTAAATATTATGCAGAAAAATACAGCAGAGGAAGATGCGAGACAATGGTAGAGGTAAAATTTAAAAAATAGTGGTTGGGAAAGTCTCTGAGGAGATGTCACAAAAGTTATTGAAATTGGCCCCATGAAGATTATTTACCAGGTTAGGTTGGATAAATATTTGTGCTTTTCATGATAATAGACACCAGACCTCTAAACCTTGCAATTTCTAATAGAATCTCCCAATGACTCTAGTATTTAAGTACTGCCTGAGATAGCTGAGGTGTAAATCATTATGAGGATCCAAGCTGCATTTATCAAATGTTTTGTTATGGAAGAAACTACAAATATATTAACAGGTTGGTTCTTCTTGGAAAGAAGGAAATTGATCATTAATACAAGAATTTCCATTTGGGGAGCAGATAGGAATAGAAATATGATGTCTAGCCATTCCATAAAACTCCAACCTGGCCAGGCATGGTGGCTCACGCCTGTAATCTCAGCACTTTGGGAGGCTGAGGAGGGCGGATCACGAGGTCAGGAGTTCGAGCCCAGCCTGGCCAACATGGTGAAACCCCATCTCTACTAAAAATACAAAAATTAGCCAGGCATGGTGGCAGGTGCCTGTAATCCCATCTATTCAAGAGTCTAAGGAGAATCACTTGAAACCAGAAAGCGGAGGTTGCAGTGAGCCGAGATTGCACCACTGCACTCTAGCCTGGATGACAGAGTGAGACTCCATCTAACAACAACAACAACAACAACAACAACAACAACACACTCCACCCCTAACTCTCACACTTCCATGGTTAAAATTCATCACCTACCTATTATAGCCTACATTCGTGGGTGAGGTGTATATGTTTTTTAGCTTTAGAATTTATTGGTCCTTTACATGTATACTAATTTCTAGCTTGAACAAACTATTATGAAGTCCTCAAATATTTTATGCTTTCAATCTCATATTTTTGGTGCTTTAATTCATGGTTATATTCTTCATAGAATCACTTTTCCTTGTAAAACTTACTTTTTTTGAAAAATTACTTGCATACTTTGTAAACGTGTGAAACATCTGCTCTTTAAAGAATTATAGTGCATAGGTCTTCAACAATAGTGAAAAGCTCCATCCTTAGAGCATTATTATTATTCTATCTCTGCCATAGCTCCCTGGCAAAGCCCCATTTTCAAGTGTCTTTATTTGAAAAGACAGGCTCTGCTCTGCAAGAAAATTCCCCATCTTCACTATGTTTGCAACAATTAGAAGGAATTGTTTAACCTTGCAGCTGCTTAAAGCTTCAATACAGTGGGGGCACATAAGTGCCTTGACAAAAATTTAAAATAAATATCTGGATAATCAGGTGTTGATCATGAGTTTGGAATTGCTCTGAAATACACATAAAAATTTAGAAAACTATGCACATGTGCATGATTAGGTACCTACCAAAATAAAGACATGACATAAGAGAGCCTCAATCACTCACTTCTGACAGACCTTGAAGTAGAGTTGTAATCTTAAGCATTGAAGGAATCCCTTCACATATACATGAAGTTCCTTAGCAAATGATTGAAGGTTTATTAGTTCAAGGCATTTCAGGAAATCTCTGACTAATTACTAGCTGACTACTAAGACATTCGGGGAGAACATTTAATGACCATGTACTATAGGAAATAAACTTTACCGAATTAGTCCAGAAAATTTATTAAATAAAAAAAGCCAAAACCATAATTTAAAGAAATAATAAAAACATCAACAAAATCTAACCAGAAGAGAAAAGGATATCTTATTTTAAAATTGTCATATTCTGTCATCTAAAATGTTTAGTTTTGAAGAAGAAATTATAAAACAGAAAGGAATAGTAAACTATAACCCATACACATATATAAAACCAATAAATAGAAACTATCTATTCAGGGCCCAGAAACTTTAACTCAGCTAATAAGAATATTTTCAAATAACAAAAAGAAAATATATTCAAAGAATTAAAGAAAAGTATGGTAATATCTCACAAAATAACATGAGAAAAGATATATAAATTAATTTAAATTTAAATTTTGTAGATGAAGAATACAATAACCAAAATTTACAAAAGTTACTAGAGTGGCTCAACAGTAGATCTGAGTGTCAGAAGAAGATAATCTGCAACCTTGTACATAGAAATAGGTCAATTGAGACTACCCAGTTTGAGAAACAGAATGAAAAAAAATAAGGAAATTTTATAAAAATTTAGAGAGCTATGGGCACCATTAAATACACCAGCATATGTATAACAGGAATTTCGGAAAATAAGGTGAAAGGAAAAGGAAAAAAATATTTGCAGAAATAATAGCTGAAACTTTTCAACTTGATGGAAATATTGATCCACATCTAAGAAGCTCACTAAAGTTTAATTAGAAGAAATCTACAATATATCCACCATGGCTAAACTGTCAAAAAGCCAATGCAAAGAGAATTTGAAGAACAACACAAGAAAAATAACTTATTACATTGGTATTGTCACAAACACCAACTACTGATTTGGCATTAAAATTACGTAGGCCTGAAGGTAGTGGCATGACATATTCAAAGTGCTAAAAGGGAAAAAATATCAATTAAATATTCTACATTTAAAAACCTCTCTGTCAAAAATAAGACTAAAGCCATCCCCATATAAAAATAAAAATGAGAGAATTTATTGTGTAGAATAAATTCTAAAGAGAGCTATTCCAGCTGAAATGAAAGGCAATTAAATCAGCACAAAGAAATAAAGAGCACTGGTAAAGGTAACTACATAGGTAATTATAAAAGATAATATGAATATATTTGGTTCAACACCTTTTTTTCTGACTTAAAAGATGGCTATGTTAATCAGTAAGTATAAATCTATATTGATATGGTTATGATGTATAGAGATGTAGTCAATATGTATAACAGCAAAAATGAGAAGGGGGTGAGTTATAGTGGAATAAATTTTTGTATACTATCAGAATTAATTTAGTATAAATATAAACTAGCTTGCTTAACTTTAGAATGGAAATTGGAATCCAAGGCCAACAACAGAAAAAAAAATTACCCCAAATAAAGCAAAATAAGCAGGTAGTTAAAAGGGTACAAAAAAACTCCCAATTTAACATAAAAGCAGACAAAACAGAGAAAGAGATGAACAAAAACAATATAATAAATATAGAAAACAAATAGCAAAGTAACAGATGTAAACTCAAGTATCAGTATTTGATTAAATGTAAATGGATTAAATTAGTGAATAAAAAGACAGACATTTGCAATATTAATAGTCTCCATAATCTATATGCTAACTATAACAGAAACATTTTAGACACAAAGAGCTTAAAAGTAAAGAGGCAGTAAAAATATGTTATGCAAACAGTAATCAAATGAGACCAGAGTGGCTATGTTAACATAAGATGAAGTACATTTTAGTGTAAAAATTGTTATCGAGATAAAATGTAACATTTTTATAATAACAAAAGCATTGAAGTATCAGAAAAGTATAACAACTATAAAGATGTATGCACCTAACAACAGAGCACTCAAGTGCATGCAGAGTCATTGAGAAAAATGAAGAAAGAAACAATTTAACAATAGTAATTGGAAACTTCAATAGCTAAATTTCTATAATGGATAAAACAACTAGGCAGATGATGAAAAACAAATAGAAGATGTAAACAAAACTGCAAACCATGTAGTTCTAATAGATATCCATATAATATGCTACCCAACAATTTCAAAATGCAAATTATTCTCAAGTGTAAATGAAAAATTCTCTAAGGTATACTATATGCTAGGTCATAATATAAAAATCAATAAATTAAAAATAATTAAAATTGTTCAATGTATATTTTTCTAATCACAATGGAGTAAAATAAATGAAAAACAAGAAACTTCAGGAAATTCATAAATATGTGAAAATCAAACAGCACATTTAAAACCAACAAATGTAAAAATATACAAGAAAAATTAAAAAATGCTTTCAGATGAATGAAAATAAAAACACTACAAATCAACACTTGTGAGACATGCACACAAAAAAACAGTGTAAGAAGATTTATAACTATAAATACTAATATTTAAAAGAAGAAAGCAGTCTAACAACTCACTAAACTAACCTCCACAAGACACTAGGAAAAGTACACTAAACTAAATCAAAGCTAGCAAAAGGAAAGAAATAGTAAATAATAGAGCAGAAATTAATGAAATAGGAAGTAACAAAACAGAGAAAATCACAGAAACAAAATTTTTTTAAACTTTAGCTTCATTAACCATGAAAAAAATAAGAGAATACTTAAAATTGCCAAAATCAAGAACTCAAGAGGTAATATAACTTCTAAACTTACATAAAAATATTATGCATGAATAGCATAAATGAAAATTAGATAATTTAGATAAAATAGATACATTTCTAAGAAAAAATGCAAACTACAATAGTGACTCAACAAGACAAGGAAAATCTACATATATTTATACAAGTGAAAAGATTGATCTAGTAATAAGGAAACATTCTACAGGAGTCCAGACTCAAATGGCTTCATTGTTGAATTTATACAAAATATTTAAATAATAATTTTCAATCTTTCAGAAACTTATTTAAAAATAGATTAGAGAATACCTATAAGTTACTCTTTGAGGCAATTATTACCCTAATTCAAAAACCAAATCAAAACATCACAAGAAAATGACAAAGCAATATCACTTAGGAATATAGTTGCAGAAAAAATTATCAAACCAAGGCCAGCAACATACATTAAAAAAAATACACCATGAAAAAGGGGAATTTATCCCAGGCATGCAAACTTGGTTTAACATCTGTAAATCCACCCATATAATAAACTATATTTTAAAAATAAAAGACAAAAATTACACAATTATGTCTACAGATGTGAAAAAAATTGGACAATGCCAACATCATTCATGACAAAAAAATACTCAACACGTTTGGAATATAAGGGAAATGCCTCAAACTGAAAAAACATCATGTGCTTGAAAACCTACAATGAACATCATGCTAAATTGGAAAAGCATAAAAACTTCTCTTGGCCGGGTGTGGTGGCTCACGCCTGTAATCCCAGCACTTTAGGAGGCAGAGGCAGGCGGATCACCTGAGGTCAGGAGTTTGAGACCAGCCTGGCCAATATGCTGAAACCCTGTCTTTACTAAAAATACAAAAATTAGCCAGGCATGGTGGTAGGCACCTGTAATTCCAGCTACTCGGGAGGCTGAGGCAGGAGAATTGTTTGACCCCAGGAGGCAGAGGTTGCAGTGAGCTGAGATCATACCAATGCACTCCAGCCTGAGCAACAGAGTGAGACTCTGTCTCAAAAAAAAATTTTTTTTTTCTTTATGAGTCAAAAGAAAACAAAGATGACCACTCTTGCCACTTCTGTCCAATATCTCTTGAGGTTCTAATCAGGATAATTAAGTTAAATAAAAATATAGAGAAGCTATTCAGATTGGAAAAAATAAAAAATAAATGCATTTCTATTTGTGAAAAGCCTAATATTGTACATAGAAATTCCCATGCAGGACACTAAAAACTGTTAGACCTTATGCATGAATTCAACAAGGCAAAATATATAATTAGTATTTAAAATTAATTGAATTTCCAAAAACTATCAATGAAAAAAATTGAGATTAGAAAACAATTCCATTCAAAACAGCAAAAACAAAAATGAAGTATTTAGGAAGAAATTTAACAATATAAGTGCAACACTTATCCATTGAGAACTATATAAAATTATTAAAAGACAGTAAGAGGATATAAGTAAATATACAGATATCCTACATTTATGGACCAGAAGACAATATTGTTAAGATGGCAACACTCTCCAAATTCATCTACAGATTCAGTGCAGTACCCATCAAAAATTTAGCTGCCTTGCCCATGCCTATGTCCTGAATGGTATTGCCTAGGTTTTCTTCTAGGGTTTTTATGGTTTTAGGTCTAACATGTAAGTCTTTAATCCATCTTGAATTAATTTTTGTATAAGGTGTAAGGAAGGGATCCACTTTCAGCTTTCTACATATGGTTAGCCAGTTTTCCCAGCACCATTTATTAAATAGGGAATCCTTTCCCCATTGCTTGTTTTTGTCAGGTTTGTCAAAGATCAGATAGTTGTAAATATGAGGCATTATTTCTGAGGGCTCTGTTCTGTTCCATTGGTCTATATCTGTTTTGGTACCAGTACCATGCTGTTTTGGTTACTGTAGGCTTGTAGTATAGTTTGAAGTCAGGTAGCATGATGCCTCCAGCTTTGTTCTTTTGGCTTAGGATTGACTTGGAAATGTGGGCTCTTTTTTGGTTTCATTTGAACTTCAAAGTAGTTTTTTCCAATTCTGTGAAGAAAGTCTTGGTAGCTTGATGGGGATGGCAGTGAATCTATAAATTACCTTGGGCAGTAGGGCCATTTTCATGATATTGATTCTTCCTACCCATGAGCATGGAATGTTCTTCCATTTGTTTGTATCCTCTTTTATTTCATTGAGCAATGGCAACAAAAGCCAAAATTAACAAATGGGATCTATTTAAACTAAAGAGCTTCTGCACAGCAAAAGAAACCATCATCAGAGTGAACAGGCAACCTACAGAATGGGCGAAAATTTTTGCAACCTACTCATCTGACAAAGGGCTAATATCCAGAATCTACAATGAACTCAAACAAATTTACAAGAAAAAAACAAACAACTCCATCAAAAAGTGGGCAAAGGATATGAACAGACACTTCTCAAAAGAAGACATTTATGCAGCCAAAAAACACATGAAAAAATGCTCATCATCACTGGCCATCAGAGAAATGTGAATCAAAACCACAATGAGATACCATCTCACACCAGTTAGAATGGCAATCACTAAAAAGTCAGGACACAACAGGTGCTGGAGAGGATGTGGAGAAATAGGAACACTTTTACACTGTTGGTGGGACTGTAAACTAGTTCAACCATTGTGGAAGTTGGTGTGGCGATTCCTTAGGGATCTAGAACTAGAAATACCATTTGACCCAGCCATCCCATTACTGGGTATATACCCAAAGGATTATAAATCATGCTGCTATAAAGACACATGCACACGTATGTTTATTGCGGCACTATTCACAATAGCAAAGACTTGGAACCAACCCAAATGTCCAACAACGATAGACTGGATTAAGAAAAGGTGGCACATATACACCATGGAATACTATGCAGCCATAAAAAATGATGGGTTCATGTCCTTTGTAGGGACATGGATGAAGCTGGAAACCATCATTCTCAGCAAACTATCGCAAGGACAAAAAACCAAACACCGCATGTTCTCACTCATAGGTGGGAATTGAACAATGAGAACACATGGACACAGGAAGGGGAACATCACACACCGGGGACTGTTGTGGGGTCGGGGGAGGGGGGAGGGACAGCATTAGGAGATATACCTAATGCTGAATGACGAGTTAATGGGTGCAGCACACCAACATGGCACATGTATACATATGTAACAAACCTGCACATTGTGCAAATGTACCCTAAAACTTAAAGTATAATAATAATAATAATAATAATAATAATAAAATTTAGCTGCCATTTTTTTTACAGTAATTGACAAGTTGATCCTAAAATTTCTACAAAATTCAAGGTCCCAGGATACTTAGAACAATCTTGAAAAAGAACACTTCTGGTGAACTAACACTTCTCAATTTTAAAACTAATTTCAAAGAAAATAATAAAGACTGTATAGCACTGGCATAAGAATAGACATATAGGTCAACTGGATAGGATTATTGAGATTTGACAAGGCCTTCAAGATTATTATAGGGGCATAATAATCTTTTCAACAAATCGGGCTGCATAATTGAATATTCATATAAGAGAATAAATGAAATTGGACTTCTTCCTTAAACCATACACAAAAAATTAACTCAAAATAGATTGTAGTCCCAAATGTAAAAGTGAAATCTCTAACATATTTAGAAGAAAACATGAATAACTTTGTGACTTTCCATTAAGCAATGATTTCTCAGATATGACACCAAAATACAAGTGAAGAAAGAAAAACATAGATACATTGCACTTTACTAATATAAAAAACTTTCGTGTTGCTAGTCATACCATCAAAAAAGTGAAAAGCCAGTCCACAAAATGAGAGAAAAGATTTGCGAATCCTTTAGCTGATAAAGCATTTGTATCCAGAATAAATAAGAAACTCTTACAAGTCCATAATTAAAAGGTAAATATCTCAATTTGAATAAACCTTTTTTTTTTCAGATTAGATATACAAATGACTAACAAACACATAAAGAGGTACGCAACATTATTAGGTGAATACAGACTAAAACTATCAGATACCACTTCATACCCACTAGGATGGCTATAACAAAAAAGGCAGACAGTAACAAGAGTTAACAAGTAATAAAGAGAAACTGGAACACTCATACATTGATTATGAGAATGTAAAATGGTGTGGCTGTTTTGAGAAACAGTTTTTGTTGTTTCTCACAGAACTATTTGACTCAGCAATTTAACTCCAAAAGAAATGAAAATAAGTGCTCAAACAAAACCTGTACACAAATATTTATAGCATCACTATTCCCAATAGCCAAATAGTGGAAGCTACCAAATTAAATCAACAAATGTAATATATTTACACAATGGAATATTATTTGGCCATAAAAAGCAATCTACTGACACATGGTGCAAAATGGATAAACCTCAGAAATGTTATGGGAAGTGATAGAAGTAAGTCACAAAAGGCCACTTGTTTATGTTTCTATTTACATAAAATAGCCCAAATAGGCAGATCTATAGAGGGAGAAAACAGATTTGTGTTTGCCTAGGGTGCGGGAGTGGGGTAGGTGGAGAGTGACCTGTAATATGTGTGGGGATTCATTTTGGATTGATGAAAACTTTCTAAAATTTGATTTCGTTGGTTGCTGTACAGCTGTGAATATACAAAAACTACCGAATAGTATATTTAAATAGATTAACTTTTGATATGTTAATTATACATCAATAAAGCTGTTTAAATAAAAAACTTAAAGTAACATACTTTTCTTCATAAAGACTACTTAAATCACTAGAGTTCACTAGCCCCACTCTCTGTTGTTACAGCATGTTGTCTATGTTGCTATTCTAGTAATTTTTCTACTGAATCTAAATTATCTATTTATGTAACTTTCTCCTTCTCTAGACTGTAAGATTATAAAAATCGGGCCTTTCATGTTTTCTTCTCTGTACTTTTATCTCAAGCATTGTACCTGTAATACATAAGAATAAAGGACTATATTCCTCGATATTTCTTGAAAAGCTAATGTTTTTACTCACAATTTTCTCCATGAATTTCTATTCTGGCAAAAATGCTTTGGCAGCCTTAATAAACCAACCACAAAGCCACATGATACTCAGAATTCTAGATTATTGCATTTAATCTTTATGTGTGTGTGAGACTGTCCTGGAACATGTCATTTGTTTCCAAAAAGATGGCAGGCAGTTTTATTTAAAAAAAAACCTGAAGAAATGTAAAAATAATCAGCTTAAGTGAACAAATTGTGCATTATATGACAAAAACTTTAGAGATACGGATTCAAGTGTGATATTTAATCTAATTTAACAAAAAAGCAATAGGACAACAGAGAAGGATACATCATAGGTCTCCAATAAAATTTTTAGTTTCCAGTGGTGACTATCATATTTTCTACACGTAGGCTTTTATGTGTAGAACTTGATATGTTTATATTAGTTCTTCTTCAATGAATGAAATGGTGTCAGTAATAGAAATAAAATGCAATTTTGAGTGGTTACTCTGTTTCCTACATAGAAGTGTCAATTACCTATGATATGTGTTGGTACCAACAATCATCTTTCTGTTTTCTCTAAGTGTCAGAGGATCTCAGTGTCCTTTAGCGTCTTGCTATGGTTTGGATATAGTTTGTTCATCCCCACCAAAACTCATGCTAAAATTTGATCTCGCACCAAGCATGGTAGCATGTGCCTCTAGTCCCAGCCACTTGGGAGGCTGAAGCAGGAGGATCCCTTGAACCCAGGAGTCAGAGCGCAGCCTGGGTAATATAACAAGCCACAACTAGAAAAGAAATTTGATTCTCAATGTGGGAGTGTTGAGAGGTAGGGCCTAGTAGAAGCTGTTTGTATCAAGACGGCAAATCCCTCATGAATAGCTTGGTGGTTGTTCTCACCACAGTGAGTGATTTCTTGCTCTTGTGAGACTTGATTACTTATGATGGAAATAGATTAGTTCTTGTGAGGGTTAGTGACTAAAAAAGCTGGGATGCCCTTCAGATTTTGCCTTTTCACACTTGTCCACATCCTCTTTGACCTTATTTGTTATGTTATAACACATCATGAAAGCCCTTCCCAGAAGCCAGAGCCATGCCCTTGAATTTCCCAGCTTGCAGAACCATGAGCTAAATACATCTCCTTTCTTTATAAATTACCGAGGCTCACGTATTCTGTTATAGCAACACAAAACTAAGATAGAAAATTGGTACTAACAATTGATCATTGTTATATAGGTATATAAAAATGTGGGGTTGGCTTTGGAACTGGATAGTAGAAAGAGATTAGAAGAGTTAGGAGGAGCAGGCTAGAAAAAGTCTATCTTACCATGAATGAAGAATTAAGGGTGGTTCTGGCAAGAACTCAGAAGAAAGTACAAAGGTGAAGAAAACTTTGGAGCTTCTTAGAGATTTGTTATATAATTGTGACCAATATGCTGATAGGAAAGACCATTCTGATGAAATCTGTGATGGAAATAAGGAGTATTTATGTGAAAACTGGAACAAAGTTCCCTCCTGTCACACCACAGCAAAGAATGTGGTTGCATTGTGTTCATGCCCTAGGGCTTTAGGAATACCCCTCCAGTTTTTCCTTTACTCACATGTCCACTTCTTCTTTGACCTTCTTAGTCGTGTTGATGCAGCATGAAAGCACTTACCAGAAGTCAGGGCCTTGCGCTTGAACTTCCTAACCAGCAGAACCATGAGCTATCTAAACCCCTGAAAAAAAAATAAATTATGCAGTCTCAGTTATTCTGTTATAACAACACAAAACAGACTAAGACAGGTATAGACAATCTCCATTTTCTCTCTGCTTATGATGTACAAAGATTTATATAATATGAAGCCATTTTTATTACTAAATAGTGATCCTAGAATGTATCATAGTGGAATAGACTTTATAGTCTGTAACTTATGGCAAAATATCCAGAGATATATGTTTGTCTATAAATAAATCATTTCCTCTGTCCCTAATTTTGTGATCATCAGAGAAAACGGTATGATACATTCTTGCTTCTAATCTATTCACTTCCTATTCCTTGGATATTCCCTTAGTTTAGAAATTTTGGTCTTATTTTTTATCTTTCCTATCAGAATATCTAAGTAAATTAGCCTTTAGATCCCCTCAAATGTTTCCTGTCTGTTCCAGTTCCTTCACAAAGTAATGAATTTTGCTTACAAGGTCAGAAAATTTGAGCTTATTTTTTATTCTGACCTTAACTCTCTCTTCCCATTCACATTGTTCTATCTACTCACCATTAGTTCAGGAACATTGAATTCTATTATTTTCATCTTGCAGCTGTTATTTTTCTTTTAATTTTTTATTAGTCTCTCTTTTCCTTCTATTCCAGTTCTCTATTTTATGATGCGCCTACATTTACCCCTTTGTATAAGGGACCACAGGGCCATAGGGCTCTTGTTTTATATTATTTTTGAAGAAAATAATTTGTAGTGCCTTTTGAAAAGACACAATGAGCAAAGAGCGTATTTTGTTAAATACATTCTGAAAATAAGATTAAAATTTAATTATAAAAATTAAGAGTAATGAGGAGACAGGGTAATAAAAGCAAGTAAAAAAGTGAAAAGTACAATTCAGTTAGAGTAAAATACTTGAATAACAGGAAAAAAATGAAGAAATGTACAACATAGTATATAAGAGAAGAAAAAAGTAACATTCATACATGAAAAAGCAGGGTAGACACAAATAACAGTACAAGGGGTGAGGAAAAGTCTAAAAATCGAGGAAAGAACAGGAAGTCAATAGAGACATGGAAAGTTTGAGAACTAGGATTCTGCTTTTAAAGCACATAGTGAAGGCTTTGATTGTTATCTCTGTGAGATCATCAAGACATTGCCTCAAAAGTCTTTGGGTTTAAAATGCCTTTGGTAGATGAAGTGGAACTGGCTGCTCAATGTCTGGAGAAGGGGTTGACTGCACTCTATGTTTTTGGCCCCCATAGCCACTGCACAAACTCCATTCATAACTGGCTCCAGTGTTCCTTGCCTCTAAGAACAACGTGTAAGCTTTAGTTAGGGAAAAAAGGCCATTATAAGTTTTTCTCTTCATGAATATGGATAAGCTTTGGTAATAATGTGTGTTTATACACACACGCATACACACATACACACTCATTACACAGTGGAACCCAATAGGAAGTTTCACATGGCATTGTTTACACCATACATAACTCATACAGAAGAAACTAGAAGAAAGCAGGCAGACACTGATTTCCTTATGTTTTTGTTGTAATTTTTTTTCAAACTTTTAATTTATTCATTGGAACTGGATAGTAGAAATGCTTCTTTGTGCTCTATTGATCTTGTTTTGCAGTGAGCTTTAAGGGTCACCTAGGTTTACTTGTTCAATCTAAAATCATACTTTATGTTAATTTTACTCTTCATTGTTCGTTGTATGATTTGTTTTTAGCCATCATTTTTAGAGAATTTTATTCTTTCAAAGACTTCTAGAATGTACTTTAAAAGACTTCTAGAATGGCTTCGTGTAACTGAATTAAATATAGTTTAATTAAATTTAAAAAATAAATTACCCTTACCACTAATAACTTTAAGCTTTAGGCTGCATTTGAATTGGAAAAGAATTTGAATAAATGGCTTAAGAGCTCTAGTGAGGTATGAGCTTAATTTGCATTATATGTAACTTACCTCTTTTCAATAAATGCTTAGATGGAAGACAGAATGAAAAAGATAAGAGGCTCTAAAAATCACATTTAAAATTTATTTAATTAAAAGGGTGTTTTGCATGATTGGCAATTGAACAAAAACATGACTACTGGCTGAAGAAAAAATGTTCAATGATATTATATAATTAAATAATAAATATTTAAAACTATTATTTTCCTAGAGGTCATATAATTTCATTGTAATTCAATATAACCACTAGGAATACTGTTGCTAAGCCTAAAAAATACATTCTAAGGGTCTAATTTATGGGGTTAAAGTTGAATGACAGGTACTGAAATCAGAAGTATAATCTTACCACTTCATCTATTTCATCCGCTATTTTTGCTTTTTTGAATTTTCAGTAGTAGGATGATTTTTTATCTTGTTTCTTGGCAAGCAAATTTTTACAAGGCAAATAGGATCCAACAACAACTTCTTAGGAATTGTTACACTTCTTCTTAAAATAAATTTATGTAAGTAAGGAATACAAAAATAAGTAACTTGTTCTCTTATATGAATGTAGGTAATATTATAGTGTTAGATAATACACACAAAAGTGTTCACTAATTGACACTGGTAGCATACAAATTGTAAAGATGGAATCTATGCCTATCTATCCAAGTGTCCTATCATGTGATCCAAATTGATCAGTTGGTTTACAACATGCAGTAGATGGTATCTATAAACTATAAAAGACCAAATATTTTTAAACAAAATTACTAAAAATGTTGCCTCTAGAAAGCTTAATAGACCTCATCTCAGGAAAACCAGGCATTTAAGAGTCTTTGATAGATATTTTTGCCATAAAGATTGGTCTATAATGAGATTACAAAAAATAGGCAAATTCAAACTTCTTAATTAAAATAAAAGAGGAGGAAACTAACACACACACACACACATACACACACACACACACCCAGGCACACATGTACAAACACACAACCTGAAACCAAAGAGAGACATGGAAAGAAGGAAAAGGTGTAATACTTTCTCATAGATGTGTCACAGAATCAGAACACGTAGCAACATTTAATATAGTCAACCTTTTTCATAAATTAAGAATCACTAAATTGTAATGATGTTCTTTACTAGATTGCCCCCAACACAGAAGTATTAAAATCATGCTGATGACATCAATAAAGCATGGGAACCCAAACTTGAGAGAAATTCAGCTTTGAGAAATTATCCACATTGTTCCAATTACAATATCTATAAGCAAGTGATTTTAATTTAGGCCTACATATAACAAAGGTTTCCATTTTGTAATACACAGATGGTGAGAGAAAAATGGGGCATCATTACTGATTTAGTTTTTAAGGACTTCAAAGGTCTAATTTTATTTACAATTGTGTTTTATTCAAATTATGGCTTAAATATCCATTCCAGAATTTCAGGAGAATCATTTATATTAATCATATTAAATATTAAAAGAGACACATTAAAATTATTTAAAATTATATTACCTGGGCTAATTTGATTATGTAAATATAAGTTACTTCAAATCATCTTATGTATGCATAATTAGTCTTAAAACTATAAAGTCCTAATAAATGCTATTTTTAATAATGCTGCACACCATTTATTTTAATTCTATTACTTTATATATCAACAAAGTAAAATATCATTTTAATATGGTACATAGAGCTAACAGAAAATATCTAGATAGCTGAAGTTAAAACTACTCTTAAAGAATGTAACTAGCTTATATTAATATATTTATGATATGGGTGGTTATCTGGTTAACAATAGCAAAAAAATTACAGGTAAGTTCAGCAATTGAACAAATGGTTTCTAAATACCTAAACTTTTCCTGGCATATTTCCAAACATAGAGCAGAAATAACATTAAATATCCATTATGAGTAAACTGACTACTCTTCAGGATATTTTCAGTCATGAGGTTTCTGTTTGAATCATGTTTTTAACTAAAAACATCTTATATCTTGGGATGTATATGAAAGCTATTCTGTCAAAAGATAGAAAGTGTTATGAAAGGAATGTGATTTACACATGAATTATAAAAGGCTAGTAATCTAATAAGACTACATTTGGCAGTGTGTGTCCATTACTGTTCAGGATAGAAAGTGACCAGACTCATGGAAATGGGTCTCTAGGCTATGTAGCAGACCCACCAGTATAAAGATGGATACATCAATGTTCATGGCTTGAGGAAATTAATCATAAAGACTATACGACTTGCTTCTTGTTATGATTACCTAGTATGAAGCAATATTCTGATTTTAATTTGACTTCCCATATAACTGCCTACAGGGAGTGACTATGAACTCAAGTATGGCATTATAGATTCTATTTTAAATTAATGCATTGGTATTCCGATTTTAATACATCAGTCTCTCAGGGCTTGTTTAAAGTAATTTTTCCCCAAATTATTAATCCACTGCACAAATGATGATAAATGAAATTTCTAAATCCGAGATTTAAGAACCAGGCCCTCATTTTGTCAAGGCAGTGCTACACTATGGGACCCTTAGAAATGCTCAGATAGACTTGAAGATCACTGTAAAAATTCTCTTCACACTGCAAAAAAGTCCACTTTCACATTCACTATAAGCAGGAAAAATCAGAAGCAGAAAAATATTAGAAAATGTCTGGCTTACTATTTTATTAATAAAGTTGGGGCTAAAAAAATGACCTTGCATTGTGTGTTAGTAGAAAACAGAAGAGGCAGGAAGTTGGCTTCTGACTTATTTGCACCTGCCAAATCTCACTTCGGTGCTTGTAACTGGCAAAACTTAATGCATATCTAAAATTCTGCTGCATGGGATTCTAGGAAACATAGTCTGTATCTTCCAGGCTCTGAAGTGGAGGAAGCATTATAGGAGGGTGTAATGGAGTTTGAGGTATGCCATATGTCCCAGAAATTTTTGTAAACGTTCCAGAGAAATGTTCTTATATTTTCTCGGAGTAAGATGTGTGGAGATGTTTACCATGGAATTATTTGTGATAGTGAGTTGAAACACATCTAGGTCTCATCAGTAGAGGAAAGGAAATGCAGCATATGGTGGATACATACTAGAGTCTACTATGTAGCAGAAAGAAGCAGCACGCTACACATGTATAGTATATAAATAGGTCAAGAAAGGTAAATACAAAAAGCACTGTTGAAAGAGAGCAACAACTACATGAGATACCTTGCAAAAATAGCATTTATGTAAATTTGAAGCACTATAAACTAAACAGTGTTTATTTTATAATATGCACAAATTATTAAAACACTTGTATTAATGTAGTCACCTGTGGGAGTGCCTCTCATTGCCAAGTCCAACCTGGAAATAATAGACAGAAGGGATTTCTGAATATCCTGCCTCCTTCTCTGTGATAGAGTATGTCACTTAAATCATGCAAGCCCGCATAGTCCACCAATTGTCAATTTAGCATACATATACATGCCCCTTAAAATCATATTTAAGCTTTCAGGAAAGGCAACTTTATTCCTAATACAATATAACTATTCTTAGTACAGCCAAAGACCTACCTTCTTTTGCCTCAAAATGCATCTTTATGCATCTCCGACTTCTAAACCATTTATTTTCTGGTTTATATCAGTTTCTCTTCATATTTTAGCATGTTCTGAATTATAGTGTAGACACTGCAATTCATGAATTTGTGTATATACAACTGTATACATGTCAAGTAAGGAAGACAATATTCATGGCTGTTATACTACATTCTGCAGTATGTAGTTGTTTTTGGATTTATATTTTCTCCTTTTCACCATCAATTTCATGTTTTTGTTTCCTTGAGCATCTGCATTTACTATTATTCTTTACTTGGTGGGATAATTGGAAGGATCTGAATCAACAGTTTCTGTCTTTATTGGGTCCAAAAGTGTCTATACAAATATTGGTTCTGAATGGTATTTGGGTGAGTATCCTCTGAAGTGCCTTTTACTATTTTCTCATCAAATTAAAATTAGCAGAAAACTGCAGATCCAATAGTCTATCCATGCTATTACTAGCTGAACTCTTTGAATGGCTCAGTTCTTCAAAGGAACCAGCTAGCTACAATTTTGTGGATAATTTTGTCATATAAGAAGTGCAGCACTGATCTCTACTGTTGGCAGGTTTTGTTTTGTTTTGTTTTGCTTTGTTGTATTTTAACAACCCAGTAGTAGTTGCTGCTAGAATATCTTTGGTGAAAATTAAAGCATGCTGGTGTGATCATGAATCATATTCACCTTTGCTACGATAACAGTTTATTCATAAGCTCCTTATTCAAGAACTGAATAGTAAAGGAGAATGACTGACATCAACAGAAAAGGTTGTTTCCACCTGATCAATGAGAGATTCCTCTGCAGTGAAATTCCCCTGGAGAATGTTCATGTGGGACATCAAAATTATATTCTGTGTCTTTTTAGAGGCCAAACACATATTTTTAACCCAGATTTCCAACTTTTAAAGTATGTTTATTCAAGTTTTTGACTAATCAGCCAAACCACTATCAATTGCTTATAAATCAGTGTAGATCCATATATCTCTCATTTCTCCTTCCAGACATAACAACCAACCAAATGCACTGCTTTGTTTTCACTAGGATTATACCCTTTCTTTACTGACAAGCTATGCTGCTTCAGCCACCAACTCTTGAATGGTGACAAACTATCATGTGATAGTTTTTTTTTCAATCCATTTGACATAGGTAATTGCCTATGTGGCCACAGGCGGGGGATGCAAATGTTTTATCAATATAGCAGGAGTGGTGTCAATGAAATCTCAGCTCCATTTCATGTAAGTTATGTGTGACCTTAGAACCTATTCTAAAGCTATCTCAATCACTTCAATGTGATAGCTGTATACTTTTTTTGCATGCTCAAATTTATGATTTGATGGGTCAAATGATATAAACAGTATCTGAGGATGCATGGTACCTTTATGTTTGTTTATGTCTGGGGTATTAACAAAAAGGAGAGTTCTCTGATGAAGAGGGCATTGCTTTTCCCCAAAACCCTAAGGGGATGCACATTAATTTTCCCATTGGGGAATGCCAGAATTCCCATACATCATCTCTAGCAGTTGTAGAAATTTCAAGGACCATTGGCTCTGTGGGATCGTATTACCAAGTGATAGAACGCCTTTCTTAGCAGGGTAGACTTTCATTAATGCCTTTTATTTCTCCTTATGGTTGGTTCAGTAATTATTATTGAATTAAAGTAACTCACTCAATCAAATACGTAGTACAAGTAACTTCCAGAACTCAAAGAGATCCACTAAGTATGGCTCCTCCTTTTTATTGTTAGAGGACACAAGTTTTAACATATTATCTTTCAATGTCATGTATATCTTAAAATGTCCCAAACCACTAGATTGTTATAAACTCCACTGACGTGACAGGCCCTTTAACCTTGGGAGACTATGTTGCCCACCCTCTGGCATAGATAAATATTATTAAGGCTCCTAAGATATTTTATTTTTCTTTCTCACTAACTCCAATCAGCATGAAGTCAGCAATACAGTGAGGCAGAATGAGACCTTTTTGAGTAATGGAAAGACAATTAGGATGTGTATATCATAACAGAAGTGGGGAGCTGATACTGCTCTATGCTAAGATTAAAAAAGAAAAAGAAACAGCATTCTCAAGATTAATAAAAGCATACCAGGTACCATTATAGGTATTAACTTGCTCTTGTTTTCTTTTAAGGCTGAAATCTGAAAATCTAGTTGTAATTCTTCAAGATCAATATTTCTTCTGCACAGGCCAAATATAAATTTGAATGAGAAGGTGAATGTAATCTCCACCCTTGTATCTTTCAAGTCTTTGATTGTGACACTAATCTCTTCAGGTATTCCACAATGTGTTATTACTTTTGATTTATTCTTTTCATTGGGAAAGGGAGTTCCAGGGATTTGTGTTTGGCCTTTTTCATCCTGATAAGTCCTCACTCCATTTATCATAAACTAATGTGGGGATTTTGACAGTTGTGGAATTTAGCTGTTCATATCCTGTATCTAAGAAGTGGGTTTCAAGTAAGTGATGGGACATACCAAGCACACTATGAAATGTACTGAGACAAAATCTCCATTCATCACCTCACTATCAATAGCTCTTACTCTTACTGAGGAGCCAGAGTAGTGTTTCTGGTCTCAAGGAATTAATATCAGTTCAGAGGCAGTGCCAAGTAGTCTCTACAAAGTTTTTACTTTTTCCTTTTCCCAAAGCAAATTTACTCTGGTAAATTGTCTCATATTCTCTTGGGGAAGACTAGGTGGAAGTGTTATACTTGGTAATTGTGTCAGAATTTTAAGGGCATTGCTTAAGGTGCTCTTGCCTCCCTTTCAGGGAGATCTGGTTTCCAATTGGCTCAGGTCTGGGAATTAAAGTGAGGGTCCATAACTCTCATTCCAATGTCAAAGAGGCCATTACTAACTTCAAATATAATCAGGATAGAGAGTCAATTCCAGATTTTTATTTTTGAACTTCTCTCTGAAATCATTTCTGCTAGCTAAAGGCATAACACTTTTGTAACTGAAATGACTCAAAAGTTGGTAATGATGCTGTGTTAATATCAAACAATTTATTACAAATATAAAATATTGTCTAGAACAACATCTAATCTGTATGAACATATGAAATAATTATTTTTCCATTTTTCGATATATTTGTTCTTTCACAGAACTGACCAACTCATATTCTTACCATTGAATTCCTTTAGAATAAACACTCTAAGAGAAGAGGAACCTTTCATTTTTGTGGTCTAGCATAGTGCCTGTTAGTAGTATGTATGTGTGTATATGTGTGTAAATATATGTAATCACATGAAATTATATCTGTGTAAAATTCTAATTATTAGAATATATTTTCTTATACTGAGCTGTAAGTCTTGGCAACACACAAAGTAAGTTCAATCACCTCTTCTGATGTCATTTTTTATATGTTTAAAGATCTGCCTACATGGATCTACTTTGCTGCAGGCTAAATGTCCCAGTACCTTGGAAACATATCTCAAAAGATATGACTCCAAATCACCATTCTACTCTTCTGGTCATTTTTCTCTAACTAAGCCAACATTTGTGTTTGCCCATACCTCTCGATTCAGGGTGTCTGGGACTAAAAGGGATATTTCTAAATTATTTCAAGCAGCGTGTTTTTATTATTTACTCTGTTCTAAATGATACAGATACATTTCTAAATATATAACACATAATTTTATTTATATACTTATAAATATAGCTAGTTCTAAATATTTCTATTTCTTTTCTTAATGATTCATAGCTTGGCAACCATTTATATAGTTTTTTATAAAATATCACATGTACTGTCATTTAAAATACATAAACATGTTTCAGAAGTATTGTAACTGAGCCACACATACCCATTTCCGTGTATTTGTTATTGGCTTTATGATTTAAGTATATAAGAATTCATACTTGAGAATTTATCCTTATTAAAGCATTCTCTTCTGCGACAAGTGTGGCAATGAATTTTGAGCTAGAAGACCTTCACAGTCAGTCTATTGTAGCATTCAGATTTTCTTTAGCACTTAGATTCTTGGTGGGCAAAAATGAGCGAAGAATGCTATCAGCATTCATAACCCATGATAACAAATGAAGCAATGGCTGACCCTGTCTATTTTGAAGAACTGTGCACAATGTAATTCTCATGACAGCAAACGAAACTCAGGAAAAAAATCAACTTAAAATTCACAGGGGAGCAAAGGAGGCTTATAACAAAGAAGCTAGGCTTTATCAAATGGAGTTTTGAAGAGAAACAGGGAACAAGACTTTGCCCATTACAGTAAATTTTATACAATCATATAACCAGAAATTATTTGAGATAAAATAAGGGCTTGGGACATGGGAAATATTTTGGCTTATAAGTCTTGTTGGGAAAGAAATCCATAGTCTTAGGAAGGCAGAGTTTTGTGATAAAACATGTACTGTACATGACCATTACATTTTATAAATATTTGTGTTTTACTAAATTATGGGCCCTGTTCTCATTCAAGCAAGGCATTTATTTTCCACCAATTTAAAAGTTTGTTTAAAAAATTACACCTAAATGTACTTGCTACACTGCAAGTTTTCTTTTAGTCAAAAGAAAGAACAAGCTTACATTTCCATTGAGAACACTGCAAGTGATGATGAAGCATTTGGAGGATACACTCATCACATGGCAATACTTACAAGATTCATATATGGGTCTTTGGTGTACCATGAAGATAAATAGCCAAGAAAGTTATGAGAAAGATAACGGCTTGAGTGTTGGGTTAAGAGCAATGTTCAAAGACTATAGGTTGGTGATTTATTGTTTTAATAACAGTTGATGATTTGTCAACTCTTTTAAAGGGCACTTCTTTCATAAAATATGGCAGATTGAAACCATGAAATTCTATGCTTCCCAAATACACAGAACTCCCACTTATGCCCTTGATGCAATGACAGTTTTCCAGAGAAAGTTTTATTTTCTATAGCCTGAATATACTCTGATGCCTATACTTCCACAAAGTAACCAATTTAAGTTTAGCTTAGTTATTAGCTAAACTTCTCAAAGCTCTTAGGATAGCTGAGTTAAAGCCTTCCTAGAAGCAGCAAATATGATTTCAATGATATTTCCAACCTGAGAGATGAACTGGGTATATTCATCCAGGGTTCTCAGATAATTAGCATTCTCAAACACTAGTAAGGAAGGTTAGAATGATAATCTGAAATTCTGTTTTACATGTAAGTGTAAACATAAAGGGAAGAAAGATGCACTATTATATATCTCATTCCAAAATTATTTCAGATCAAATTAATCACTTTTTATATGTTGGAAATATGTATATAAAAATTAAAATGTAATATGCCATAAAATAATAGAATTTACGAAGTAATTGGCAGGTATAAAAGTACAAACTGCTTTTAAAAAATATTTGGGCTTGGCCGGGTGTGGTGGCTCACGTCTCTAATCCCAGCACTTTGGGAGGCCAAGGTGGGTGGATCGCTTGAGGTCAGGAGTTCAGGACCAGCCGGGCTGACATGGTGAAACCACATCTCTACTAAAAATACAAAAAATAGCCAGGCGTGGTGGTGCGTGCCTGTCATCCCAGCTACTTGGGGGTCTGAGGCAGGAGAATCACTTAAAAATGGGAGGTAGAGGTTGTAGTGAGCCGAGATCAGGCCATTGCACTCCAGACTAGGTGACAGAGAGAGACCATGTCTCAAACAAAACAAAACAAAATAAAACCTAATTTGAGCTTTTTTATTATTGTTCAATTTTTTAAAAAACATAGTCACAATTCTAAGATGTCAATAAAACCATTTTAAGCCACCAAAAATTTATGATTTTTTTTTCTGATGGCATGCACATTTGCCTTTTACTCTCTCCCAGATTACACTGTTGCAATCAAGGGATTCTTGAACACGTTTTTAAACTTTTTAGTTTTGAAATAATTTTGGATTTTAAGAGAATTCCAAATATAGCATAGAGTGTCTAAATGTCCTCACTCAACCACCTGTAATGCTAACATCTTTCACGACATTGCACATTTATCAAACCTAAGAAATCAAAATTGGTTTAATACTCTGAATTACACTACAAATTTTATTCTGATTTACCTAGTTTTTCCACTCATGCCTTTTATCTGCTCCAGGATACAATCCTTGCTAGCTCATTGTATTTAGATTCAACTTCTTTTTGGATGTCCCCTCAAAGAATGGAGCTCTACACATTCTGGGCATTCTGCACTACAGTGGCTGTCATTTCACTTCTCTTCAGCAATTCATAGCTGTGGTAATCGCCCGCAATGTACTTTTCTTCTACTACAAAACCTTAAGCTTTAAGGCCTGCATGTTGCATGTCTACTCATTCACATATTCTGCTAAATTTCCTTAAGGACTCATCAAAAATCGATTGCTGTTTTGCTGAAGTAACATTAACTTCATGTTTTCACTTTCTTTCACCCTATTTCTACCTTTCCATCTTCAAATTTCTCACAACAGTGCAAATGATACCCTTTATCTCTGATCCTTTTAAACTTTACATACATCTTCCACGAATGATCTCATCCCCAGATTACTCCAAATGTCCTGTCTGCTTGGATGTTCTCTGCTGTTGGAGCATTTTAGATAGATATGCTGATTGCAGCTATCACATCCAACTTCAGCTTAAATATGCACATCAATCTTCTTATGTCAACTGTTTGCAAATCTTAAGAATTTCTCCAAACCCTCACGTCCCCTCTTGCCACTTGTTACACATAGCAGATAACTCCTACTTAAAAGTGAGAACAGGACAATAAGCAGGAATCTTCTTCAATATCTCTCTCTAATTACATACTTAATCTATATCATATTTTATTCTTCCTCTATTTTCTTCCCTATTGCCATAGATTACTCTGTTTCTCAAATCCATCTTGCAACTTCCAATTGCTTCACTACACTTTCTTGCTTCTGCCTAGTACCTCTCTGATATTCACCTCCTCCTATATTCAGCCACCCTCATAAACTTTCAACTACATCATCGTTCTTTCTGTCCTATAAACACTCTAAGCCAGTCCCCATGTCAGAGGTGGCAGCTTTTGCTGCCTCTGCCTGTAAAGCTAGTATCACAGATCTTTATATGGCTGCCTCTGGCCAACTCAAATATAATTTCTTTATTGACCACAAAGCTAAAGTTTCATCCTTTAATGGTCTCTTTCTATCCCATTATTTAATACTCATCACCATCTTACCTTTTTTACTTTTTTTCATATTGCTGTCTGTTTTGCTTACCAACCAATCTCCCTATAATGTAAACTCAGGAGTTAAAAGAACTATATTCTGTTGCCCATCATTATATTTCAAGCATCTAGAATAGTGCCTTGAAGAAACAAAACGTCCCATAAATATATTGTAATGAAAAGACTGAAGATGTCTCTCAACGTTAAAAAAAATGGGCATTTATTCTTGAAATATTAGTTATCGTAGTTTAGTATCATGACAATTAAGAAAAAAATAGAGACAAAAAGAAAAAATAAACTAGAATTGATTTGGTCTCAACATTTACAATAAATTTATTTTGAATAATTTATTATATATTACTCAATCCCACTTTATATGTAAATTTTGATTTGCAGTTCTTTCGTATTCAGGAAAATGTCACTTAATATGCATAATATATAATATCGATATAATTTTTTAGAAGAACATTTTAAAGATAAAATATCTAGAATGATGGTATAAAAAACTCCATAGACCTTTCCAATGTAACAACTATAACTATAAAAATTATTTTTTTTTTAAATTAAATCCTCAGAAATTGTTCTAAGAGCATGATGCAAATAAAGACAAAAATATTCAACACTCTACTAAATCTTTGTAAAAAGAGCAATAGCTTTGACATTAGAACTATGATCTGCATCTCTCCCCACCTCCTGCCCAATTTTGTTTTACAGAAATTTTTTTACAGAAGAAAATGTCTGAGAGGTCCAATGCTTTCTTCTTTACCTAGCCCCCACAGATAGGGTAGCAGGTTCATCCAAAGCATTTTAGACTGAGTATCCTGCAGTCCTAACTCTCAATTTCCTCACCTCAGCTTATTTACAAGGCAAAACTGCACACATGAAGGGGCAAGCCAAAAAGACCAGAAGTTAACATCTCACTCAGCTTCCTGAGCCTAAAATAGAGAGACCACTTAAAAAGAAAGAGGTTATTGTCCATTTCCCAGCTCCAAGGCAACATCAGATGTTTTTGTCAAGGGGGAGAGGAAAGCTAAAAGAACAGGGAGTTTTGACGCTTTCTGTGAAAGAAGTGACCTTATCTGGAACAGAATATGGGAGAGTTCAAGCGTAAGGGTGTGCTAAAAAGCAATGGCTATTGTGGTGGTAAGCAATTAAGAAGAAGCTGTTAGCTCCATAAAAGCAGCCAGTTAAATCATACTCTAATTGCATATTTAATCTATATCACACTTATCCTTCCTTCATTTTCTTCCCTATTGTCATAGATTACTCTACTTCTCAAACCCATCTTGCATTTACAGCTAAAATTTTACCAGAGAGGACCAGAGAAAAAGACGGCTAAGAATAATCCTCCAAGAGTCAGAACAAACATCAGAGACTAATCTAGAAGACTATCTCTGCAAAGGAAATGAACTGGATTAGACTGTGGAGGAATTTATGCTCCAGGGCATTGGTGAAAATGATAGAAAAATTAGCTGCCAATTAGTGAAAGCTAATAGCTGGGTTTGATATAAACAAAGAAAGATAGCTTGACAGAAAGAAATTTGTGAAATTCATAAATATCTGGAAATTTAATGATGCATTCCTAAATAACCAATGGATCAGAGAAGAAATCACAAGAGAAACTAGAAAATATTCTGAGATGAATGAAAATGAAGACACAATCTATCAAACTTATGGGATGTAGGTACCACATATACAAAGAACTATCTTAGATAAACAATCTATCTTTTTAACTTAAGACACAGGATAAAAAAGAAAAAAACTAAACCTAAAACAAGCAGTTAAAAGATAATAAGAATTAGAGAAGAAATTAATTAAATAGAGAATTAAGAAACAATGGAGAAAATCAACAAAGCCAAAAGATAGCTCATTGAAAAGACCAACAGAAATAAAAGAATTTTAGTTACATGGACGAAGCAAACAGTAGAGAATACTTAAATTACTAAAATCAGGAATAAAAGAAAGGACATTACTACTGAATTAACAGAAATGAGAAGAATTATAAGGGAATACTATGGATAATTATATGCCAAGGATTAGAGAACTGAGAAGAAATGGCAAATTCCTAGAAAGATACAACTACAGAAATGATTCTGAGGAAACAGAATATCAGAAGAGACTTATAACAAGTAAAGAGATTGAAATATATGTATAACAAATTTGATGAAATATTTAATTAATTAATACTAATTCTTTCCAAATTCATCCAAAATACAGAAGAGGAGACACTTCTTACCTCATTTTCTGAGGCCAGTATTACCCTGATACCAAAATCAAAGATCACAAGGAAAAAAAGAAAAAACAAAACTACAGAGCAATGTTCCTTGTGGAAATGTATGCAAAAATCTGCAACCAAATACTAGCAAACTAAATCCAGCAGCATATAAATGGACTTTACACATGCTACAACAGGCATGAACCTTGAAAACCTGATACTAAGTAAAAGCAGTCAGTTAACAAAAGAACACCTATTGCACAGTTTCGTTACATGATATGGACAAAACAGGGAAATCAATAGAGTCTATTTAATATACTTGAATCCAATTAGTAAATTGGGAAACACAGAGAGAGAGAGAGAGAATGAAAAAAGATAAACAGACCAGTAACATTTGAAATATTGTGAGAGACATTATACCCACAATTGCAATTAATGAACTTAAGTGTTAGAATGTGTTTAAGAATAAAGATATGAACGTGCTATCCTCTCAGCTCTCTGTTCTCACGTGCCCCATAAATGTGAGGTGATTATAGTACTATGGAATATCCTAATTTTAAAAGTTGTCCTTCTCTCACTCATGTAATAGAAATATAGGAACACTTTACTTTGCACATATTTTCTCTATTATATTCAATGCATTACTACTTATTTATATTGCACATAGATTTTAACATTTAGAGGTGCATAAACAAAACCATGTAAACAATTTTCTTGGAAAATAATTATTTTCCAAATAATTATTAAATTAAATAAAATATAAATAAAAATTATTTTCCAAATTTCTTGGAAAATGATTTTCTTGGAAAATAAATTATGTTTCTTTGAAATAAATAAATAAACAAATAAATAAATCTTACTATGGGCACAAATTCCTAATGTTTACAAGCTCAAAAAAGTGTTTTATATGTGATATATAGAATGTACATACTCACAAAGCATATATGCATAAGTATATATGTTAATATATAAAATTGGTTACAAAATAAACTACAATAATATTTGGGCTTAATAAGTCTCATGGGTAACAGCCAAATTATAAAAACGTGAAAACAGCATTAAATTAAACACTATATTTTGAAAGGGATGATGAACCATTTGAATTGTACGTCTTTTGTCATGGAGAAACAAATACACACAAGATGACAGTAAAAACAGAAAATTCCTGCAATTGTAAAAGGACTTATGAAAATACAAACTACTTATATTTTTAAATTGGAAATGCATATTCAAATATGCATTTGATATATCCATTTTAGGTCTTTTGTGTTTATGTTATTGACATTATTTAAATAAAATTAAAGTGACTAATTTTGGAAAAATACTATTATTTTGATTCAAAGTCTCTGAGTTTTAATCTCCATGATTAATGAGTATTCCATTTTTTTTGGACTAGATTAGTCTTATCTTTGCCATGATTACTATAATTTAATTAAATGAAGCATGTGACAATTTTTATCAGTAATTAATCTACAATTAGTTTACTAGATTACCTATAGATTAGCTTTATATAAAGTTTTAATTCATTGCCTACCATTCTGGATATACTCTATAAATCCATAGCTTATAGGGTCAAGCACTATTCATGAATTGTTCTTGATTATAGCAGAGTAAAAATGTTAAAAACATAGAACTCATTTTCTATTCATCACAGGAGCATTTTGAGCCTTTGCTCTTCAAATCAAAGGCAATTGAAAATTATTTTGAGTAGCTCTGCAACTTGCCTTGTAGTGTTTTTGACATTTATTTTGTTCATAAAATAGAACTTTTATCTAAACAAATGATTCACATTTATATAATCTGGCTAATTGTAAATCATATGTATCTTATTTTTTTCAAGGTTTTACGTAATTCTCAGAAGTACAAAGATAGCTAAGAATAGTAATAGTCATCTGTGATTGATTTTTAACTATACAGTAGGTTTTATTTACATGATATACATGAAAATGCGCTGAGACTCAAGGTTGTGAAGTAGTTAATAATCTATAGGACTAGCAATGAAGTTATGAAATGATTGTCAACGTATTCTGGGAAATATATTCTATGTAACCAACACAATAGTTGATAAAACCATAACTTTAAACATTTAAAAATCGGTATAATTTGCAGGACTTGGTCCTCTTTATTGCAAAGAGCTGCATACTATCTGATTATTTCATTGTTCCCCATCTGTTTTTATCACTTGTCACCTTCCTGGCCCTCATGGACACTGGGAACTCTCTAACTAGGATGAGAATCCTGGTCTCCTACATATCACATAATCACCCTTGTCATTATACCATACCACTGCATGTGATGTGGCCTGGCCACACTCTTTCAAAAAGTAGGAAGCCTGAATGAGGAAACTACCCGCATCTCATGAAGGGCTTATGCCACTCCATTGCTATTAGAGGTATTCCTTTTTTCCTTCCAGTTCTTCATATATTCCCTCCTTTTGCTTTATGCCTTAAGACGGTATTTAATTGGTTCTTTTTAACCTGGCATTAAACAATATTTTGGATCATTTATATTGAAAAAGATCAAACTTGAAGAATTACAGATTTGCCAGGTTAGATTAGGACTGGGGAATGATCCCGAGAACAACATACCACAAGTTGCCTTTTTACAGGAGTTGCTGTATCTGACATAATTAGGAAGCTGATTAATCAGGAACTTGCTGCTTTAACTGCTATGTTGCAGCCACATTGGTCCTCCTGTTTTCTGGGGACCATAAAGCTACCCCTAAAACTATTGTATCTAGGACCACATTACTATAGTCACAATCCTCACCAGCGAAAGGAATGTCCCATGCCACTATGGAGCTTCTCTGAAGGGGAGCAGCTGAAGATTGGGAATATTTTCTGCCCCATAAATTCCTTCCAAATATCCTGCTGTATGTTTGCTTAGTGAAAGCTGAATCACAAGCCAAATTTCAAGCTACAGAGAATTCTAGGTAATGTATTCTTTGGACTTCTGACCTTTAGATTCCCAGTAGATTATTAAGCACATTGAGTTGGGGAAGGACTTCTGTAAGCCATGCTACAGAAGAGTCAGAAAAGACTGAGGGATTTAGTCAGCCATATCTACCACAAAAGACTTGAGGCCATGGATAATACATACATAAAAAGTTTGCTGACTTTTTTTTCCTTGAACATTCCAAGATTATTTCAAGATGATATTCTTTTATCTTTCTAATCATCAGTATAATTTTGAGGGTCAGAACTCTGTAAATGTCACATTGCAGAACCCAATATAAAACTGGCTCAAGCAAAAAGATACTAAGCATTCAATCTAGCTTCAAACATAAAAAGATATTGGTTTTCTGTTTAAAGGAAAACTGTTTATCTTTGTTTATTAGTTCTTTTCTGTGTTTTGCTCTATTCTCAGCTTGTTGTTTCATACTTGATGAACAGTCCCCCGAAGCTCCAGCTTGGTTAAACCAGTACAAAAAGAGATTCTTCCTTTCTGAAAGATATAGTAAAATATTTAGTACTAATGCTATTTGCATTTGGTGGACTCAATTTAAGTCACCTGCCCATCACTGAAACAATGTTTGTGGCCAGATGAATGTGATTCTCACGTCCACTCATAGAGTGACTAGGTAGGGTCCACCTACCTGAAAAGAATTGCTGACCAAGAGAAAGGAGTAATTCTTTTTTTTTTTTTTTTTTTTTTTTTTTTTTTTAACAGAGTCTTGCTCTGTTGCCCAGGCTGGAGTGCAGTGGTGTGATCTCGTCTTATTGCAACCTCCACCTCCCGGGTTCAAGTGATTCTCCTGCCTCAGCCTCCTGAGTAGCTGGAATTACAGGAGTGCACCACCACACCTGGATAGTTTTTGTATTTTTACTAGAGACGGGGTTTCACTATGTTGGTCAGGCTTGTCTCGAACTCCTGACCTCGTGATCCGCCCCCCTCGGCCTCCCAAAGTACTGGGATTACAGGCATGAGCCACCGTGCCTGGCCAGGAAAGGAGTAATTCTTCACAGGGAAATCATAGTGGTAGTATGAGAAGGTAATTTGCTGAAGAGTAAAAAAATAATAGTTATCCATATATCACTTCATTGTAATTCATTATAGATCTATCTATTTACTATTTGTTATGTCTTCCATCCCTTGGAGAAACATATTTATCCATTTAGATTGAATTGTGTAAAGCTACCAGTCTAAAGAATGTTGCATAGATGTAGATTAATGTTACAATGTGGGTTAATTTTTTTAAAGTTTTATAGTTCTATATAATTTATAAGTAAGTTCCTTTTATTCCTTAAAAATGACAAATATATGACCAATTTCAGGCAGTCAGATATTGATTCAAAGTGTTAAGATAAATATTTTCAATGCAGCATTTTTTCTACTATGTAGGACATATTGTTGATCATATGTCTTTGCTTGTAATAAAATAATTCAAAACATTTTCACACCCCTTAATCCTAAGTGGCAAATACACTGTACTGAATTATACTTTCTCAAGAAGTTAATTCATTAAAAGTTATTTTACCCTCTGTTTCAAATGAATGCTGGTCAGTTTCTTACTCATGGGAAATTATGAAAAACATAAATTGAAGAAAGACTTGTAAATCTTGACTCTAAGACCATAAAAAAGTCCAAAAGTAAAGAAATACACTTTTGTCCATTTTTTCAAATAAATATTGTGTTTAATATTCTCTGCTGCATATTTTCAGAAAATAGCCCTTCTAAAGAAGTATTAGACTATTCTTCAGCTGGTTCAATCCTTAATAATGGAGAGTGAATATAAAAATTCCCTGACATTTAGCCTGAAGTTAAGCAAGTCTATTTCTATTATCTACTATATTCTGGGTAAGCAATATTTAGGTACCCTTCAGGCATTTTCAAGGCTCACTTTGTAAACTTATGAAAACACCAGTGTGTAAAGAAATCTAAATCTGAAGCTTCAGTTAACATGTTATTGAAAAATAAATTCACCTATCTACCTATAACTTGTTAGCATGATTAAACAAATAAGACTAGTCAAAGAAATATTCAGAAAAGAACTAACGTTGAAGCTTGCTTTGGGCTGAATAGTCATTTCCAAAACCAACTTCTGTCTAAAGACATCTCCACAATTTAAATTAGAGAAACTGCCACACAAGAACTTAAGCCTTGACACTTTTGCAGCTGTGTTTTTGTGAAGAAAGTTCCATAGTTCACAATAGTTTTCATCAGCTATAAAGGGACAGTTTTTAAGAATTTTTGAGTAAATCAAATTGAATATATGCAAGGGATGTATTTACAGACATTTCCCTCACTTAGGAAATGAAGCAAGTATTACATTTGAGACTTGTAATTGCGCCCTGTTGTTTTTGTTTTAATAACAAATCCTCTAATATTTTGATGGCATCTAATCATTGCAGCTGCCCTAAGATGAGGCTGCCCTAGAAACACTTTGTGTCTAGTAGCCATTCATCCTCTCGGCTGGAATTGAGATGGTAGAGGAGTGAAACATGTTTTGAGATGGTAGAAAGGTTGCACTTAGTGACCAGGGCCTCTTTAGAGAAAGGGAACTCAAATGTTAGTCTTGTTACTTAGTCCTTAGGAGATGTGTGGTATAAGGTGCCTACCATTCTGTTGGCAGAGTGATTAGATATTTTTCTCTGGTGACTTTCCTAATAATTGTTCTTTGCTTCCTCTCTCAAGCTAATACTGTGTCTTGTGACATTCAGGCATCACTTGTCTTCCTACCATCTCTGCTATCTTCTGGAATTCCATCCCTAAAAGCTCAAGGAAACTAACCTATCATGTATTACATCTTTTCAGAGCTATTACTAATAATTGAAGGACCTGTGCTCTTGAACATCTAAACAACAGAAAAATTTCTAAACCGCATGTTACCTAGTGCTGAATGCATTTTCATATTCAAGGTATATAAATGTTCTATAATTTTCTGTAGCTCCATCAGATACTTATCAGTAGAATCATGAACTGCCAAAGACATGACTTTCTATTTCCTACACATGTCAAGTACAGAGTCTCTTCCAGAGAATCACAGTTCAAATTAATTAGGGAATTTAATATTGGCTGTGGTATGCTTCCCTATCTATGTTGTGTAACCCAAATAAATGACTCTAAGAAGAAAACTTCAGGCAATGATAAAAAGAAATCCCAAGTAAAGGCTATTTGAAATTATATTAAATGAGGTGAATGAATAGATGTAATATAAAAACAGGCTTCACGCAGTGCCTTAAACATAAAATATGCTCTGTGAAATTTTTATTATTATTGCTTATACTTATTATTTAATTGTCATACTCCTGCAATAGCCCCAAGCAATGGTTGGACCCATATCTTACTATGTTTTATGTGCATATTAAGTTATCAAATACAAATTAGCCTCCATGAGATTATCCACTTAAATTCCAGTTGCCTTGAAAATTTTAGTCCAATCACAACACAGCTAAGATAAAAATTTTCTTTTCAGAATCAATCAATTGACACTGATTGGAATGAGTTTTAAACACCTGAAAAACACTGACTGATTCTCAAAGTAAATTATCTGATGTAATTATCTAAGTAAGCAGACACTTTAGGTTCCTAAACCTTCATTATATTATTAAATGTCCACAGTTCTATATAACCTTGTTTCATTATTTAATTCCTCTTTGAATTGAAGTTCTTAATTATATCAAACAAAAATACTCTGGCAATTTTAGTACCATTTTCTTGATAAGCTCTCTGTAATGAGAAAAGAAACTTCAGCAGCATAATAAAAATGACCTAGATTGAAGAAAATCACTGTCATCTATTTCAGCTGATAACCTTACCTCTGACTTAGGAGTCATTTTTCCTCACCTTGGTGGTGAGTGACTTTAAAAGGGTCTCTAATCCTGTTCTTTCTTCTCTCCCCATCCTCCCTGCAAAAGCCCTTTTGTAGGGGAGGAATCAGTATAAAAAGAGTTCTGGAGAATGCTAAGGATTTTCAGACACTGACTGCCTGACTTGAGTTCTAACAATCAAACTTGAATCTACAAAGAACAATGTGGTGGCCAGAAGGGAGGTACAGCAGCAGTGAGGTGAACATACCCCAGGGCAATATTGGAATTCTCTGAATGAATTTCATATTATATGAATGTCTTATTCACTTTGTACAAGATGTTTTATACAATTATAACAAGAAAATAGACATAGGGGAGAAAAACAGTTACAATTTCCTATGCTTGATCACAAAATCAGGTGAAAACACTCCTGGAAAACTAGGGGAGCCTGGTGCAGTGGCTCACACCTGTAATCCCAGCACTGAGTGATTACTTGAGGCCAGGAGCACGAGACCAGCCTGGCCAACATGGTGAAACCTCATCTCTACTAAAAATACAGAAATTAGCAAGGTGTGGTAGCAGATGCCCGTAATCCCATCTACTAGGGAGGCAGAGGTTGCAATGAGCCGAGATTGTGCCACTGCACTCCAGCCTGGGTGACAGAGCGAAACTCTGTGTCCCCCCCCACACCCCCTCCCCAACCCACACAAAGACAACCAAGGAAAAGAGCAACAGAGCACATGAGTGTTCAGTATTAAATGCCTACATATGTCAGGCAAGGAGAAACAACACTGACTGCTATTTGATAATGTTTATACAAGTCAATGTCTTGTGAAACAAAGAATTGTGTTCTTTTTAAACTTTTTGAATAAGTGTTTGCTTATTTTTTTTTAAATAAGGGGTTTTGTCAGGACTCAAACTTTTTATAATCATGCAAAGCAGAATTTCTGGAAAATAGGAGACTTGGGATTACATTTAGAGTAACTAAGTAGGTGGAAATTTAAACTCTTGTAATCTGAGTTGTGCATCTTAATTTTGAAGAAATTATAAATAAATAGAAATACCTGTTGTATATGAGAGCAACGATGAGACTGAAAGAAATATGTTTCTAGGGTTTTTATTTGGCTATTAATAAAGACCTATTTATGCTGATTCATTGAAAGATGTCGGATTTTATTATATCAATGGCAACTTCAAACTGCTTCTAGTGAGAAAGAACAATATTGAAATAGCTCCTGGAGAACAAGGTATGTGGTGAGCACCTAGTGTCTTATTTGAGGTATGGTGAAGAGGAAATTCAATTATAGAAAATTCACTATTTCCATTGGGTGTTTTGTCATTCAACTTGTATCCTGGGGAGATGATTTGGACACAGAGTGCAAGTTGAGTTAAAGTAAAACAATTAACTCTCAGTTATGCCAGAGTCGATCATTCCATTTATGTACCATTATCCAGGCCCTTTCATTAGCCTCCTTCTTCCTCTGGCTTTCTTTCATGTTTGTTTAATTTTTTCATTACTATCGTCACAAGATAGAAATGTGAACTATGTAATGAAAAGAAAAATATATCAGGCAATTTACCTCTTTGATGTCAGATATGGCAAAACAACTCAAAACAGAGGAGTCATCAAAAGACTTATTTATACTTCAGAAAGTATCCACAAGACTTTTTTTCTCTTTTTCCGTAACACATGCACATGCACACACAGACACACACAAACACACACACACAGACACCCACACACGGGGGTGGTGGAAGGCATAGAAAATGGAAAGAAAAAGAAAGAAAGAAATTTCACCCTTTCTATTACTACCTATACAGACTTTCATCTCTAAGATGTGGATTTGTGGCTTCATTCCTTACTATTTCTTACTGAATGTTCTTGCCCTGCTAAGCTTCCTTACAAACTGCATTTTTATTCAAGTCTTAGAGTGACTCACAAACATCTACTCAATAAAATCAGAATCCTTTACATGGATTTTAATGCCTTTCATATTTCATGGGCACCCATCTTCTCCATTCTCATTTGAAATAATTCCCTGAAAATCCCACAGATTATCAGACCAGAGTCACTTTACAATATGATAAACATCCACTTTCTCACCTTTGTTTATGTTGATCCAGGTCATACCAGGTTATGATGCGTTCCCTCCATCTCTTTATTCTTTCAAACTCCGCCTGTTATTTAAATTCAAATCAAAATCTCTTGGGTTTCTAGGAATCAGACTTTGAGATTAAGATGTATAAGGAAGAAGTTTACCGGGGCTTGCTCTCAGAGGCAACCCCATGAGGAAATAAGTGAAGCAGTATTGGACAAATTAAGGAGTTAATAATGATGGCTTCATCTGGTCTCATGAGGAGCATTGAAACCGGGGTGGTCTTTTAGAGATGTCTGGATTAGACGCAAGGGTGTCGATTCCTTACACCCACATTACTCACCAGATGCAGACTGAGTTGAGGGCAAACAAGTTTCTCTTGGAGGCCGCTCCCTTAGGTAAAGGGTAATAACAGGAGATGAACTCAGCTGTGAGCTGTTAGTGGCAAACATTCCTGGCAGCTGGGGAAACGCACGCCCTTGCCCTGAGGGTAGACCCAGGCAGAGTAACACAGCATTCACTGTCATCTGCTTGCATCTCTTTAAAACCTTGAGAGTTCCTAAAAATTCAACGGATGTTTTTGTACTTAATTTATTTCTTGTATGTGTCTCAACCACAGAATCTCAAACTGCTAAAGAAACATTTCCTTAGCATCCAGTAGCCATACTGAATCCGGAAGCGTGCTCTAAATATTAGTATAAACAAATTAGATTTTCCTCTCAAACATGAAGCAGGGGGCCGGGCGCGGTGGTTCACGCCTGTAATCCCAGCACTTTGGAAGGCCGAGAGGGGCGGATCACGAGGTCAAGAGATTGAGACCATCCTGGCTAACACAGTGAAACCCCGTCTCTACTAAAAATACAAAAAATTAGCCGGGCGTGGTGGCAGGTGCCTGTAGTCCCAGCTACTCAGGAGGCTGAGGCAGGAGAATGGCGTGAACCCGGGAGGCGGAGCTTGCAGTGATCCGAGATGGTGCCACTGCATCCCAGCCTGGGAGACAGAGCGAGACTCCGTCTCAAAACAAACAAACAAAGAAACAAACAAACAAACCAAAAAACCCATGAAGCAGGGGTATGTTATTAATTTAAGGGAATATACTTATCAAAAAGGGAATGTATTTATGAAAATATACAATGTATCAGGCATACCCATGCACTGCACTCTGAGCTCTTAAGTATAGGAAATCAGTAGGGCTGAGGTATTTGTAGAAATTGCAGTTTAATACATCAAAATGAAGACATTTGCTCCTGCCATAAACATTTCTCGCATTTTATTTGAAAAGTAAAAAAAAAATACTAACAATTGGGACTAGTGACATTGTTCCTACTGCAATTTCATCTATAAAAAATGACTTTATAGTGATGAATCTGCAAAGAGCACTATTGTTGGATATTATATAGATAATGCTTCTATGTTTAGTGTTGAGATGGCTGGATTTCAAGTGAAAACTATATCAATGTTACATTAAAAATGAAGGTATTAAAGAGGTGTAGTTAGAAAAAGGGCAGACAAATCTTAAAAAGTGGGGTTCTATTTGAAAAATATAGAAAAAACTGCTTTAACTCAATAAAATTGAATATTTAATTATAACTTATTTATACAAAGAGTTCAAAATTGTTGAGCTATATTTGTTCCTATCTTATTTTAACCCAGAATAACTAACAACTAAACTTTACCTTTGCTAGATATCATTTAAAATAAAGAATTTTGTACTTTGTCAAATGAAAAGTTGGGAAAATATTTCACCTGTGCATCAATTTTATGTGAAGTCCAATTTTACATATAAACTCAGAGTTTGAGAGGGGAAAAAATGAAATGCTTTTATTGATTTAAATAATCAATCAAGGATCATTGAAAAAAGTGTGTTTATAATATTTTTTCCTACTCATTAATGCAAGATAAAATACATTTTTGTTTTGCATTTGAAAAGACCATGATTTATCTTAAGGGATTTGTAAAAAAAAATATTTTAACCTTTTGAAAGCTGTTCTTTTTGGAATATTTTACAGCCTTGTTTTTTTTTTTGTGAAAAATTGACTCACTTTCAAATACCCACTAAGATTTGTTAGTCATTAAAAATATTCAGCTATTATATAGTCATTCATGACAATGTCACAAATGTTTGAGTTATTTTCATTGAAGACTCATTATATGTCTTTATTTTTCTTTCTCTTTGACATGAACAACCATCAAAGATGAAAATCATTTCTATGATGGACAAAGACATTTCATATTGACTTTGGGTTTCCCAGAGAATAAAGAGGATAATGAAAAATAAAAAGGAGTGAATAAAGAATGTAATGCTTTGTAATATTGATCTATTTTTAAAGAATCTGTAACTGAAATTCACTTCTGAATGACACCATGCAACATCATATCTAATGCTTCACCAGAAAGACAGTTTTTACTTTCACAAAAGTTTTATCAATTACATGTTTGAAAAATGCCAGGTGGGTGAGAGCTTAGTTGGCCTAAACCATCTTAAATCTTTGCAGGTCTATTAGGTCATTGATTTGGTTCTTTGGACATTTAATGAATATAATATGAATTGTTCGTTTTCTGTCATACGAGGAAAATATTTCAGACAAGATACTTTTATGATAGAGTAGCATATTATTATTATTATTATTTGCAACTCAGAGAGAAGTCTGCTTACTTTAATCCCACTAACTTGATTCAAGTCCTATCATCAGTGTGACCATTTAAATAAACAATAAGCTGAGGTAAAATAAAATAAAACATAACAAAACAAAAAAAGTGATCTCCCAAAGTAGGCCTTCTTCTGCAGGAAGTAAATGACAATTTATGGCATATTTCAATATGTGAAAAAAATGATTTTTTCACAAATTTCATTAGCACACCATTGATTGCTCATTTTTCAGCTCTCAAAATAATTTAACATAGTCTCTTTCATGCAGAGGATAACATATTCATATTATTTGATTTTTGATGAAACCAAATGACCCTTTAAATTTGCAATAGAGTTCTTTAATTTTGTATGAGTTTCTTTACTGCTGTTCATTTAATTTTCTGTTTCCATTAACCATCTGCAAGCATTTGACTCTATGACAATTATTCAGCTGTGGTACATCATGACTGACATATTTTATAAATGAAAAAAGAAAGAAAGAAAAGAAAATGGAGGAGGGTTAGAGATCACAAGAGAAAGGAGGAGAAGGCAATCGAACACAAATGTCATGGTTTGGAATCATGTATTTTCCATTCAGCTGAAACATCTGAGTGGTAATTATTGGTCCAACTGTAAATCTAGCCTAATTGCATTTTGTCTTCATTTCTGACAAGCACTTCACGATGATGATGATTACTCTTGCTAAATGCATTCGTTCCATGAATGTTTTCCCACACTGATGGCCAGGGGGCCTTGTAGATAAAAAGACTGCAGACAAAATAGCTCAATTCTGCTACAACTAAATCAGTATTGATTTCTTTTCCCAACTAAGAGAAGGACCCACTGTATATGCCTTTTGTTTTTCTGCCTACCTACCACATAGGGGGGTTTGGTCAGTAGATATTAGAATGTGCTTTAATTGACTGACATAACTGAGAGGCCAATCCTGGGCAATTAGCACTGATTAACTGTGTCGCTTGTCTGACAAACAGAGCACATTACATCTTGCCCATTTTCTTAAAGGCCTGTATTGAAAAGAATCCCACTGTTTGATTTAATTTTTCTTTGTACCATGGAAACCTTTTGCCATGTTGATTTAAATGTAATTTTTGCCTCTTTATGCTTTTTTCCCTTCTTATTATTGAATACCCAGTGAGCCTTTTCAATGATGGCACGGGGACAGGCTGTTAGCGTCTTTTCATAAATCTCTGTATTTCACAGTGGGGCAATTAAACTAAACATTTAGATTTGTGCTACAAATTTAAATGTGCAAGTGGAAGCAAATGGCTATGGAATTGAAGGGCATTATATTGCTTCATCATTGCAGTTCAGCTTTTCAGACTCAGTGAATGTTCTGACAAAGAAATTCTAGAAAAATTGTAGTTCTGGAATTTTTCTGAAAAAATCTTTGTAATGTAGCATCAGATAAAATCTGCACAGACTAAATAATCACACTTAACTATTCATTTGGATGATTTAGACATTTCATCTAAGTTCTTGAAACATTTATGAGCAATACTTGAATCCACCTTTGACAATGGGGCAAGGGAGAAAGGCTGTCATCAAGCTTCTGAACACAGTCAGTCTCTGAACAATGCATATTATAACCCAAGGCAAAACACCTGCAGATGGTGGATAATAGTAAAAGAGGTAAAAGGCTAGCACAGAAAGAGAAGGTATGAAGACTGCAGTTATATAGCAAAAAAGGCTTAAGTTAAATGAATTTGGTTCTTAACGTGTGATATAATGCTTGGAACGTTCAGAAATAAATAGATTCTGTTGTAATAGAATCCTCACAGAAAGCATTAGTGGACAGTTATTATTTGCTTCCCCAGCACCCATTTCTCTTTCTTCCTGGGAGGGGCCCTGATTTTCACTGGAAGTTCCATTCTTCTCCCATTCTCAGTCTATGTGGCTTGAAACTGAGTCTCCACCCCAGCAAAAAATATGCAGCATCTATTCAGTTCATACAGTGTGGTAGGTACACTGTAGATCAGGCTAAACCCATTCTGGAATAACATTTCCTGGCCACCTGAGTCATTCAGATGTGAACAAAATCTAAAGCAATCTGATCAAAGTAACTTTCAAGGCTTTTTCAAACTGCCTCGAGTAAAAACTTCCACTCCACTGGACTTTAACAATGGATTATCTAGGTATCCACACATCTTGCTATTATGCCCAGCTGCAGAATGAAGTCAACACATTGAAAGAAGTAGAAAGAAACCAGGAGTCAGTGCCATCATTTGGGCAACAAGGTCAATATATACCCTTGTTGCTTAAGCCAGTTGCCATTGATTTTTCTGTCAAAAAATACTTAAATATAGAAGCTAAAACTATTTGAACAAGATTATAGAGCAGAATGAAAAGCAAAAATACATAGGAAAGAAAATGTTTGAACTTCAGTTTAGAGAAAACACAACTTATCATATTCTACTGCCCCTTCAAACTTTAATCATTGAGTATGAAGTTCTCTAACCCAGATGAAAATTCTAACAAGCTCTTGGTTTTTCTTTGCATTATGTAACATAAAGAGTTCCCAAATCACTTTTAGTTCCAAACACAGTCTTGAATTTTAAAAAAGTTCTCATTACAAAGAAATGATAAATGTTTAAGATGATTGATATGCTAATTACCCTGATTTGACTGTTATACGTGTATGAAAACATCACACTCTAACCCATAAATATGTACAATTGTTACGTGGCAATTAAAAATAAAATAAAACAACAACAAAAAAGATTGTCTAGTCCCCCAGAAAAATAAAAACTCTAAGTTGGCCTTTGTATTTGGTCTTTTTAATGGTTTTAGAATGGAAGGCTGCAAAAGCAAAAATATAATTATTTATAAATTTTTCTCCATCTCGCTTTTTGTGTATTTCCATCTGTAAGTGTAGCTTCAGAATTGAGTGCTTAGAGGCAATGAAATGTAAGATGTTCTTTGAGGAAGTCAAGGAGAAAAAAACTAATATATTTCATTGCTACTGATAAGAGAGACATAGATATGATGGAGAGGCATTTGCATGGAGACAGTGGCTCCAGAATCAGATTGATTATTAGCATCTCTACTTGTCATTAGCTAGGACATTAGGCTAAGTAGCTCAACTTTTGTCTTTGCAGTTAAGATTAAAGCTTACCTTTTAAGATTACTGTAAGAAATACAAAACCAATGTGTACTACATGCTTACCACACTTTATGAACTGAGTAAAATGTTTCAGTTATTTGAGAAGACTTATCAATAGGATGTTAGGAGAGGAAAATCATACCCCTTTCTAGAGTAAAAGCAGAGTAAAAACATAAACAATAGTTCATTTGAAGTGTTATAATCCCCCATGATGTGAAAAATACAAAAATATATTAAAAAGAGATAAAAATCCATTTTATAGACTTATTCTCAGTAATTATCTATCCATATATATATATATATATATCAGTAATTATCTATCCTGTTAAATCAGGAGTTATTTCTGAGATAAGAAAACATTAACTCCAGTTGAACTAAGAGCTTGTAAGCACTCTGTGAGCTCATAACAGTGTAGGTATCCCTAGAAGCACTTGAAATGCACATTGCAAATACTATCAATAACTAACTGCTTAATATAAAATGCTGGCCAAATAACCTTCACAAGCAAATGTGGTGAACAACAGAGATGATATTAGAGATAATATTTTACAAAACACAACAACTTAAAATTTATCTCAGAAATTTTTTTTTCCTCACGTAGTTATGCTAATACAGGGTTACATGTTTTTCTCCAACATTTTAGGTATCACATCAATGTACTCTGTAAATCCTATTGCCATATGAGTTATGAAACATTTCCTTTTCAACTCTGGGTTTCAAGTTAAGGTGCCATAGTTAAACATGCTTTTACCTGTGAGCAAAATATCAATAGATTGGGCCTGTTTGAGAGCTAAAAAGTATAATTGATTTATTAAAATTATGTCTATGTCTAAATGAAGAGAATATTTCCCCCTCAGATGGTAATTTACAAGACATTTGTATATGACATATTCTTCACAACATAATTGGAATTTTTTTGAAGAATGATTTTTTTTTTTTACTTAAATCAAGGATATAATGGGAAGGTTACTATGATAAGAACAATGAATAAAGCCAGGGTTGTTCTATAGGTAGGGGATGTGGATTATACCGAGTGTTACAGTCTGTATTAGTTGCATATGGCCACATAACAATCACCAAAACCTAAATAATGTAAAACAACATACATGTATTATCACAGTTTCAATGGGCATGAATCTGGGCATGAATTAATTGAGTGGTCATCACGAGGTCTTGCAAGGATGCAATCAACGTGGTTGCTATGCGACATTACTTTCTGGTGCTCAGGATCCTCTTCAAAGCTCAAATAGTTGTTAGCATAATTCAGTTTCTTGTGGCTAAGTGTTGGGTTTCATTTTCTTGCTAGTTATTAGCTGCGGACTACTCTCAGATCCCACGGTGCCCCCTCAGGTCCTTGGCATTTGGCCCCCTCCATCAACACGTTCACATTGCAGATTACATTTTCAAGGTCAGCAGGAGAACACATCTGACCTCCATGAGGGTCCCAATCCATTTAAAGGGCTCACCTGATTAAGTCAAGCCCTCCCAGGAAAACCTTTTTTTAAAAAAATAAATTAAATGAAAGACAATTGATTAGAGCCTTAATTTACATCTGTAAAACTCCTCTTGTCATATAACGCAATAATCACTATTGCTTTTGAAATCAGCTACAGGTAACGGAATAATCAGTATTCAAGATTATATCTGAGGACTATTTAAAAATACAACTTATTTTATCTTCCCTTGTGAAAAATATTTTGAACTTTTCACTCCACATTAGAATATATCCTCTAAGATAAGTCTTATGCATGTGTTTCTGAATCCACAGTTGAAAGTCGACTGAGAGAAGCTGCAAGTGCTACAAATCTGCTGTAAAGATGAAGCTGATCCCCATCGTATTACTGTCTACAGCATGTTCACTTTGTAATGCATGAATATTTTCCTATATTTACTATTCAAATTTTAGTAAACATTTAGTATTGGCAACATATTATGTGCTAAATACTAGTTTTTAAAATGAGAATTATTATGTTTTCTTAAAAACATCTTTTGAATATTTTTAGGATGTAATTTTCATGAGGGGCAAAAATGGGTGGTATAGCATGGTAATTGTTATCCTCCACAGGTTCAGCAAAATCTATAAAGATCCTAATCTATCCTAGTACATAACTATGGATCAAGTATTTGTAATTTTTTTCTAAACCAAAACTGCATGTTATTTAACCCATACTTGGAATAACAGATTCTATTTTGTTAAACTGTAAGCTAAAGTATTATTTGTTTCAATAGTAAACAAAAGGATTATTTTATGTTATAGAAATTTTATCTTTTTTTAGATGTCAAACATCACATTGATAAAATTATACTGAAATTTGGATAACATATTTTGTTTGCTGTATTATATAACCACAAAGATTTAAAAACTTGATCAAATCTAAGTTTAAGATAATGTAATACGGATTAAGTATGCACTTTAGAGATAGTATAGGTTTTGAATATTGCTCTCACCCTTTACTAGCTGTGATTTTGAGCAACTACTCACACATAATCTGTACATTGTCACTGAGCTTGTACACATAAAGCATTTAGTACAGTGTCTATTTTAAAATTTTATCAGTAAATATTAACTATTAATATTTTATCATCATCATCGTCATATTTCTTATCAAGACAAAATTATAATATTTATGAGAAGAAAGCATCTATCAGCAATGACTTGAGCTTATACTTTTATAATTAAAATTTTCATCATAAAATTTTACAAAGACAACTTGAACCCGGACAAACTTGTCAAAAGTTGTGTTGAAGAATAAATGATTAAAGTTCAGTTGTAAATATTCATCAGCAATAGTGAACACATAGGTTTGAGATTTCATATTCATTGAAATTGCTTTGAGTTCAACTTTGCTAAAGAATTTAATTTTTTTCACAGTTGAAACCATTGCTATTTTTTCTATCAAAAGCTATATTATAAACAAATTCTTAAAAAGAGGCAACATTCTGATATTCTAAAATCCAAAATACGTAGATGATAAGTAATATTAAATAAAGCAACTAAATATCTTGCCCTTGGAACTCAGAGGTTTCCCTTTAAATTTAACTTAAGAAGAACATAGTGGACACCCAATATGTATTTACTGAATTAAAAAAAAAACAAATATTTCTATTAATAAATAAAAGACCTTTTCGTTGTTAATAAGCAAAATGCATTTTGAAGCTCACTTTCCGTTTGTGTATGTGTGTGTACATGTGTTTGTATATGAGTGAAAGGATTGGATTTTTGGTAATAAACTCAATGTCATCAAATCATATATGTACTTATGTGTGTGCATATACTTATGCATACATATTTATGTCTCATATGTATATATATGTATAATTCATATTATTACTTATCATTTAGTAATTTACTTTCTTTTTTATCTGATCCTTTCTTCTACTGTGTTTTATTTTTAACAAGAGGAGAAAGGTAACATTTTTATCATGTAAAACATTTACTTGAAAAATCATTATCATTAGAATCTGATTATTTTTTGTCTGCTATCTTTCTAGTGTTCAAACATAGAGCTATGAAATTGCCAATGTTTCTTTTTTAAGTTGAGATAATAATTGTACATATCTGTTTTGATACATGTATAGTGATCAGATCAGGGTAATACACATAGCCATTATCTCAAACATTTGGCATTTCTTTGTGTTGGAATAATTCCATATCCTCCTCCTTCCCATTTAAAACTATACAATATAATATTGTTAACTATGCTCATCCTACACTGGGTGGTAGAGAAGCTGGCAACCTAGGAATGCCAACACATGTGGACAAAAAAAAAAGTTACCCTTCAAGTCTGCTCTCTCAAAACAACCAACAGGAAATAGTAAAGCTGGCGAGACAGAGACTTTTAGACAATTGCTGCTCTGTAAAAAAGAAATACCAGAAAAAATTACTGTTCAACCTACGCACCTGACATCTCTCTAGACACCAAATTATACTATGCTGCAATGAGGAGTCCAGGTTCCTCCACAGACCCCCTACTGATATGGTGTCAAACAAGGAAGAGTGTGGAACAGGGACTTTCATGAGTACTCATCAGTAAGGTAGCAGAACCCAGCTACCCCTGTCAGTTATCACACAGAGTGGCTGGACTTCCACCAGCTTTGGAAGCTAAAGAGTCACCCTTCCCTTCCAGGCTGAGATAATGTCAAAAGAGACATAGTGGAAAATCAGTAATCTCACCACTCAAATATAAGGAGGCTAACCACCAGAGAGGACAAATAAGAGTTGCTCCCCCACCTTTCAGCCAGGTTGGTATCACTAGGAGCCCTAATGGATAGCCTTAATTTCCACTCCTGCACTGAGAAACCAGGAACCCCTCCTGCCACCCCACTAGGTGTCAACAGAGCCCAAATGGCAAAGCTGAACTTCCACACATAATTGACACTAACTAGTTGGTGTCTCCCTCTCCACTCTGCTAAAACAAACAAACAAAATGAACAAACAAACAAAAAACAGATTTACATTTGAATGAGAAAAAAACAATCAGAAAATGCCAGACTGAGATGACATAGATACAAGTATCCCTTGGAGACACTGAAGGTTCACTTCCAGACCAAGGCAATAAAATGAACATCACAATAAACTGAGTCACACAATGTTAAGGTTTCCCAGTGCATATAAAAATTATGTTTATACTATTTCATAGTCTATTAAGTGTGCAATAGCAGTATGTATAAAAATGTAGATACCTTAATTTTAAAATACTTTATTTCTTTTTTTCATGTTTAAACCATACAATAGGAACTCTGAACAACACAACTACATGATATTGTGGTTACAGAGCATGTTCTTTGGCCTGTAACATGCAATGCTGTCTGATGGCATTTATCCAAGTAGAACTTCTTTCAAATTTGGAATCAATCTTCTCGACAGTGCCACTGCCTTATCAACTGAGTTTATGTAATAGTCTAAATTCTTTGTTGATATTTCAAAAATGTTCATAGCATATTCACCAGAAGTAGATTTCATCTCAAAAAACCACTTCTTTTTCTCACTCATAAAAAATAACCCTTATTCATTCAAGTTTTATCAAGAGGTTGCAGCAATAGAGTCACATCTTCAGGCTTTAGTTCTCTTGCTACATCCTCTGCATCTGCAATTACTTCCTCCACGGGTGTCTTGAAACCCTCAAAGTCATCCATGAGAATTGGAATTAACTTATTCCAAACTCCTGTTAATGTTGATATTTTGAACTCCTCCATGAATCACCAATGTTACTAATGGTATCTAGAATGGCAATTTCTTTTTCAGAAGTTTTTCAATGTATTTTGTCTAGATTGCAGAGAAATTACTATCTATGGCTACTATACCTTTACAAAATGTATTTTTAAAATACTAAGACTTCAAAATCAAACTTACTTCTTGATCCATGAGTTGCAGAATGGATGTTGTGTTAACTAGCATGAAAGCAACATTAATCTCTTTGTACATCTCCAGCAGAGCTCCTGGACCAGGTGCTTTTTCAATGAGTAGTAATATTTTGAGAGGAATCTTCTTTTTCTAAACAGTAAGTCTTAACAGGCTTAAAATATTCAGTAAACAATGGTATAAACAGATGTATTATCATCCAGGCTTTGTTACTCTATTTATGGAGCACATGTAGAGTTGATTTAGCATAATTCTTAAGGACCTGATATAATTTGGATATTTGTCTCTCCAAATCTTGTGTTGAAATGTAATCCCCAATGTGGGAGGTGGGGCCTGGGGGGAGGTGTTTAGGTCATAGGGGCAAGTCTCACATGGCTTGGTGCTGTTCTCATGACGGTGAGTGAGTTCTTCCAAAATGTGGTCATTTAAAAGCTTGTGGCACCTCCCTCCTCTTGCTCCTGTTCTTGCCATGTGAGATACTGGCTCCCTTTTGGCCTTCTGCTGCTATTGAAAGCTTCCTGGGGCCTCACCAGAAGCCAAGTAGATGCCAGAACGTTGCTTCCTGTACAGCCTGCAGAACCATTAGCCAAGTAAGGCTCTTTTCTTTATAAAATACCCAGTCTCAGGTATTTCTTTATGCAAGAGTGGCATAACAGAAAGTTTGTGCCAAGGAGTAGAGCATTGCTATAAAGATAACCTGAAAATGTGGAAGTAACTTTGGAACTAGGTAACAGGAAGAGGTTTGAAGAGTTTGGAGGGTTCAGAAGAAGATAGCAAGATGAGAAAGTTTGAAATTTCTTAGGGACTGGTTACATGGTTGTGGCCAAAATGCTCATAGTGATCGGAAGAGTGAAGTCCAGGCTGACTAGGTCTCAGGTGAAAATAAGAAACTTATTGGGAGCTAAAGCAAAGTAACCCTAGTTATGCCCTAGCAAAGAGCTTAGCTGCATTGTGTTTATATCCTAGAGCTCTGTAGAAGTTTAAATTTAAGAGTGACAACTTAGGGTATGTGGCAGAGAAAATTTCTAAGCATCAGTCTTCAAGATGTATTGTAGCTGCTTCTAACAGCTCATATTTGGATGTGGGAGCAAAGAAATGACCTAAAATTGGAACTTACATTTAAAAGGGAAGCAGAACCTAAAAGTTTGAAAAATGTGTAGCCTGACTATAACTGTGCAATGGGTTTTTCCTGCCCACTGCACAGACAAAATAAATCTACTGAGATCATGGCATAGCAGTAAAGAAAGAGTTTAATTGATTCAAGGTTGGACGTACTATATGAGAGATGGAGTTATTAGTCAAATCAAGCTTCCTGAAGGCTTGAAGGTTAGGGCATTTTCAAGGATAATTTGGTGAGCAGATGGCCAGGGAAAGGGGCATAACGATTGACTGGGGATGCAATCACAGGAGTGTGAAAAACAGTCCTTGTGTACTGAGTCCATTTCTGGGTGGGGGCCACCAGAGGAATTGCTGGTCTGGGTGGGGCCATTCAGTAGTGAGAAAGGTAAAAGCCTGAAAATACATCTCAAAAGGCCAATCTTAGGTTCTACAATAGTGATGTTATTTACAGGAGTAATTGGGGAAGTTGTAAATCTTGTGGCCTCCAGATTAGTGGCTGGTGATTATTTAACTATGCCTACTTCTTAGTACAATTTAGGCCCCTTTCATCTTCCTAACTGGTGGCCTTTCATTAGTTTTACAAGGATAGTTTAGTTTTAGGATAGTTTAGTTTTTGGAAAGCACTACTATCATTTAAACTATAAACTAAATTTCTCCCAAAGTTAGCTTGGCCTGTGCCCAGGAATGAGGGAATAGTCAGTCTGTGATGCTAGAAGCAATATGGAGTCAGTCATGCCAGATTTCTCATACTGTCATAATTTTGCAAAGGCAGTTTCATGACAATGTGGCAGAGAAAGAAAAATTATTAACAGAAGAGGAATCCAAGCAGGCTGAGCAACCACACGCTAGAGATAGTAGTACGAATAACATGGATCCAGGTGCTGAAGGTCAAGAAAAATGAGAAAAACACCTTGAAGGCATTTCAGAGATGTCCAAGGCAGACCCTCTCATCACAAACCTAGAGGCCTAGGGGGAGAGAATAATTTAGTGGACTAGACCAAGGGCTGCATTACCCTGCACAGCCTAAGGTCACTCTTCCCTATATCCCACTCCAGCTTTAGGCATGGCTCGAAGAGGCCCAGGTACAGCTTGGGCTGCCACTCCAGAAGGTGCGAGGCATGGGTCCTGGCAGTTTCCACATGGTGTTAAGCCTGCAGGCACACAGAATGCAAGAGAGAAGGAGGCTTGGCAGCCTCCACCTAGATTTCGGAGGATGTGAGAAAGCCTGTATGCCCAGGCAGAAGCCTGTTACAGGAACAGAGAGCCCTCACAGAGAACCTCTAACAGGGCATATACCAAGGAAAATTTGGAGACCCCACACAGAGGCCCCACTGAGACACTACCTAATGGAGCTGTGAGGGAAAGAGGGTTGTACCCTGCAAAGCCACAGGAGTGGAGCTGCCAAAGGCCTTGAGGGCTTACTTCTTGAAGCTATGTGTCCCAGATATGGGACATGAAGTTGAAGATTATTTTGGAGCTTTAAGATTTAAGGACTGCCCTGCTATGTTTCAGATTTGTGTGGAGCCTGTACCCATTTCTTTTGGCCAATTTTTCCCTTTTAGAATAGGAATGTTTACCCAATACCTGTGCCCCCATTGTATCTTTGAAGTAAATAACGTGTTTTGATATTACAGGTTCATAGGTGGAAGGAACTCATTTCCAGATGAAACTTTGAACTTTTGACTTGGGACTGTTATGTTATGGATATGGCTTCGCTTCTTACACCTTATGAGCCAACCTCTGCTAGCTTTAAACTTTTTACCTCTGGATTCCTCACCTCTCTCTGCCTTTACAGAATTAAAGAGAGTTTTGATCTTACTTTTTATTAGGCTTTGGTTTAGAGAACGTTGTAGCTTATTTGATCTTCTATTTAGATCACAGGAACTTTCTTTATACCCATCAATAAAGCTGTTTTGCTTTCTTATCATTTGAGTGTTCACTGGATTAGCATGTTAATTTCTTTATATATATATATATATATATTTTTTTTTTTTTTTGGCATTTACAAGCTGGCTAACTGTTGGCACAAGAGGCTAGCTTTCCATCTATCTGAGCTTTCAATATGTCTTTTCTCACTAAACATAATTATTTTCAGCTTTTAAAGTAAGACACAGGTAACTCTTCCTTTCAACTTAACACTTAGAGTTCAAGTAATAGGGAGGCCTGGAGAGAGGGAGCAAGATTAAGGAGTGGTCAACTGCTGGAGTAGTCAGAACACAAGTAACATTTATCAATTAAGTTTGCTGTCTTCTATGGGGATGGTCCATTGCACCCCTAAATGAATACAATAGTTATATCAAAGATCACTAATCCCAGATCATCATAACAGATATAATAATGACGAAAAAGTTTGAAATGAGAGAATTGCCAAATATGACACAGTGGCACAAAGTGAGCATATGCTGTTAGAAAAATGGTGCTGACAGACTTGCTTACGGCATGGTTGCCATAAACCTTCAATTTATAAAAAACACAATATCTATGAAGTGAATAAAGTGAAGTATGTTGTATTAAAATTATTTGATGAGGACTTTAATCATCATAATATGCTGTAACAAACAATTACAAGAACATCTGAAACAAATGGTAAGATAAAAAGTCTGAGCAAAGAGAAGAATTAAATGGAAATTATAGAACTGAAAAATGCAATAACTAATGGAGAGGATAGAGGAAAGAATCAGTAAAACTGAAGATAGAAGAATAGAGATAATTAAATTTAAAAAATTAATTAAAAAAAACTGTGGGACCTGTGTTACTAAAATAACTGGCATTTACGGTGTCAGAGTTCTGAAAGGAGAAAAGAAAGGTGAGAATGAAAAGCTACTTGAAAAAATAATGCTTAAATATTCTTTAATTGGGCAAAAGACACAAAGCTACAGATAAAGAAACAAAGTGAACCCCAAGCAGGATAAATTTATTTATTTATTTTTTTAATTTGGTGCCCTTCTAAAGTCCTAACCCACGGAAACTCTGAATGGCTGTTTTATGCCACTAAGTTCTGGAATAGTTTGTTATGACATGATAAGAGTCAAAACAACATTGTAAGTTCTTCAACCTTTAAGTTCAGGCGTACATTTGCAGGACATGCAGGTTTGTTACATAGGTAAACATGTGTCATGGTGATTTACTGCACAGGTCATCCCCTTACCTGGGTATTAAGCCCAGCATCCATTAGCTATTCTTCCTGATGCTCTCCCTACCACCACTCCCCTCAACAAGTGCTCAGTGAATGCTGTTGCCCATGTGCTCTCATCAATCAGCTCCCACTTAATGAGAACATGCGATGTTTGGTTTTCTATGCCAGTGTTAGTTTGCTGAGGATAATGGCTTCCAGTTCTATTCATGTCCCCGAAAAGGACATGATCTCATTCTTTTTATGGCCTCATAGTATTCCATGGTGTATATGTATCATATTTTCTTTATCCAGTCTATCATTGATGGGCATTTGAGTTGATTCCATGTCTTCAATATTGTGAATAGTTTTGCAATGAACATACACGTGCATTTATCTTTATGCTAGAGTGATTTATATTCCTTTGGGTATATATCTAGTAATGGAATTGCTGGGTCAAATGGTATTTCTCAAGCACGATAAATTTAAATAAACCTACACTAAGTCACATCATATGTAAACAGCTAAAACTGATGAGTAAAAAGAAACATTTGAAAGGAGAAGAGACACCTTATTTATGCTGAAAAAAAAACACCTCAAATAAGTGATTTTCTTATCAAAAACCATGCGCCTGGTGTGGTGGCTCAGGTCTGTAATCTCAGCACTTGGGGAGGCCAAGGTGGGTGGATCACTTGAGGTCAGGAGTTCGAGACCAGCATGGCCAACATGGTGAAACCCTGTCTCTACTAAAAACACAAAATTATCTGGGCATGGTGGTGGGCACCTGTTATCCCAGCTACTCAGGAGGCTGAGACATGAGAATCCCTTTAACCTGGGAGGCTGGGGTTGCAGTGAGCTGAGAATGCGCTACTGCACTCCAGCCTGTGTCACAGAGTGAGACTCCGTCTCAAAAAAAAAAAAAAAAAAAAAAAAAAGAAAAAGAAAAAAAAGGAAATAAAGTATAGAGGCAAGACAAAAGTTCAATTTCTGAAATAAAAGAACTGTCAACCCAGAATTCTATATTCAGAGAAAACATTCTTTATTTTCTCTGGAAAAGCAAAATGTTTTCCCCAGAGAATGGGGAAATAAAAACGTTCTCAGATAAAGAAAAACTGAATTTGTCACCGGGGAACTTATTCTAAAAAAAATGAATAGAGGAAGTTCCCTAACATAAATAAAATGATAAAATAAGTAATCCTAGAAAAACAAGAAGGAAAAAGAACAGAAAAATGTTTATATAGATAAATATAACAGAATTATTTGTATTTTTGAGTTTCTAAATTATGTTAGAAAATTGAAGCACTAATTATAGGAACTGCTGCTGTAGTTCTCAATATATGTAGAGAAAATATTTAAGATACTTAGATCATAAATAGTGAGGGGTAAAAGCATGTTTTCTGTAAAATGCTAACACCTGTAAACCATAATTTTATACATATATAATATTTACTATATATGTTATGTATATAATAGATTATTATATATTACCTTAAATATACATGTAAAGTTCCAAAATATATATCCTAAAATAGCTATACATGGAGACACTCAGAAATACTACAGATAAGTAAAAATTAAATATCAAAATGTTCCAGTAGCACACACAAAAGAAAGAAAGAAGAAACAGAGAAACAGGAGAAAGAAAAATAGAAAACAACCAAAAATGAATGCAGACTTCAGTAGGAACACATTAAAAATCCTAATAAATGTAAATTTTTTGAAGGTACCAATTCAAGGATATAAATTTTTAAAGTGGATAAAATGCTTCAATAATTTCCCACTAGGTACAAGGTAATGATTCAACATCATTATATTAGGACTATATTAGGGATAGGCAAATCATAACTCAGAAGAAATCCATTTCAATGTCTGTATTTATATCTCTAGCTGTCTAAGAATGTCTTTCATATTTTTGAATGGTTAAAATGCATCAAAACAAGAAAAATTCATAACACAGAAAATTTAAATGAAATTTAAAATTAAAGGCCGGGTGCGGTGGCTCACGCCTGTAATCCCAGCACTTTGGGAGGCCGAGGCGGGCGGATCACGAGGTCAGGAGATCGAGACCACCCTGGCTAACACGGTACCCCGTCTCTACTGAAAATACAAAAAAAATTAGCTGGATGTGGTGGCGGGTGACTGTAGTCCCAGCTACTCAGGAGGCTGAGGCAGGAGAGTGGCAGTGAACCTGGTGGGTGGAGCTTGCAGTGAGCCGAGATCGCGCCACTGCACTCCAGCCTGGGTGACAGAGCGAGACTCTGTCTCAAAAAGAAAAAAAAAAATTTAAAATTGAAATGTTAATAACATTTAAATTTTAGTATTTTATAAATAAAGTTTTACTAAAAGTAAAACATATTCATTCATTTACATATTGTCTATGGCTGCACTACAATTACAGAACTATTTGTGATGAAGACCCATGAGCTACAAAATGTAAGATATTTGCTATCTGTGCCTTTATAGAAAAAGTTTGTTGATCACAGTTGTAGATGTTTTCAGGCTCATGTCTACTTATGTTTGCTTCCCAACTCCCTACCTTCCAACTACCCTGCAAACTGTGTTCCTGTGTTTTATACTGCAGTCATATTTAATAAATGAATGTTACATTAAATGATTTTAATTTTATATTGAGAATAGATTAATGGGATTTATAATATAAGAATTGGACTATCACTTCAATTGGCTGAATTCACATAAAATGTCTGAGATTTGGCAATATTTGAGGAGTCTGTTCAAACTTAAAGAATAAAAATATATATACCTATTTAGTTAAGTATGAGGAAATCAGTAGATTATCTGCATAAGTAACTTATTGAGAGGTGACAGCATGCTGGCAGCCCTCACAGCCCTCGCTCGCTCTGGGCGCCTCCTCTGCCTCCGCTCCCACTTTGGCGGCACTTGAGGAGCCCTTCAGCCCGCTGCTGCACTGTGGGAGCCTCTTCCTGGGCTGGCCCAGGCCAGAGCCGGCTCCCTCAGCTTGCGGGGAGGTGTGGAGGGAGAGGCCTGGGCGGGAACCGAGGCTGCGCGGGTGGGAACACGCGCTGCTTGCTGGGCAGCACGAGTTCCGGGTGGGTATGGGCTTGGCGGGCCCCGCACTCGGAGCACCTGGCCGGCCTTGCCGGCCCTGGGCAATGAGGGCCTTAGCACCCGGACCAGCGGCTGTGGAGGGTGTGCTGGGTTCCCCAGCAGTGCCGGCCCACGGGTGCTGTGCTCGATTTCTCGCCGGGCCTTAGCTGCCTCCCCGCAGGGCAGGGCTCTGGACCTGCAGCCCACCATGCCTGAGCCTCCCCACCCCCGTGGGCTCCTGTGCCGCCCGAGCCTCTCTGACAAGCGTGGCCCCCTGCTCTACAACGCCCAGTCCCATGGACCGCCCAACAGCTGAGGAGTGCGGGCGCACGGCGTGGGACTGGCAGGCAGCTCTACCTGTGGCCCCGGTGCGGGATCCACTGGGTGAAGCCAGCTGGGCTCCTGAGTCTGGTGGGGAGGTGGAGAACCTTTATGTCTAGCTCAGGGATTGTAAATACACCAATTGGCACTCTGTATCTAGCCCAAGGTTTGTAAACACACCAATCAGCACCCTGTGTCTAGATCAAGGTTTGTGAATGCACCAATCGACACTCTATATCTAGCTACTCTGGTGGGGACTTGGAGAACCTTTATGTCTAGCTAAGGGATTGTAAATACACCAATGGGCACTCAGTATCCAGCTCAAGGTTTATAAACACACCAATCAGTGCCCTGTCAAAACAGACCACTCGGCTCTACCAGTCAGCAGGATGTGGGTGGGGCCAGATAAGAGAATAAAAGCAGGCTGCCCAAGCCAGCAGTGGCAACTCGCTCTGGTCCCCTTCCACAGTGTGGAAGCTTTGTTCTTTCGCTCTTTGCAATAAATCTTGCTGCTGCTCACTCTTTGGGTCCGCACTGCCTTTATGAGCTGTAACACTCACCGCGAAGGTCTGCAGCTTCACTCCTGAAGCCAGCGAGACCACCAACCCACCAGGTGGAATGACCAACTCCAGACACGCTGCCTTAAGAGCTGTAACACTAACCGCGAAGGTCTGCAGCTTCACTCCCGAGCCAGCGAGACCACGAACCCCACCAGAAGGAAGAAACTCCGAACACATCCGAACATCAGAAGGAACAAACTCTGGACATGCGGCCTTTAAGAACTGCAATACTCACCGCGAGGGTCCGCGGCTTCATTCTTGAAGTCAGTGAGACCAAGAACCCACCAATTCCGGACACATTGTCAGTCAGCATTTAGATATAGGAAAAGCTAAGTCTGCCTACAAGTTCCCTAATCCAGATGGACAACAACAACAGCAACTTGAACAAGTGGTAGAAAAATCTGACCTTTTAATATGCTGGGGCAGCCTTTGGGTTACTGAATTTAGACCTGCATTTCTCCCTTTCTTAATCATCTATTATTTAAATAGGCCATTTTATAGATAATATAACAGAGACTCACATTTATTTTCTTAATTCAAATACTTGAGAGCAGAGATATACCTTATCTGTAACAACTTTTATAATTACCACAGATGGAACCGTAATACTCAGTGAAGTCTTGCAACCTTTACATATAGTGTGCTGCATTAACATCTGTTTCTAGCTCTCTTGGCATACGTGACATCCTTGGATGGCTAGAAGCATATCCTTACTCATTTTTGTGTTTATAGAACGGCATAGTGGCAAGTATGGGCACTGAAAATATAACTTGCTTCACAAAGGAGAGGCAATATAAAAATGGACAAATGCACCTCTTTGGTAAATTGTCAATATTAAACATTTCACTTAAAATATTTTTTTCTGTGGGTGACACGATACCATCAACTGATCACAGGCTGAAAAACAGGATCCTATAGCTTTTCTTATTAGCTCAGAGTTGAGATAATTGGAATAGTTGCTGAGATTTGTTAAAAATTCAATCTCAGAATGTTTTGAGTTATGTGGAGTGAATTTCCTAGAAATATTTTGTCTTATCCTCTTCATAATACCAAGTTGTCCATCTAACACCCCAGAAAACAGCTGCTTACAAACAGAAAAGAGGCTCATAAAAGCAGAGATGTTACAAAATAAGACTGTTTTTGTCATTAAAGACTGACAACACAGAGGAGACAAAAACACAGAAAACAGTTTAATTTTTAAAATTCATAGAAATAACCTTATTTTTAAATTGCAAGAATTGATTTCTTTTAGAGTATAATGTTAAAAAAATTATGTTGCCAACATTTACTGGTCAAAGAAAATTTGTATATTTAGAGCAATCATACTTGAATTGCATTTTTTCCCCAGTAAATCTTTCCTTTTCTACTTTTTTATTTCTATTTTATAATTCATGTAGGAAAAGAAAACTAAGAAGATGAAATTATTTTAAACTTCATAAAAATATACCACAGCTTATGCCAGCATAAATACAGCACATAAGGACAAATTTCACTGGATATAACTCATAAGGGGTATTTTTAACAAATAAGATTTAAATCACATAGCTATCAGAAATCTATCTCTGCCTTAGCATAAGTGAATGGGTGTAATTTTACAATAGTAAAATTTAAAAAAAAGACATTTATTCTAATACTTGTAAGTAGGCTATATAAAATAAATGATAAAGACCATAATCTTATTTCATTTCTTAGCACAGTAAAAGATCAATATTTAAAATTTCTTTGACTTTAACCCTAATTTGAATATAGACACAATTTTTTATAATACATAAGGATTTATTTCCAAATTAATAGTTATTTTGGAAAAAGCTGTACTTAAATGATTAAAAATGTCATGCCACTAAAGACACACTATCTAATCCTAGTTAACATCAACCAGATGTCCTGGTTAGTGTAGTAAAACAAGGAAAAAATAGATAAAATCTACACAGATTGGATAGGTGAAATAAAGCTATCTTTTTTCACAGGTTCTGTGAGTGTTTGTGTAGAAAAGAATCTACAGAAAGAAAATCTAGAATTGATAAGACAGTATAGCATGTTTGGGGATACAGGTCAATATAAAAAGTCCACTGTTTTACTATAAACCAGCAATGAATAATTGGAATGAAAAATTAAAAAATATATATAATTTTTAATAGCATCAAAGATGAAGAAATACTTAGCTATAAATATAAGGAAAACGAAGTACAAGATCTCTATGTAGAAAACTTTAAAAACACTTATGACAAAATTAAAAGAAGGCCAGGCGCAGCGGCTCACACCTGTAATCCCAGCACTTTGGGAGGCTGAGGCAGGAGAATTGCTTGAACCCAGGAGGCGGAGGTTGCAGTGAGCCAAGATTATGCCACTGCTCTCCAGCCTGGGTGGCAGAGCAAGAATCTGTCTCCAAAATAAATAAATAAATGAACAGAAAAAATAAAAAGAAAATCTGAATAAGCTAAGAGATCATCCTTGTTCATAGAGTGGAAGGCAATCTTGTTAATTCTTTTCTTTAGCTCAGGGGATGGGGGATGCTTTCAATGAAACTGTTCCACCTTAGATCATCAGGCATTAGTTCGATTCTCATGAGGAGCAGGCAACCTAGATCCCTAGCATGCACAGTTCACAACAGGGTTCCTGCTCCTTTGGGAATCTAATGCAGCAGCTGATCTGACAGGAGGTGGAGCTCAGGCCTTAGTGCTTGCTGTTCCCACCTCCTGCTGTGCGGCCTGGTTCCTGACAAGCCACAGACTGGTACCCATCCTGGCCCTGGGGTTGGAGATCCCTGCTTTAGTTCACTGCAGTCTTGCACTCCTGGGGTCAAGCAATCTTCCCACCTCAGCCTCCTGAGTAGATAGAACTATAGGCATGCACCTCCACCTCTGAAACTAGTATTTTTATTTTTTATTTTTATTTTTTTTATAGGGATGAAGTCTCATGTTGCCCAAGCTGGTCTCAAACTCCTGGGCTCACGTGATCTTCCTACCTCAGCCTCCCAAAGTGCTGGGATTACAGGCATGAGCCCAGTCTTCTTTTCATCTTTATCTATACATTTAACATAATCCAAGTAAAAATCCCAGACAACGATTTTATAGATATTGACAAATTCTAAAATTTATAAGAAAAGGCAAAATCATTGAATAGTCAACGTAATACTAAAGAAGAATAAATTTGGAGGACTAACACTAATCTTGGTCAAGAATTCTTCTAAAGCTAAAGTAATCAAGTCAGCATGGTATTGGCAATTGAATAGAACAGATAGTCCAAAAATAGACCTGCACAGATATCGTCAACTGATTTTTGCAAAGGCACAAAAGCAATTCAATAGAGAAAAAATAGTCTTTAAACAAATGATGTTGAAACAGTGAGATTTCCATATGCAAAAAATGAGCCTAGACACATACCTTAAATATTTGCACTAAAATGAACTAAAAGTAAACCCATATATGAAATGCAAAACTGTATAGCTTTTAGGAAAGAAGAAGGAGAAAATTTAGGTGATCTCACATTTGGCAATGACATTTTACATACAATACCACAAAAAAACTTAGCTGGAATTTATTAAAATTGAAAACTTCTCTTCTGCCAAAGACACTGTTAAGAGAATCAATAGGCAAGCCAAAGACCAGGAGAAATCATTTCCAAACACACATCTGATAAAGGACTTGTATTGAAAATGTAAAAACAACGCTTAAACATCAACAAAAGGAAAATGAACAACCCAATTAAAAGAAGGAGTAAAAGTTCTGAACAGACACCTCACCACAACAGATAGACAGATGGCAAATAAGCATATGAAAAGATGCTAATATGAAAATGCAAATTAAAATAATAAGATACTACCGCAAGCTTATTAGAATGACGATAAAACCAAAACAAAACAGAAACAAAAATAAAAACAAACTCCTGACAATATCAATTGCCGGTAAGGCTGTAGAGTAACAGGGACCCTAATTCATTGCTTGTGGGAAGGCAAAATTGTACAGGCACTTTGGAAGATATTTTGGCAGTTTCTCAACAAAGCTAAACATAGCCTTCCCATATAACCCAACAATTGCATTCCTAGATATTTACCCAACTGATTAAAAAGTTATGTTCCCACAAACATTGGAAGCTGAATGTTTATAACAACGTATTTATATTTGCCCCATACCGGAGGCAACTAAGATGACTCCCATAGGTGGATCTATAACTAAACTGTGGTGCATTCCTGTAATGAAAAAATATTCATTTGCAAAAAGTATGAGCTATTAAGCCACACAATGACATGAATGAATCTTAAATTCATAGTGCTAAGTGAAAGAAAAGTCTCAAAAGGCTATGTAGTGCATTATTCCACTTACATGACATTCCGTAGAAAGCAAAACTATAGAGCCATTAAACAGAATGGTGGTTGCCAAAGATACGACAGAGGGGAAGGAGAGTTAAATAGGTAAAAGGGAACATTTTTAGAGTAGAGAAACTATTCTATATATTACTGTAATGGTAGATATACATCATTCAATTGTTAAAACCCATAGAACTTTACAACACTAACAGTGAAACTTAATAGAGGCAACTTAGAAAAAATAATTTTGGAGGTCAGATGTGAGGATATAATGCAAAATGTGAAAAAGGAATATAATTGTATTACATATGTATGAAACAACCTCACAAAAGGGGGTGGGATAAAAGGTGATGACTTGGTAACTTTGGAAATGAGTGAAATCTTTAATCCTAAAAGCAAATAAATTTTACATAAGCACTGTACTATAGTTTATGAAGTTCCTCCACAACAGAGTATGGGTTACAATTTATGAAACCATTGTATTTATAGACAGAAAATAAACAAGTAAAGGAGTGGTAGATATTGGCAGTTAGGTTTCTCACAGTTGAAGTGAGAGGCTATAGATAAGAAAGAGAAGGAAGTTAAAATAATCCATGTGGTAATGAATTAGAGTTCTTTCAAGATAGACATAGTTACATAGAATGTTTATAGATGTTTAGCTTAATACAGATATAGATGGCTACATAGAAATATTTACAGACACGTGTATATACACGGATTTAGGATGTACACATATATTTTCTTCCTTTTCATCTGAGAGAGCCTAGAATCAATAACGCCCAGTATAAATGAGCACATTCAGATCTTTGTTTCTCCTAAAAAGCCGCTAGGGATTGCTAGAGAAATAGCTGATTTGGGAACCGGGGCAGGAAATATTCTAGATCGGCCTAGAATTAAGTGTTATAATGCCAGAAACTGTATTCAAACAAATAAACAAAAACGCCGCAATGTTGAGGATGTGTCAAATAACGAAGAAGGCAATTGAAAGTGCTCTCAAATGCCCATACTGGAACAATTTGAACAAAAATAAATAAATAAATAAATAAAATTAATATAGGACTGTAACCCAAATATTAAAATAAATGAGTTTAATTGTAATAAAAATGAGTGAATGATTGAATAAATATATAAATGGAGGTGAAGAGACAAATCCCTCATGTAGAAGAATCCTGGCCAGGCAAGGTGGCTCATGCCTATAATCTCAGCACTTTGAGAGGCCAAGGCGAGCAGATTGCTTGAGTTCAGGAGTTTGAGATCAGGCTGGGAAACATAGCAAAACCCTATCTCTACTATGAATAAAAAATACAAAAACTAGCTGGGCATGGTGGTTCATGCTTGTAGTCCCAGCTATTCAGGAGGCTGAAGTGGGAGGATCACCTGAGCTCAGGGAGGTCAAGGCTGGAGTGAGCAGTGATTGCAAAAACAGCACTCCAGGCTAGGCAACAGAGTGAGACCCCGTCTCAAAAAGAAAAAAAAAATCTGAAATAATTTATGTAGATATTTTGCCTTCAAGGAGACAGAACATAAATCCTCACACTTTAAGTAAGCTTCACCCAGTGACTTCCTTCCAAAGAGTACCATATGAAAAGAAGCTAAACAAAAATAACTTTACAACAAGAGTCCTGACAAACACATCTCAGCCACTGAGTAGCATTAATAGCAGCAATGTTAAACCATGCTGATAGTATGTACCCTTGATATAATGTGATAAAAATTTCACCTTACCTCAATGTTCTTTCTTAAAAAAATTCATAACCACAGTCTAATTATGATAAAAACATTAAATGTCTCAGTTAAAGAACATTCTACAAACTGACCAGTGCCCTGCAAAATTGTCAAGGTAATTGAAAACAAGAGAAGCCTAAGAAACTGTTACAGAAAGAGGAAGCCAAGAAGCCATAAGGACTGAATAGAATGTGGTAACCTTGAGTGGGATTCTGGAATAGAAAAAATATATTAGATAAAAAGTAAAAAATGAATACATTATGAACTCTTGTCAATAATAATGTAACAATATTTGTTCATTAATTGTGACAAATGTACCTTAATAATTAGATGATAATAATGGGAGAAACTGGCTGTGGGACATATGAAGACTCATTACTATCTTAACTTTAAAAATAAATCTAGAACTATTTTAAAATCAACATTTTATGAAAAATAAAATCCTATGTCTTCCAAGGATCCAGAACTCATAGGTGCAAAATGCTAGAGACAGAAATAGATCTTTACAAGGGGGGAAAACTTGTATTGCTCACTTCAGTAGAAGAGGGTACCTATGATGAAATGGTACAGGTGTTTTGGACAAAATCAGGAGTAAGTCTAAACCACAGGTGCCTTTCTCGCTTTAAAGAAGAAAATTAGAGACTCTCATCTACAGAATTTTACCAAAAAGAGACAGGGTAGAATCCATGCGATAATTTCAGTAATGTAAAAGAGATTATTACCTAACTGGCTGACACCTCATTGGCCGGGGATTTACTATCTAAGAGGTAAACACTCTAGATTATAATCAGTCATGAGTTGTGATCAATTATGAAAATGTTAGTTAAAAAGTAATTTTCACTTTACAGAAGTAGTTATCCAGTAGGCCTGCAGATAACTGTGTATGGTCTAGGACACCTGGAAACTTCGTATATGGAACATCATCTATACTGATAGACTTAAGCATGGTGCTTATCTGAGGAGCCAAATAACATGGTAATTTAAATTAAAGACAGAAAGTAAGATGTAACCACACTAAGATTATGCTTAAAAGTTGGCTCAGGTTTTCTCTGGATGTGCTGCTGTTCATTCTTCCCTCTCCGTCTCCTAACATTATACCAGAAATTAGGAACAAGAAATATGATGATTAAGAAGAGTGATTCTAAGGTTATTGCCGTAAAGTACATGTTAACATTCATTAACATTCCCCAAAATGTAAACAACATAAGATCTGATATTTATCATCATTATTAACAAAAAAAACTAAAAAAAACAAATAAAACTCTGAAGCAAATAATCATCCCTTTCCAAAATGTTTTAAATAAGACATTTCTATTTAACCTGAAACAAGAAAATAAATCCAATCATCTAACGCATTCATGTGAATTTACCTCTTTATGCCTGAGTGATATAAACACATAAAATCAAATTTTATAATTTGAATATATGTTTGAGGCATTTAATGGGGATGTTAATTTCAGATCTCTTTGAATGCATGTCTTTATTTAAATTAAGTTCATGCCTGAAAATATACATATATATGTATACATGCAAATGAATATGGCATGACATGGAATAAGAGAGGCTTGGAGCTTAGTTTAGCATTGGTATAAACAATGGCACTTCTAAATCTGTGCACTAAAAAACTATATTAGATAGTTAATGATTATTATGGTCAGCCTTATTTAGTATAGAAAATATTAAACAGTTAACCGTACTTATTTTCTTGGTTATGTTCAAAATCTAATATAGTAATGACCAGACTAACTGTATATTACAAAATCCCTAATCCAGCTTCTCTGCTTATCTCCTGCTGATGTACACAGCATGATTCAATTCATCATGCAATACTTTCAGATTTCTATTGCAATAGCCACCCTCACTACAGCAACATACTGTTACCCTTTCTTGTTACAAAAGTAAACTCATTCAGTGTTGAAGAAATTAAACCTTCTCCTCAATTTGCATTAATATTTCCTGTCTCTAAATTTCACCTTTTCTCCTTTTTATTTTGATAACTTTCTAAATGACTTTTTGTTTTTCTCCCATAAATGAGATGACAATGGCATTTGAAGGGAATAAAAATACAGATGTGATTGCCATTGATTATTTTCCTCCTCTTTGCTTCCTTACTTGCTGACTGAGTGTGCCTAGATGAGATGAACAGTTGGTTAGCACATGCTGGGCAATTACCGTGCTGCAAATTTGCAGCTACGGTGATCCTATAAGGCACTTCTTTCTTGATCTTTCTGTCCTCAATTAGGAGATGACATGATTAGCAAAAGATATTCTTACATCTAGTATAAAAGTAACTGAATTGTACTTTCAATATTGCAAAAAAAGGTGAAAGTGAGGAGAAATATGAGGGTGAATTCAATTTAGAGTGATTTGGGACATTGAGTGCTGACACTCTTTCCTGGATATAAGATTTCATGGATAGCAGACTTTCTTTTTTTTATCCACTGGTACTAGATAACCCATTTATCTTAGATGATAGGTTTATGCATTTTATTTTTTGAGAAAAAAGCCACTGGATTTTAAAAATTCAACTCAGACTTAATAATTTTGCTGACAGACAGCAGGATATTAGAGACAGTCCTCAATAATCACAGTTCTGATTCAGATGAAGTATTTTGAATACAAAGTGACAGCAGAAAATGGCATAGATTTCAATAACTTTAAGAACCAATCTTGCATTGTCTGAGTAAACTCTGGCTGGTGATTATTGAATAAGCATGTTTACCTGTGATTTTACACAGGAAAGGGTATCATTTCACAGCAAAATGAGGATCCATGAATTATAAAAAGAATTATTAATGCTCAAATAGCACATCCTAGGAACAGATCACCAACCTGGAAAGTTATTTTCTGCATTTTCAATTGAATGAAGTATTTGATTTTATTACAAAAAGGAAAAACTGAATTATTTTTAGACGAGTATAAGAAATAAATTAACTCAAGACCCTTACTGTAATTTGAACATATTCAAATAAACATTCATGTTATCTGAACTTCTCTGAGAAGGACATAAAAGAAGTCAAACTCTACTATAAGTTGCCATCCAAATTTACCATTTTCATGCCTATTTCTGACACCAATCAGCTGTCATATATTAAAAAGAACTATTATGAAGTGAGCTTAGTAAGCAGCCTGCTGATGTATCTGAACATATTACCCAGGATTCTTATGCTAGGACAGAAAGTCAGATTAGATCTGCTATCAAGGACAATAAGAAATCTCAGCTAGCAAGAGAGAGCCTCAAGTAGCATGGGTGTGTGTCCATTCAAGGAAATAGTTGTGTCAGGAAGGTTGGTAGCACAAGACTTGGAACTTAATAAAAAAAACTTCAGACCCAGACTGGATGGGAAGCAAATTCAGTACAGGAATGCACATTAGGGCAGTGTATCACAAATTTGCTAATTGTCAGAATCAAATGAGACATTAATAAAAAGGAGAGATTTCTGGGTTCCACCTAGATATACTCAATTAGTTAATCCAAATAAAGGAACTTCTACAATCTGTGTTGTTAACAAACACCATAGATGATTCTGCAGATTGGTTAAGTAAAGGTCACTATCCTCAAAGTACTAAAATACAAATTATTCATTCATTGATTTATTCAAAAAATGTTTCTTGAAAATTAATATGTGCTTTTAAAATAATTTTCATGGTATAACTGATGGTGGTCTTTGTAAACAGAACAACTCATTCCTAAAAACTTGACTTTTAAAATTGATCCTTAATTTGTTGAATTAATATAATAAAAAACAGATTCAACATTTAAATTCAACCCACAAATCTTAGTAATATCTCCAATAATTTAGTATAATTTAATTATCACTGTTAAGTAGAGTTTAGTAATTTGTGATTTACATATAATTTTATCAGCATTGATTATTTTAATAATTTGTGTCTTTTTAGGTCCTTTAATTGTTTGACTAACCTAATAAACTCTGTCAAGAACTTAAATAGCTCATAGATTCTAATAAATTAAGCTTAAAAATATTTAACTGTGATTCTTTCGCAAATTTAGTGTAAAGTTATCTTTAAAACTTCAACTCAGTGACTAAAGCAATTACTTAATTAAAAATTCTAAAATGGAATCACAATTTTCTATGAGAAATTATATGAAACAATTAAGTCCAAATGTAATAAGTATATAAAATGTGTTGATAAACTTTAAATACAAATATGAATACCAAAGTTTTATGCATTTGATTTGTTTCATCACTCTATTTAATTCTAAACTTCCTAAATCACTAAAGAGATAATTACAAAATCAAAAAATTTGATGATAATATCTCAAAAAATGTCATTACAGTGTTCCTTAGCTGAGTTGTGTATCAACCAGAGATCTGGGCTGGAAAGAAGGAATTTGAGTGGGGATTTAACTCTTCTAGAGTCACTAAAATGAAGACTATATAATAACAAAGGTGTTGGGTCTTGGGCCACATCTGTAAATTGAATTTAACTATTACTTGATTTTCAGATCTCATTTCTGTTTGCAAATATCTTATCCCTTCCTAAATTGTGTCAACACTTTATTTGATTTAACTAATCTATTTGCTTATTTTTTCTGAATTATTCTCAGGTTATTCCTCTTCATTGGATTGAAATCATAGCTATTTCAATGATAACCAGGTAGATTCTGTATGTTTCCTTCATAAATAATGTCATAGCTTCTACTATTCTAATATGTTCAGGCTCTGTCCTTGGATGTAGAAATAGAAGCATTAAAAAGACAGACAAAATTCTTGCCATCACGCATCTTGCCTGATGCTAGGAGAGAAAGAAAATAAAAAGTTAACACACACACACAAACACACACACACACACACACACACACACACACACACCCTACATATATTTAATAATTCCCAGATAGTGACAAAAGCCATGAAGAAAACAATGTACAGTAAAGGGATAAAAGTGCCAGGTTGGCAAGTGGGGGAAAGAGATATTATAAAGATGTTAGGGAAGATGACATATGCTGGGATCTGAATGATATGAAGAGTCAGTTACAGTAAGATAAAGAGGCCAGATAGATAAACTGTCAAGGAGAGGATAGGAGAAAAGAAAAAGAAGGAAGGAAAGAAGAAAAAGAAAAAAAGATAGAGGAACAAAATAATAAAGGGAGAAAGAGAGGAAAAGAAGGAAGGGAGGGAGAGAGGGAGGGAGGAAAAGAAAGAGGGAGTGGTAGAGAGGAGGGAAATAAAAAAAGAAAGAGAGAGAGAAAAAAGAAAAGGAGGAAAGAAGGAAGGAGGGAAGGAAGGAAGGGAGGGAAGAAGGAAAGAAAGAAGAAAAGATAGAAAGATGAAAGAAAGAAAAAAAAGAAAGAGAAAGAAAGGAGGAAGAAAGAAGAAAGAAAGAAAGAAAAAGAGAGAAAGGAAAAGGAAGGAACGAAGAAAGAACGAAAGAAAGAAAGAAAGAAGAAAGAGAAAGAAAGGGAGAGAGAGAAAGAAGCTACTGCTCCAGTTGCCAGATCTTAGTTTAAAAGTGGGAGTTTATGGCCAGGGCAGGTTAAGAGTCCATTTAATTATCATCAATGTACTGATTAATTCCAGATATGTACTTTCAGCTGTGCCCTCTACCAGATCCAGTCCATGCAGCTTCCCAGAAGTTATCAGTCTCCTGTTCCCTGGGTCTCAACCTCTTGTTCAAAGGAGAAACTCAGATACTTCACCTAACTTGCGGTCTCAGTTTCCCAAGGTATGAATTCTTGACTTTACCACAGTGATTTTAGACTCCATCTGTGGGAAAACACCATAGCTTGGTCAGACCCAGGCAAGACATTCTGAATGGTGCCAGACAGTGTCAGTATCACAACCCAGAAAAGCAGTGTTAATTCTCTACTGGATGATGTTGGAACAATGGGAGATAAAAGAAGGGATGGAGCAAGCAAAGAACTCTCCCTTCTCTTTCCAAGATGTGATAGTTTCACATAGTCTATCTGTAAGAGTTCTTACCTTATTTGGTAAGGGGCTGCATTTTATTTGGAAGCTGAAGCTAGCTCACTTATGAATATATTTGTTTTTATTATTTTATTTTGTTTTTCTCTCACTCTTGCTAACTTGGAGTCTCCTCCATCTTTAAGATGGAATATTAGAGTTGGATTGCATACCTCTATGAAGGTATTAAGGGCCACATTGCTGGTGGTAAGTGGTGTCATATTGAATCTTACTATGTGTGGACAGTTCAATTATTAACATTTGAACCTCTGGTTAAGTGAAAGTGTAAGGCAAAATTCTGATAAAATATCTTTATCAGAACATTAATAACTATATAGGCTATAGGATTTGGTAGTTTTTCTTAATGTTAGGCTAACTTCTGCTTTATGAGGAAGTGACTTATGAAACACCAATATTCCAACAAAGAACAACTTAAAATCTGCGTTAAACAACTACAATAATAGTAACCCAGTTGAGGGACTTGGAGAGCTGCTTAGACAGGTAAGACTAGAGGAAACATGCTGGAGAAAAGGGAAACACAATAATGTAAGTCCAATCAACTGCGTATTGTTTTTCTTTTGGTATTTGCTGATTCTTGCCTTCAGTCAAGAGTACACAATATGCCCAATAAGCCCCCAGAGAGAATGGCTGCTGAAACACTAATAATCAATTAGCATTTTAGGAAATCAGAAAGGGATAGAGAGACAAAACTTGGAATTTGAGTCTCCCTGAATTTGACGCATCTAGAATTTGAGATACTGAGGTTCCAGAAATGAGGAAAGGACAAAGAAGGCTGAATTCAGCTTCCATTTTACTCTCCAAACATTAATGACAGAACAGTCTGAGAAGCTGCATGGAGTTTTAATCAGTTTCATGGTGTGGATGAGACAAAGCAATGGAATTCAGGAGTCAATCAGGAGTCCAGCAAGATTCCTCAGGCTCTTTGTTGGAATTTCAGAAGTGGAGATGAATGAAAGGTAAACCAAGCCTTACGCAAACTTTAAAGCAGCCCTTGGAAAAGCAAAGTCCCTGAACAAGTTGAGGAGATTTATGATTATAGTGCCTGCTAGAGAAGAAGATAATCATCTCTACAGGAAGATGACATAATCCAGAGCACCTACAATTATCCACACATAATGCTGGCATTCAATAATCAAAACAAACACTTGACAGAAAGAATATTAAGCAAAGTGAGAGAAAAAAAAAGCAACACAGGAAAAGAAAATTTATCCCCAGGCTCTACATATTAGAGATATCAGATGCTAGCATTTAAATAGTTGTGAATTAAATAAGTAGATGAAAAGATGAGTAATTTCACCAGAGTTGAAATCTATATGCCAGGTGTGGTGGCTCACACTTGTAATCCCAGCACTTTGGGAGGCTGAGGCAGGCAGATCACATGAGATTAGGAGTTTGAGACCAGTGTGGCCAACATGGTGAAACCCCATCTCTACTAAAAATACAAAAATTAGCTGGGCACTTTGGTGCATGCCTGTAATCCCTGCTACTTGAGAGGCTGAGGTGGGAGAATCACTTGAACCCAAGAGGCAGAGGTTGCAGTGAGCTGAGATTGCACCACTGCACTCCAGCCTGGGTGACAGAGCGAGACTCCATCTCAAAAAAAAAAAAAAGAAAAAGAAAAAAAGAAATCCATATAGTAGGATCAATAATGCAACGGTAGGTAATAAAGGCAGATAGTAATAAAGTTAAAAGCAGGAAGGAGAATATTTCTCAAAATTTAGGAGCAACTCAATCGCTTGCTGTAATGTTAAAAATTCGGATTTTGATACATTGGCTCTGAGGTGGTGCCTGAGAATTTGTATTTCTAACCAGCTCACAGTGATGGTAAGACTGCTTATCTAAGGACCTTCACTTAGGATAACAAAATTCTCAGGATCTGTATTGCTTAAGAGCAATTAGAAGCATGAATTTATATTTAACTATAAGTGAAGGATGCATAGTTTAATATTCAAAGTAGCTATTAAAAACTCATAATATATAACAGGCTAATAGAAAAGAAAAATTGAATAATTTTTAAAATGCTTCAGTACTTAAATAAAGAAAAGAAAGAAGAAGAAAACCATAAAACAAGTGTAATGAAAATAAGGCAAATATAAACCCAAATATATCAGCAATTGCATTAAAGGTTAAATATATGATGATCCTTTTGAAAGGCAAATAGTTTTATGAACACTGTTTTAAAAGCAACTTGAATAGAAAGAGAAAAGATGTAGAAGGTATTCCAAGAAACCATGACCAAAAGAAAGAAAAAAAAAATAAAGAGCAGCAAAATTAACTTTAAAATTAGAATAACTACTAAAGATAAAGTGGGATTTATGATGAAAAGAACAATCCATCAAAAAGATACATGAAAACTAAATGTATATGTACCTATTATCACTATTTCAAAATATGTAAAAGGAAAATTGACAAAATAAAAATCAGAATTCATAAATCTATGTGTGTGTGTGTGTGTGTGTGTGTGTGTGTGTGTGTGTATATGTATATTTGAGGTTAAAATATAACCATCTCAGTAATCAATAGAAAAATTAAACCAAAAATTTTAGCAAATAGGAATATTGACCTAAATGATTAGTAAATTCGCCAGAATTGACAGGCAGAACACATTGTACCCAACAACAATCTTTTAAAGTGCATATTATATTTTTAACAAAAGTAATCATGTCTTATGTAATAAATCAACTCTCAACAAAGTTAAAAAATATTTAAATCAATTAGAATATATTCTGACCATTGTGGGATTTAAGAAAGAGATCTATAAAAAATGATAACTAGAAAATTCACATACTGGAAATTAAGTAATATACTTCTAAATAACTCATGGGTACAAAAGGAAAGCATAATGGAAATTAGAAAATGTTTGTATGAAATGTTAAGGAAAATTGGCATATCAAAATTCATAAAATTCAGTTAAGACAGTGCATAGAGAAAATATCTAACTTTATAGTAGAAAATGTTAAAATGTATAGTACATATTAAAAAAGAAAAAAGACAAATAGACAACGTATGCCTACCTCTCAAGAAGTCAGAAAAGAAAATGTGTTAAGAGCAAAGAGAAAAGTAAAGCAAAAATAGGAAGAAAAACGAAATAGAAAACAATTAAGTAGAACACACATAATAGAAGAAGGATACAAAAAGAAAAATGAAAGGTTGGACTCAACAATATCAGGAATTATAAACAAACAACACCACAATAAATTTGTCAGGTGTGAAAAAGACTAGAGAATTTCCGAATAATTTTATGCAGTCATTTGAAAATTTAGATGAAAAAGGTAAATTTCTAGAAAAATAAACTTCCTAAAACTAACTATATGCAAAATATTAGATATTAAAATCTGAGTAATCATTATCTGATCAGTAAATAATTCACATTTTTTAAAAACAACTTTGCCACAAAAACATCTGCCTCAAATGGCTCTATTTGTGAGTTATTTCCAACATTCAAGATTATCGATGTTGTAAATGTTTCTTTAGCTATTAAAAAATATACATTTTCAAAAGAATTTTCACTGATTTTATGAAGCCAGCATGATGTTCATTAAAAAAATGGTGGCCAATCTTTCTTATGAACATAGACAAGAAAACAAATAAAATATTAGTATAAAAGATACCCATTTAAGAACAATCATTAAGGATTAACGTTGGTTTGTCCTAGGAATTAAGAGTATATTAAAATTAGAAATTTAATAAAAATAAAGACTGCAGGAGAAAATCACATGATTATTTAAATAGATGCAAAAAATGCATTAGTTGAAATCCAATAAGCAATGTGATAAAACTTGTCAGCAAAGTGATAATAATTTTTTTAGGAAGCCCATTACCAAAAAATTTACAACTAACATTATGCTTAATGATATGTTAATAGAAAAAATGAGTTAGAAGAATATTGAAAAAATTCTACCATCAAACTAGGAGAATTAAAGGAATGTATTAAAATAGCAATTATTCTAGCAACATGGAAAGGCCACACATCTTAAAAAAATCTGTTTTCTTATCAAATTTTTATTTATTTATTATTTATTTTTAACTTTTATTTGAAGTTCAGGGGTACAAGTGCACAAGTGTTACATAGGTACACTTTTGTCATGCGGGTTTGTTGTACAGATTATATCATAATCCAGGTATTATGCCTAGTACCCATTAGTTATTTTTCCTGATCCTCTCCCTCCTCCCACTGTCCACCCTCCAAAAGGCCCCAGTGTGTATTGTTCCCCTCTACATGTCCATGTTTTCTCATTATTTAGCTCCCACTTATAAGTGAGAGCATGCAGTATTTGGTTTTCTGTTCTTGCTTTAGCTTGCTAAAGATATGGCCTCCAGCTTCATCCATGTCCCTGCAAAGGAAATGGTCTCATTCTTTTTAGGGCTGCATAGTCTTATCAAATTTAAAGCAAGTAATACAATATTATTGAGTATAGTCACCATGTTGTACATTATATCCCTAGAACTTATTCATCTTATAACTGAATGTGATTACCCTTTAACCAATATCTCCCATTCCCTCTTCCTCTCCATGCTAGGTAACCACCGTTCTACTGTCTGTCTCTATGAGTTTGCCTTTTTTAGAGTTCACAGGTAAGTAAGAACATACAGTATTTGTCTTTATGTGCCTGGCTTTTTTTACTTAGCACAGTGACCTCCGGGTCCATTCATGTTGTTGCAAATGGCAGGATTTCTTTCTTTTTTTATGGCTAAATAATATTCCACTGTGATGTGTGTTTGTGTGTGTGTTGGTGCAAATATAAAATTTTCTCTTTCCTTTCATTCATTAGTGGATACTTAGATTGTTTCTATATTTTGACTATTGTGCATAATGTTGCAGTAAAAATGAGGGTGCAGATATCTCTTCTCTTCAAGATACTGATTTCATTTTCTTCAGATGTATACCCAGAAGTGAAACTGTGAGATCAGATGGTAATTAATTTGATTGTGGTAATCATTATACCATGTATATGCACATAATATCATGTTATACATTTTGAATATGAAAACTGTTTTCCAATAAATACAGTCTCTGTGTGTGTGTGTGTGTGTGTGTGTGTGTGTGTGTGTGTGTGTGTATAGGAATATATATAATAGATATATAAATATATAATGGAAGTTTATATATATAACTTTTCCATTATATATATTTATATATTTATATCTTTTCCATTATACATATATATATATATAATTTTAAATCCACATGTCTGTCAGAAGTTGTATGCCAAAAATAAACTCCAGAAATGATAACTTCTCTGAGATAAAGAGTGAGTAGTTCTATCTTGCATCTGATACCACAAAGCAAGAGGCGGGGTGCTTTGTGGTCTTTCTGGACTTTGCACATAGCTTTTACAACACTTGGGAATGCAACTCCTACTTCAGAGCTTGAAAAGATTTTTGCTACAGAGCATACTGCTTAGTCAGTTGGAGGTGAGATATCAGTGGTGCTGGAGGTATACCTGGTTGATAAGAAAGTTGCAACTTGCAGACAAAACCCTTACCATTGTGGAGAGCAAATGTCTTCTTAGCTGAAAACCATGTTTCATTAGGAGGGTAGGGGAGGAAGCTCCTGACGTGCTACGGAGCCTTGGGCTTTCGTAGAGAGTCAGCTCCTGACAATGGAACACCAAATGACGATGACATGTCATTACATAACTGATATTTTCTATAATGACCCAGCTGTTGTCAGAAACACATGCTCATAAGGTCAGGTGAGTATAGTTTCAATTAATTGTTGTATGAAAGTAATACATTTCAATGTGGGCTCAAGTAAAACAAATTATATCAACAGTTGTACCAGATTCCCCTATTACTTGCTTCTGTTGCACCAGTGCTTACCCTTCATCTCACGTTTGGGCACATGGCAGGTGAAGGGTTGCATTATTTACAACTAACTCATAGGAGAGAAAATAACCTAGTGCTAATTCATAACGGATTAAAGAAATATATTGGCATTAGTTGCAAATGGACTTTTCCCTCATTGCAACCTGACTCAGGAGAAGCCCTGATGAATAGTGGTGAATAGAAACAATTCACATGGGCTGACCTGTGAAGAGTATATAGAGATGTCCAAAATTAAAGTCTTGGTTTTGTTCTCCCAACTTTGTCATCATCCCTCACCTCCACCCCATGCCCCTATTATTCTTCATCTTAGTAAGTATCTCCACAATTTTTTAATTCTATCGGCCAAGAAGCTTGGAGATATATTTGAGTCCTCCCTTCCTTTATATCTCACATCTACACCATTTACAAATTGCATTTGACTCTACTTTCAAATCTAATTACTTGCCCACATTTTTACTTTGATCATCTTTCACCTGGGCTACTTTGCTTTCTCTGCTTCCTTTCCTGCTTCTGCTTCTGTGTGCTATTTTCTACACCAGAGGTACAGTAATATTTTTTTAAAACTGCACCATGTCATACTATTTGGGCAATAGAATCTGGTCTCTTTTTTTGAGACAGAGTCTCGCTCTGTTGCCCAGGCTGGAGTGCAGTGGCGTGATCTCTGCTCACTGCAAGATCTGCCTCCCAGGTTCAAGCCATTCTCCTGCCTCAGACTCTCAAGTAGCTGGGACTACAAGTGCCCGCCACCACACCTGGCTAATTTTTTTGTATTTTTAGTAGAGACGGGGTTTCACCGTGTTAGTCAGGAGGGTCTCGATCTCCTGACCTTGTGATCTGCCCGCCTCGGCCTCCCAAAGTGCTGGGATTACAGGCATGAGCCACCATGCCTGGCCAGAATTTGGTCTCTTTAAAAATTTACCCAAGTCTTTTCTGTGGCATAGAACCCTACATTTATTGTTTCCTGGAAAAGTATTTTCCTCTTAGTCGCATTTTCTGTTGCAGCCATTCTGACCTTCTTTTTTTCTCAAGTATTTCAAGCATGCTCCTAAATTAGTTGCCTTTGATATTCTTCCACCAAATATTTCCTTTTTGTGTCCTCAGTTCTTTCTGGTCTCTGTTTAATGAAGACTTCAGAGAAAGAATTTTTTGACCACCTGTCAAAAATATCCACCTATCACTCTTCATCTCTTACTCTTAGTTTTGAGTATATGAAGCTTAACTGCTTCACATAACTTGTTATTATGTCATGTAATAGAGTTTGTTCAGTTGTTTATTATGTGTCTTCTTCATTAAAGATTAGCACAGCAAGGATTTATCTCACTTTTAACTATTGTATCTCAGGTTCAGTTCTGTTCCACTCATAATCAGTAATAAAACTGTTTGAGAAATTAATGATTTAAAAAATGATTTGTATTTATTTTAAAGTTTGTCATGAAGTTACGGGTCTAATATTCATTACACTGACCTTTACTGACAAGTCTGATCTCAGTATTTCAATCAAAAGCACCTTGATGAAATATTGAGATCAATATAATTAGTGGGATCAAGGAGTCAGAGGATTTATACCGGTGGCCAGTAAAATAATTGAAATTTGTAAAATGTCTATTATCCATCATAAGCACCATATATTTCTATGACTTAAGAAAAATACCTGTATTCTTAAAAAGTTAGTGATGAATAGTTACATATGCATCTCTTGGTATCTTGTGTTAATTATTTATTTGTTGTTGTTCACTTCATCCCCCACCCCTTGCACCCCAAGTATAAGTTTCTTGGGAACAGTTAGCTTGTATAACTTAGGAATTTAAAAAGTCTAACACAGCATCGGGTACATTTGGTTATTAAAAATTTGATAAGTGAATGACTAAATTCACAGTAACTAATTAGTATTACATATTTTTTGGTGGATTCAATCTTGTGATTTCCTTCTGATTGGGGCACTTAGCCCATTACATTTAAGGTTAATATTTTCATGTGTGAATTCGATCCTGACGTCATGATGCTGGCTGGTTATTTTGCACACTAGTTGATGCAGTTTCTTCACAGTGTCATTGGTCTTTGCAGTTCATTGTGTTTTTGCAGTTTTTCCTTTCTGTATTTAGTGCTTCCTTTAGGAGCTCTTCCAAGGCATGCCTGGTGGTGATGAATTCCCTCAGCATTTGCTTGTCTGAAAAGGATTTTATTTCTCCTTCATTTATGAAGCTTAGTTTATCCAGATATGAAACTCTGGGTTGGAAATTCTTTTCTTTTCTTTTCTCTTTTCTTTTTTTTTTTTTCTTTTTTTTTTTTTTTTTTTCTGAGACAGAGTCTTGCTCTGTTGCCCAGGCTGGAGTGCAGTGGCATGATCCTGGCTCACTGCAACCTCTGCCTCCTAGGTTCAGGCAATTCTCCTGCCTCAGCCTCCTGAGTAGCTGGGATTAGAGTCGCACACTACCACACCCAGCTAATTTTTGTATTTTTAGTAGAGATGGGGTTTCACCATGTTGACCAGGTTAGTCTCGAATTCCTGACCTCAAATGATCCACCCATCTTGGCCTCTCAAAGTGCTGGGATTACAGGCGTGAGCCACCATGCCGGGCCAGAAATTCTTTTCTTTAAGAATGTTGAATATTGGCCCCCACTCTCTTCTGGCTCATAGAGTTTCTACTGAGAGATCTGCTGTTAGTCTGTTGGGCTTCCCTTTGAAGGTGACCTGGCCTTTCTCTTTGGCTTCCCTTAACATTTTTTCCTTCATTTTAACCTTGGAGAATCTGAGGATTATGTGTCTTGGGGTTGATCTTCTCACGGAGTATCTTACTGGGGTTCTCTGGATTTCCTGAGTTTGAATGTTGGCCTGTCTTTCTAGGTTGGGGAAGTTCCACTGGATGATATCTAGAAGTGTGTTTTCCAACTTGCTTCCATTCTTCTGTCACTTTCCGGCACCCCAATCAGTCATAGGTTTGATCTTTTTCCATACTCCCATAGTTCTTGGAGGTTTTGTTAGTTCCTTTTCATTCTTTTTTCTCTAATATTGTCAGCCTGCCTTATTTCAGCAAGATAGTCTTCGAGCTCTGATATTCTTTCTTCTGCTTGATCAATTCAGCTATTGATACTTGCGTTTGCATCAAAATTTCTTGTGCTGTGTTTTTCAGCACCATCAGGTCATTTATGTTCCCCTTTAAATGAGACATTTTAGTTAGCAGCTCCTGTAACCTTTTATCATGTTTCTTAGCTTCTTTGCATTGGGTTAGAGCATGCTCCTTTAGCTCAGCCAAGTTTGTTATTACCCACTTTCTGAGGCCTACTTCTGTCAATTTTTCCATCTCATCCTCTATCCAGTTCTGTGCCCTTGCTGGTGAGGTGTTGTGATCATTTAGAGGAAAAGAGGCACTCTGGCCTTTTGAATTTTCAGCATTTTTTCGTTGATTCTTTCTCATCTCCATGACTTTGTCTAGTTTTGATCTTTGAGGATGCTGACCTTTGGATGAGGTTTTTGTGGGGACTTTTTGTTGATGCTGTTGTTGTTGCTTTCTGTTTGTTTTTCTTTCAACAGTCAGGTCCCTCTCCTGTAGGGCTGCTGCAGTTTGCTGGGGGTTCATTTCAGGCCCTATTCATCTCGGTCCCTCCCACACCTGGAGATTTCACCCTAGGAGACTGGAGAACACCAAAGATGGGTGCTTGCTCCTTCCTCTGGGTCTCTGTCCTTGAGGGGCACCAACCTGATGCCAGTAGGAACATTCCTGTATAAGGTGTCTGGTAAGTCCTGTTGGGGGGGTCTCACCCAGTCAGGGGCATGGGATCCAGGACCCATTTAACAAAGAACTTTGGCTCTCTGTTGATGGAAGGTGTGTCCTGTGCTGGGGGAAAATCAACTCACCTGGGCTGCCCAGATTCCTCAGAGCTAGCAGGGGGAAAGACTAAGTCTGTTGGTCTGAAGAGACCATGCCCACCCCTCCCTTTAGGGGCTTAGGCCCAGGGAGATCAGAGTTCTGTCCCTAAGCCCCTGGCTGGAGTTGCTGGAGTTCCAGCAGGCCTAGGGAACATCCCACCCAGTGAGAGGGAATGGGTCAGGGTTCTGCCTAAGAGGCAGCCTGGCCAGGATCTGCCACAGCTAGTGTGCTGCGCTGTGGGGAATGCCTCTTGGGACTAAGCCATCCAGTGTCCCAGGCTCAAGCAGGGGCAAAACAGCTGCCTGGAGCTGTAGAGATGGCTGTTGCCTTTCCCCTCTGGGAGTTCAGTGTCTGAGGCAGCTAGCAGCTGCAGTGATGGCTGCCATCCCTCTCGTGGGGATCTCGGTTTTCTTAGGCAGCAGGCAACTGCAGTGATGATGGCTGCCACCCCTCCCCCAGGGAGCTCAGTTGGCTTAGGCAGCAGCCACAGTGATGATGGCCACCCCTCCCCCTGGAACTCCACAGTCTTAGGCAGACTCCAGCTGAGTGGCTGTTGAGAATCTGCATGGCTCTGTGGTTGAGACTCAAGGCCCTGAGGGTGTGGGCTCATGAGTGGGATCTTCTGATCCACAGGTTGCACAGATCCGTGGAAAAAGCACGGTTTCACAAGCTGGGTAGCACACTCACTCACCGCCTCCTTTGGCTGTGTTTGGGGGCTCCCTTTGCCCCGTGTGACTCTCAGGTGAGGTGATGCACCACCCTGTTTTTCCTTGCTTTCTGTGGGTCATGCCAACCTCCTAGTCAATACTAATGATAGAATCTGGATACCTCCATTGCCGGTGCAGGATTCACATGCTGTTTTAGTTCTTCTCAGGTGGGAGCCTCCCACTGGAGCTGCCCCCATGATTTCCTTTCATGTACCCCCTTCAGTGTCCATCATTGCATCATTCATGATAATACAAAAAGCAGAAAACCAAGGTTAATAATTGTGTTTCTTGGTAAACTAAACCAGTGCAGATTTCTTTTTCTTTTCATTCAAACAAAAATGATCTTATTTTTAGCTTGAGGATTATTTAATTGCCTTCTCTTTTTTTGAAATGTATTATCAATAGAATTTAACTTATATTTAACAGAGGGCACTCTCTGCTCTTTTTACAGCTGAGGCTGCATTAATTTACCCAAGAGCATGTTGGTAGTACTGGTACTTAAACTTCTTTTGTTGGTGAAAGTAACCTTCAGCCAATATTCTTTAACTTTTTTTGTTTTTCTACACTATTGGTTTCTCTGGGTATCTCAGGCTTCAGAGTGTAGAGGGCAGTGTTTTTGTAAATCATCTATTAATTGGAAGATAGCTTCTTAAAAATGCAGATAAACCAATACTCTGACTGGTGAATTAGCACAGGAGCACTGATAATCCACCTGACTTGCCGGCTAATCTCCAAATGCTCTACTCAGATAGATCATTTCTGGCAAGCTCTATTTAAGGATTTCCTTAAAGTAATCCCTTTTTCAATTCATTAGATTTGCCTCTTCCAGGGTCACTGTTAGACTGCACAACTGGCATTCTCCTGAGTTCAGCTTTTTGTTACATCATTAATACAGCTCCAGATACTTCACTTCCACTTTTAAACTTCTGACCTGCAATGGTTGCACTTCCTTACTTTCTCTATTCTAGAGTTTGGCTGCCTCTTTGAAACCTAGACCTTGGAAATACAAAGACCATTTTCTTACATCTGCATAGCCTGGTTAACTAGTTTCTAATTCCATCACTCACCCATTTTCTTGGAGAGAGAGAGTAGTAGAGATACCATCCAAATCACAAAATTAAGTTATCATGTTACTTCATAAAGGAGGTATAAAAAATGGAGGGGAAGGAGAAAACACATTTTCCATACATTCCAAGAAATTCATAAAAGCTACATATAGATTTATTCTCCATGGTGGGGTAAAAATTGCAATATTTAGCCCAATTATATTAAATTATATTATATTACATATCTTCCTGGGTAAGAGAAAAAAGTTGCATTCTTCAATGACACTCTAAAATATGTGGACTTTTGTCATCTTTATATATGCATATATAACATAGAAACTAAAATTTGTTAACCAGGCAATTAAGTGGAATCAACTTAGAGTCATAATTTAAATCTATATTTGAACTTCCCATAACTAAATTCAGTATATATAAAATATGAAAATGCTGTCCAAATACAATCACTCACAGTTTTACATGGCTAAACCGTTTTGAGAGGCTTAAAGGCTTTTAAGAAACAAGACAATTCATATGCTTCTGGAAATTTTCTCTAAGTGAAACAATACTTGGTTAAGCCAAAATATTGTTCAGTGCAAAGTAGCCAGGGTTTAGGGAATAACTAACAGGCTATGCCAAAGTTTTATTCTTGGATACCTGATATCAATGTGACATATTTTCTTTTTTTGTGTGTTTTTTGAGGCTGGAGTGCAGTGGCGTAATCTCAGATCATTGCAACCTCTGCCTCCCGAGTTCAAGTGTTTGTCCTGCATCAGCCTCCCAAGGAGCTGGATAGGCATCTGCCACCATGCCTGGCTAATTTTTGTATTTTTAATAGAGACAAGTTTCAGCATGTTGGCCAGGCTGGTCTCGAACCCCTGACCTCAAGTGGTCTGCCCACCTCGGCCTCCCAAAGTGCTGTGATTACAGGTGTGAGTCACCACACGTGGCCAACATACCTTCAACTTTTATTTTGGAGATTTATATTTAACTTGTCATACCACTAATGTAATTTTCACCTTTCAAAATTCTAACTTTATAACATATTTTCAATCACAGTATAGTCAGAAATTAATAAATCAGAAGATACATATGATGTTTAAAATTCAAAATGACGATTAACTTAAAAAAAGATTGAGGTACAATTGTCATAAAATTAACTATGCATATTTAAAATGTACAATTTGATAAGTTTGACATATATACACACACATGAAACCATCACCACTATCAAGATAATTTACATATCCATCAACCGCACGTTTTCTTGTGCCACTTTGTAATAATTCCCTTCCATTCAAATCATCCTCCAGATAATCACTGACCTGTTTCTTGTCATTATATATTAGTGTATATAACTTATAATTCTATATAAATGGAAACATACAGTAAATACTCAGTCTGACTCCTTTCACTCAATATTGCTTTGATATTCTTCCATATTATAAAAAATATCACTTATCTATCAGTTTTTTCTTGATAAATAGTACTTCAGTATTTGAATTTGCTAGAGTTTGTCTATTCACATGTTGATGGGCTCAAACATTCCTACCGCCTTGGCCTTCCAAAGTTAACACTTTGGATTACAGGCATGAGCCACTGCACCCAACTTATTTTAGTTTTGATGTAGACAAATAAATCAACTTATTTTATATATTTTGTTTTTAGTATCATACATTAGAAACTGATATCTAATATAAATTACAAGGCTTTCTCCTATGTTGTCTTCTAAAAATTTTACATTAGAATTTTAAAGCAGGTTTGGGTTCATTTTTATATATAATAAAAGCTACAGAAAGGTTTTTTATTTTTTATATATGTATATTCATGATCCCAGAAACATTTATGCGATAAAAAAATTCCCTAACAATTTGTCTTACAAAATTGACACATATATATAATGTATATCTATAAACATATAATGCATTATATACAAATACACATACATATATAAAACACAATGAGAAATGATATCTATTATATATATATGTAAAATTGTATTTAAGAATTAGCAACATAGTATGTTCACTTAATCAAATCACTGCCCCATTATATATAAACAAAATATTTGGGTATATGTATGTGTGTGTATGCTGTATTTAATTCATATTACTATAAAAAATTTTTTGTAATAGTTATATTAGTCAACGTTTAGAAAAATAATGTGGAGTAGACACTATTGTATGCATTATAAAGAAAAATACCTGCTAATCAAAGATGATAAGACAGATACTCAAAGTCATAAATCTTTTAAGTGGCAGCAGTGGAAGGCAAGCCCAGGTGCCTCATACTCTTTCCAGCAGTCCATCATGATGGATTCAATCATTGCATCCATTAAATCTGGCAGCTACAGTAAGACAGATGATACTTTGGCCTACAGCCGTTTTAAGATTCCTCAAACAAATCAACTAAACATTTCCAATGTTATTGCCTTTGTTCTTCAATACATAATTGCTTTTAAAAGCTGAAAGTAGGGAAGAGAGAAAATAAATCATGAATTTTTATCAGAAAGCCTGCAAATCTGAATTGTAAAAAGCCAAACAAAACCCTTTTTCTCCTCAGTAGGGAATTCTCCTTAAAGTACAATATAAAGTCATTCTTCTTATTAAATTTTAAGTACATGAGGACTGACATTAATGGAACTCATTTAAGTGAACTTAACTGAATTTCTATACACATTTGATTTTCCCCCACAACATGAGTGCCTTCCTGAATGATCCCACAGAAGCAACATGATTGACATTATGTATCCTGGAGAGAGCAGCCATTCATTGATCAACATCAGTGGTTTTGGCAGACAGACAGCACTTTGCCTCATGCCCAAAGAAAAGGTTATCTGGCAGAGATTAGAGATGAGGGGGTGACTGGATCCAGGAAGCATATCTGGTGCAACCACTGAAATCCACCCAAAGCCCAGGTCATTCAATGTATTCATACACGAACGATGTGTGCCACATAAATGCTTAATGGTCAATGCTCTCAATATGTGTCACTCCTAGTTTCATTACACAGAGGACATTAAAGTAATAATTTCAATAAACCCAAACCAGATTCAATTTTAATGTCTTCAGTGAAAGACTATATTCTAAAAGAGGACCAAAAGAACCCATATCTGCTCACTAATCTCTGGCTTATAATTATAGTATCATGACTCAACTCATGACATTGGCATATATTTCATCTGTTTTTTTTTCTTTTGGTAAAAATACTTAAAGATATTTGATTCTAATTAGTGGACTTAAAGCGTTTCTAAAAAATGTTCAGAAACATTTGTTCATTCATCTATTTTCCCCCTAAGTACTTATTGAATTTAATACCATAGGCTTGAGAATTATACTAAATTAAGAAACACAGTGACAAGCAAATTACGTATTCTCTCTCAACTTTGTTTCTTCAACTAAAATTTGAAATAATAACTGTATCAATCTCAAATAAATGTGGAAAGTATTGCTTGCTGGGGCTTCTAGAGTGGCAGGATAGGGAAATCGATGGATTTTTTCCACAGTGAAACAACCATTTCAGTGGTGAAAATTATTTAAAACAAGTAAGTCTCTGAAAATTATTGTAAGGGCATATAGAAAATGGAGAAATATTTATTCAAGAAAGTTTACTAAATTCATTAAGAATAGCTAGAGTCCCCAACATGTAAGCTATGACCTGCTCCCACATGTCCTCTCCCCAACTGTGTGACAAAGATTTTACTCTGGGAAGGAGTGACCGCAAAGACAAGATAGAGGATCTCTCTCATACCAGCTCCTGGCCTAGGGATATGATTATATTCTGGGAGAGCCAAGCCACTAGTATCTTTTGTCCTTCCCAGTCCTGTATCATAGAAGTGTGGTTACAGGCAGGCACGACTGAGAAGTCAGGCCTTTCTTCCTCACCCAACTCTCATTCCTAGGATAAAGGCTCCACTCCAGGAATGAGAGTTCAAGAACACTGGGGCTCCAATCACCACCAACCCAGCTGTCTTGTAGGGTCTAAGTTCCATACAAGAAGGATAAAGCCAAGAAGAGCAGAGGCTAATATCATCTACCTCCCAACCCAAGTGTCCATTCTTAGAGCAGCGCTGTCACTCCAGGAAAATCTGACCACTGCTTCCACTTCCAACAGCTTTGGTGCAGTGCAATAGAAGTTCTGCCAAGGGGAGAGGCAGGCCATAAAAATACAGTAATCCACAGTTCTGTCTGAAAGAACTGACTTCACTTGGAAGGTAATGATAAGTTCATGCTTAATGATGTCCAAAAATGGACACATTAGTGATCAATTAAGAGAGGACTGGTAGTGCTATTGTCACTGTGACAACAAGCAAAATACCTGAGAAGCTAGAAAGAACAAGAGAAAGACACAGCCAACAATAGCCTTTTTGGTATCACACTATTTCTTGGGGGTCTGAAAGTTGTGCTTATGTGCTCAGCTGCACATACTCAGGAGCAATCAGAGTCCCCACAATAGGAAGACTGGAAAGTATATCTAAAGTCACACACAGATCTAACAACCAAACAGAATTCTTATTAGCTTGAGGGGCTTGAACACTTGCCAACTGCTCACCAAACACTGGCTGAACAATAAAATCACACTAATTACTGGTGATTTGGAAGACTGTTCACACATGCAAGACTGCACACCCTCAAGAATGACTGGAGAAACAATCTTGAGACACTTTTCCTAAACTGCATAAACTGTGAAAACAGTCTGCAAGCTACGCACATATGCAAGAGTAAAGGTGAAAATATAACTACCTAAGGTGGCCTGAACACAACCTTTCATTAATAAGTGGGAAGGGAGAAATATCTGAGTAGGGCCATTAGAGATTGTACACTACAGAGGAAACAGACATTAGAAAATTGTTCTAAGTAAATATAAGCAAAGAACAAATAAACAAAAACACAAGCCTCAAGATAAGGGGAGAGTTCCACACCCAGAGATGCTACAATATATTTTCTAAAATGTCCAAGTTTCAAAAAACATTCTAAGGCATGCAGAGAAACTGGGAAAATGTGACCAATACATTGAAAAATTTTACAAGTGGGTAGTAGAAACTAACTTTGCCAGATGTTGAAACTGGCTGACAAACACTTCAAAGTAGCTATATAAATAAGTTTAAAGACCTAAAAGAAACCATGTTTAGAAAAATTAAAGAAAGGTATAATAAGAATGTTTCATCAATAGGAACCACACCAAAGAAAAATAAATCATTCTATCAAAAAGACACATGCACTTGGATGTTCATTGCAGCATTATTTACAATAGTAAAGACATGAAATCAATATAAGTGCCACCAACAGTGGATTGGATAAAGAAAATGTGGAACATATACATCATGGAATACTATGCAACCATAAAAAATGATGAAATTGTGTCCTTTGCAGCAACATGGATGCCACTGGATGATATTATCCTACACAAATTACATAACTCAAGAACAGAAAACCAAATACTGCATGTTCTCACTTACAAGTGGAAACTGAACATTGGGCACACATGGACACAAAGATGGAAACAATAGATACTGGAGATTACTAGAAGGAAAGAATGAAAGTAGTAGTTACAAAACTACTTATTGGGTATTATGCTCACTATCTAGGTGATGGGATCATTCATAGCCCAAACCTCAGTGTAATGCAATATACCCATGTAAGAAACCTACACAAGTAATCCCTGGACCTAAAATAAACGTTGAAGTTTTTTAAAAAGGGAATCAGTTCATGTCCTTTGCAGAGACATGGATGAAACTGGAAATCATCATTCTCAGCAAACTAACGCAGGAACAGAAAACCAAACACTGCATGTTTTCACTCATAAGTGGGAGTAGAACAATGAGAACACATGGACACAGGAAGGGGGTTAGGGGTAAGGGGAGGGATAAGGGGGCCTCTCGGGGGTTGGGGATAAGGCGAGGGATAGCATTAGGAGAAATACCTAATGTAGATAATGGGTTGATGGGTGCAGCAAACCACCATGGCACATGTATACCTATGTAACAAACCTGCACGCTCTGCACATGTATCCCAGAACTTAAAGTATAATAAAAAATTAAATTAAATTAAATTAAAGGAACCACAAACAAAGGAACAGGATTTTAAAAATGTATATATAGGGAATTTTGGAGGTGAAAACTACAATGACCAGAATAAAAACCTGATGAAAGTGGACCAGCAGTATGTTTGAGTTGAACAATAGAATTTATTTTAAAGTCGATTACAAGAAATTGATATATTCTAAGCAACAGCAAGAAAGAGGCAGGGATAAAAATAAGCAATCTCACAGACATGTGGGGCACCACTGGGCACACCAATATACATGTAATGAGAATATCAAAAGGAGTGGGAAGCAGAAAAGATGTCTGAAGAAATAAGGGTTAAAAATAATTTTGTGAAAAAATTTATGTACACATTTGAGAAGCTTAGTGTACCTCAAGAAGAATAAACACAAAGAGATCCAAACTCAACACATCATAGATAAAATGTTAAAAGACAGAAAACTTTGAAGGCAGTAAGAGGAAAATACTTAACACATACAAAGGAACCAAAATGAAATTAACAACTAAGATTTCATCTGAAATAATGGGAACTAGAAGGTTGTGGAATGCCATATTCTAAGTGCTGAAACAAATAGAGAAATTCAACCAAGAATCCTATGTCCAGCAAAACCATCTATGACAAATGAAAGCTAACTAAAGATATTCCCAATAAACAAAAACGGAGAGAATTCATTAATAGGAGACTTGCTGCAATGGTTTGAATGTTTCCTCCCAAACTTATTTTGAAATGTATTACTATCATCATGGCTATTAAAAGGTGATTATTCCATAAGGGCTGTGCCCCTACGAATGGATCAATGTCATCATCACAGGAGTGAGTTCCTTACTGTGAGAATAGGTTGCTATAAAAGCAAGTTCAACAACCTTTTGCTCTCCAGCACTCTCTTCACTTTCTGCCTTTTGCCATGAGATGATACAGCACAAAGGCCCTCACCAAATTTTGGTGTCAAGCTCTTGGACTTCTCAGCCTCCGGAGTCATAAGCCAAATGAATTTCTATTCTTTATAAATTATCTGGTCTGTAGTATTCTGGTATAGCAACACAAAATGAACTAGACATCTGCCTTACAACAAATACTAAAGGAAATTTTACAGACTGAAAGTAAGTGACACCAAACAATAATTGAAATCCGTAAGAAAAACACAGAATTCCTTGTAAAAAAAGAAATGTGTAGATAATGGTAAAAACCAGTATAATCACAAACGTCTTTTTCCTTATTTTCTTAACTGATTTTAAAAATTCTTATATAATATCTATATAATTATATTGCTGAATCTATACTGTATTGAAATTTAATGTATTTGATAATAAAAACACACAACAGGGGAATAAGAATGAACCTATATTGGCAACGAATCCATGCAGGAAATGACACCAAATGATAACTCAAGTCCGTGGAATAAGAAAAAGCCAAAAACGGTAAATTGAAATGCTAACAACAGAAAAACTGCATAAATATATATGTACTCTAATTTCTTTTCTACCTACTTTAAAATACATAGTATTATATGTCAATAATTATAATAATTTAATTGGTTGGTAATACGTAGACATGAGTATGAATAATAGTACAGAAAGTGGAAGGGATGGACCCAAATAGAAATAAAATTTTTATATCTTACTTAAATTAGACTAATATAAATATGAAGAAGAGTCTAATAAGTTAAGGTATATATTATGAGTCTTAGAACAATCACTAAGAAAAATAATACTTCAATAAATATTTTGTAAAATAAATAAATTTATGTAACATGATTAGAACAGTACCTGGAACATGAAAAGTTCTGTATTAGAATTGTGTGTTACTATTAATATTATCATTTTTGTCTCATGAGGGCTAAAAATAATTTCCACTCTAAAATTATTACATTCTAAAAACATGAAAATGAATCTGCCTTCTCAAAGTTGTGTCTGGAAGAAGAGAAGAGTGGTGAATTGTGAAGATGTTCTTCTCTTTAGAGAACTGTGGGTTGGGAGGGAGCATGAGGAGTACAGATCATAGATGAGAAACATTGAGGCAATGCTCTTTCTTGAACCTGTGATGACAGTATTGAAAACATTTCCTGGACACTTGACCTGTGCCTTGAAACAAGTTGAGTACAAATCTAAGGGTAGATTTCTTAAGACCCTGTGAAACATTTCATGTTCTATGACTTATTTCCATTTGCCTGAGCTCTAATAATTTGTATTAAAATTCTATTGTTGGAATTTTAGACAGGCTTATGTCTAGTAATTTGAGTTCCATGCATTTCTATAGAGCGAGAAGCTTGACCCTTTTTGAAAACTAATTTGTTTCCTGATATAATTTATATAAAGTTCAAGGGAACCAGAAAAGTAAAGTTTTGAAGGAAATGAGGCTTGTTTAATTAACAGTGAGTGAATCATTAGTCTGTGTGAAACCACCAATAAAAATAATTGGAGATTAACTCAAATATTTATAGTAACAATAGAAAAAAATAAGGGTTAATTTTAACTTATCGAGGCAACTATCTGATCAATTCTGTATTAGGCAATTTTCTATTGAATGTCTCGCAATAATGTTCTGAAGTGAAGGCTTTGTGGTTTAATCATTTGGGGAAAATTAAATGTTTTAAACTCTGCTTGCATAAGAAAGTATGATACGTGTAATAATTATAGAGGGAAAGAAAATTTGTCAAGTTATCTGAGTTGTTTTAAAATCTCTGATTTCATGATTTTTTAAAAAAAAGTTAGATACAGAGGCTCTCCAGGCTGGAGTGCAGTCATAGGATGGTGATAGTCATAGTCATAGCATAGTCAAATGCTATGCCATAGTCATAGCAAGGGCAATCATAGCTCACTGCAGCCTCGAACTCCTGGACTCAAGTGATCTTCCCACCTCAGCCTCTTGAGTAGCTGGAACTACAGGCACATGCCACTGGGCCTCGAAAGTTTAAAAAGAAATTTTTTGAGACAAGGTCTCACCATTTTGCCCAGGCTGGGCTCAAACTGCTGGCTTCAAGTAATCCTCCTCCCTCAGCCTACTGAATAGCTGGGATTACAGGCATGCCAATACATCCAGCATGATATTTTACTCTCCCAATTATTATGTATTACATCTTCTGTTCTCCTACTATAGTGTTTATGTTAAAAAAAAAAGAGTAAGTGGATTAAAGACACTTTCTATGGACTGCAAAGCCAGAATGTTATGTATTTAACAAAGCCTCCTGGTAATACTAAAAAATTGTGACAACACTTAATATATTTCCATAAGGTTTTCCTTACAAACATGATCATGAATAAATTATCATCACACTGTTTAATATAAAGTTTGTTTTTCTATTTGGTACAAAATTTAAAGTTAATTCATTGTTACTTTAAAATGTATTTCCCCAGTCAAAACTAATACCTTCCATAAGTACTGTGATGTTCTGCAACCCAGATGTGCGCAGCATTATTTTGATTGTCTGCAGCTTCACATTTGATAAGTTGTTATGCTCACCAACCTGAAATAATATGTTTCTATTTTAATTAATTTCAACTTTTAATTTAGATTCTGACGGTACATGTGCAAGTTTGTTATGTGGGTATGTTGTGTGATGTTAAGGTTTGGGGTACCAATAATCCCATCACCTGGACAGTGAGCACAGTACCCAATAGATAGTTTTTCAGTCCTTACCCTTTTGCCCTCTCCCACCTTGAGGAGCCCCCAGTATCTGTTGCTGCCATCTTTGTGACCATGTGTACCCAATGTTTAGCTCCTACTTATAAGTGAGAACATGTAGTATTTGGTTTTCTGTTCCTGCATTAACTTGCTCAGGATAATGGCCTCCAGCTGCATTCATGTTGCTGCAAAGGACATGATTTTATTCTTTTTTATGGCCAGTATTCCATGGTGAATATGTACCACATTTTCTTTATCCAGTTCACCATTGTTAGGAACTTATGTTGATTCCATGTCTTTGCTATTGTAAACAGTGCTGTGATGAACATATGAGTACACGTGTCTTTTTGGGGAGAACGATATATTTCCCTTTGGGTATATACCTAGTATTGGATTTCTGGGATGAATGGCAGTTCTGTTTTTGGTTCTTTGTGAAATCTCCAAACTGCTTTCCGCAGTGGCTGAGATAATTTACATTCCCACCAACAGAGTATAAGTGTTCCCTTTTCTCCGTAGCCTTGCCAGCATCTGTTATGTTTTGTCTTTTTAATAATAGCCATGAAATAATGTGTTTTCTAATTTCATGTTATTTTGTTTAATTTTATTCCTGTCACAACTTTTACTATGCTAATGTCAGGTGAGTTCAATTGTCAGAGCCTTCTCTGAGACAAATGAGAGACAAAGACACATTCTATATTGTGTTTGCTAGGATTTTATAACAAATTCCACTAGTAGGACAACATCTACACTTATGATTTATGTTAAATGCAAAATTTTACATTTGTTCATATGAGTATGTGTGATGATCACTGTGAAACGCTTCTAAATTGGTAGCCACTCCTACCTGTGGCTCATTGCCTTGTGCCAAAAATGAATTGGGCACTTTAAGCAGGCCACCTGCAATTGGATAATTGCAGCAAAGACAATGCCCAGACTTCAGGCCATTGTTTAGCTGGCAATGATCATACCCTAAACAAAAGGGAAGAGAATCATCTTCAGATAAATGTGTTTAATGCCAACATTTTTATTTAAAAAATAAGCCAGTGTTCGTATACTACAAAGTATGCTTTTTCAGAATCATAATGTAATCTTTCCACCCTCTTGACTATTAACACCTCTTGCCTGGAGTTCACACCTTCACTGAGACAACTACTTTTGAGTGGAGCTTTTCAACCTTTATATCCAAGTATCTTAAAACAGTTGGGGAATTCTTAAAATGCTATTTTTTTTCTTCATGTGTTTGTTCTTATTGTAAGCTCTCTGTTCCATTCTTGGTCAGAGTCACGATAACATTTTCCTAATTTGGAGGATGCTTTTCGGCATATTTTTAAGGCTTGCTTCATTATGAAACAAATGAACAAGTTGTGGGTCAACAGTGACAATCAAATACAGAGGCAGATAGGATCATCAGTAGGAAGCAGCTATAATTGTATACAAGGCTTCCATCTCCTAGGTAAGTTTCTCACTTACCTAGTTCTGTATAATAATCTAGGTGAACAAATGCCAAAGTAGCAAAGAGAATCAGTTCCTAAGGAGGCTTGCAAGTCTTCATTATGATTTTGTTTCACTGCTAACAGTTAACAATGACAACAAAAACAAAACCAAAAATATTCATTGAAAAATGTGCTGACCTGTTGCCACCCTCGGTGGCTCATTGGATTTTAACCTAATTTATACACATTTGATTGTCCCCCTTAAAATTTTAGAGTTCCCAATATAGTAAATTGGAATTTGTTTTGTTTAATAAAAATATTGCCAGATAGCAACTGTCAGTTAGAAAATTAGATTTAATTTCCCTTTGTAAGTAATTAGCTGTTAGTGTCTCCGCTCTCTTTATGCATATAATTAACTTTTCTAATCAAATATAACTTCTTTGGTGTTGAAGATAATACTACAAGCTTTGTCATCAAATATTACACTTCCGTTTCATGGCAAACTTAAGTGAAATAAACTGTTTACTGTATTCTACTCATAGGATTTTTACATGCAAATGGCAAACAAACAGGAAAGATGTAAAGAGTTTCTAATGGCAAGGTTTCTCTGTTTGGGGAGGCATTTCATTTCTTGACTTCTGTTTTGAGACTCTGAAATTGTAATCAAGTATATAAAAACTTGGACATGAGCAGGTGTTTGACTGCTCAGCTCTGCACTGTGCCTCTGGGTCACCCTGAGCATCATTTACATCAAAACCATTCAACTCAAGCCTGGCTCATTGCCCATGATTCTGGGCTGGAACTCAGAGATGTATCTCTATGACAGAAAAGTAACTGTTTAAGACGTGAATAATTTAGCTACAAGGCTTAACTTAGTGACATATAGCTTTAAAAAGGTAATTGAATATTTAATTTATACATTTAATTTGTGTGGAGGCATGATCTTTTAAGCAGAAAATTAATTAATACTTATTCCTGAATTAGCTATGTAATCATTCTTACTTAACTGGTGGTGGTCTGCTTTGGATATTAGTAACCTCCATAAGATCTCAGCAAAATATGCAAAATACTGTGTGGCTATTATATTTGATATTGGAAAAGCAGTAAATATAAAAACAGCTTTAAAAATTATTGTTCATTGAAAAAATGCCAATCCTATTAATACTGTCTATACAGATTTTGCTCAACTAAGAAAAACCATTGCTGTCCGAAGCAAATAATGTGGGAAGGGCAAAAATTATTATAACAAACCCAGGTATTCTGCTCTGATCTCATTGCATAATTATAAATCTTGTAAAGTACTTTTACTCGGGCCAATATTAGATTATGGCTGTCAGCTACAAATACTGAAAAAGAAAAGTATATTTAGAGAATAATCTATTTTGCAGCATTTCTAGCTTTACCTAAAGAAAATCATTTCAAATGTTTTGCCTTGAATACTGTGAGAAAAAAAGTTCATTGTCTCTTTAGAATAAAAATAGGAAAATAATCTGAATTTATATTAAAAAATGTGTAACCCCCCAGGTTTTCTCCTTAGCATTGCAAAATATTTTATTTAATATTAATTGGCCGCTTACATTAGTATCTTCTTTATTTCCTTGTTTTGCTGTAATAAACAAGCTATCTAAAGATTAAGTTACTTATATATAATCCATTCTCAAAATTAAAAAAAGTTAACACTGTTATTATGATTTAGACAAAAAAATTCAAGTTTTATGGATTCGTTAAATGTTCTGAGCACACATTTTTATTGACGTGCATATGTAAATGTGAGTAAAAAAAAACTACTGCCAATAAAATGACTTTTTTCCACAATGTGAATTATTTATTATGACATGCAATATATTTCATGGTTATGTACTTAGGAAATATCAACTCATTTTAATGTTAGTGTCAACACACCATAATTAGTAAATAAAATTTTCTCTGCTAGAGTGTATTCCAAAGCCAAACAAATTATTTTAGATATTCAGACACTTCTATTAACATGGATAACTTAGAGTTGACCCTGTGAGTGTGTGTGTAGACCTTTTTATAGATAAATTATACTTAATCACTTTTATTATTCTTATTAAATAGAAATACAAACTAATAAGAAATAATGCAATTTTAAATTTTCTTTAAAAATTAATGTCTCTGAATATATGACATGACAAATGACTAAGATAAGACAAAATAATTCCGATTTTATTCTTGTAGTATTAATATATGCAAATAGGAAAGAATGACATTTGCTTCAGCTTTCTAGCAAATATATTACTGTTAATGTATATTGAATATGCATTAAAGGGAGAAATTTGCCTTTTAGCTCTGGTGAACTAATAATTCAAATTGTTATAAAGTTTTAAGTTCTCACATTAAGAGGCTATTTTAGAGTAAAAACAAAAATACCACTTTCATACTTACGTCATTTCCACAAATAAAGAAAAGCAATACAAAGTTCAATGGTGATGCTCATTGAATGTCTCAGTTATTTCTAAAATAATTGCCAGGATGTACCATAGTCATTTAAATTATATAACTCTCTTAATCAAGTTTTGTCAGTCATTTACTGTCAATGCTTATATTCTCCTAAAGCCAGATACAGGAATAAGACACTGTGTAGCTATAAATTGTGATCTGTTTTTATAGAAGTGTCATGATGTAGTGTAACATCCTCTATAAAGTATATGAAGCTTCAGAGAAAGGACAGAGTCAAAATTGTATTTCTTGGGATTTTTTCTCATAGAACGAAACTGTACGCTTGTGCTCTCAACTGTTTAGCCTTAAAATTACCTTTAAGTTTACTAAATAATTACTGCTTATCAAGCAGGTACCAGAAATGTTAAGAAGTATAAGTGATATAAAATGGATCTTCTGACTTAGAGGAATTTATTATCTTGATTTGGGATATAATCTGTTCACAAAAATATTAAACAGTAGAAGACTGTGGACAGTATGAGTATTGGAAAGACTAATGTTACATTATTAGAATTATTTTAATTACAAGAGTAGAGTGGACTTGAGGGTTCAATGAAAGACTTATGTGAAATTTGAGTTCAGTTGAATTTTATGGAATAATGAAAAGGCTTGACGGATTAAGGAAAAAAGTGGTAAGCATTCCAGAGAGTGCAGCACAGAAGAAGAAAATCCAAGAAATCAGGTTTTATTTGGGCATGTGAGTCTTCCAGAAAAGGAATTGGGGAGTGGTGACAGGTAAGTTGTATCCAAATTAAGAATAGACAGAAAAGTCAATTTGAAAAGTTTGATCTTTTTCTCTTGAGAATCAGGACTTTTCATCATTCTATGCAGATAAATGATAGTGATGGGCTATCTTTAGGGGCTGCGTTTGGGGAAATTGACCTCTGCATCATCAGGTGGACAGAATCTCCAAAATAAGCTTATACGTGTACCAAGAAAGGAAGAGAGATTGTCTTCGAATACCTATTCTTTCTTCCCTGAACCATATATTTCTTTCCTAAATCTCTCCCCGCCCCCACCACACACACAAGTCAGCTTTTATTTACCTGGATTTCATAGGAAGAGAGTCATGACTAATAAATTCAAAAGCCAAAAGTAATTTTGGCTTGGCTTTGTAATGCTTAGAAATATGTGTATCAAGTCATATTTATTTTATCAGTTATTTTTGTTGCACTGATATTAAGATGCACTTCATAGTAGGTTTGCCTTATATTGTAGCCATATCAGGCTTTTTGCCATTTTCTGAACATACCATCTGCTTAGCTGATTCTGCACATGGGCCCCTGCAAGTCTCATGCCAGTAATATTAATTTTAACTACTATCACATTCTCCAGCGTGCCAACCACTGTGCCAAGTGCTTTTCATTTATCAGCTCATATAATCCTTACAATAATCCTATTCTTTTAAATGAGATAATTGAGACCCAGAGAGATCAGTAACTAATTCCATTCCACACTAGGTCATGACATCATTGAGGGATGATTCTATATATTCATCTTTCTCCTACCAGTGACTGTCATAGTGATAGTAAATGTTGGCTGATTAAATACCTAATGGTGGAAGAGGAAAACATAGGTAATTGTGCTAACCTTGAAAGGGCCAACATTATGTAAAATGATATCATACTTAATGTGGACAAGATATGAAAGTTAGGGAATTAATATTCATGTGAAAGACAAGTAGTGATCTAGTAAATTAGTGAAGTTAGAATGCGATTATTAGAGATCAGTCTTGCTGCATATCATCAACCCTTATGCATAGCCATATCTTAGACTTTACTATTACTAAAATAATTTCATTTTTAATATTTTAAACTATGAAACAGCACTTCTAGACCAAAACATTCAATACTAATAAATATCTCTCCCTTGTTTAGTTTACAATCTATCAAGATATGCTATGCTTTTCTCTACAATTTTCTCCAAGGAAACATAGTCACCTTATTCTAATTCCCCACTCAGACTGGTGATGAGTTGGCCTACTAGCTCATTAATGGTCTCATAATTATGGTTTTTGTTTCCTTCTGCTGTACTCATCAGCCAGTCCCTAACTCTGGTTAAATATTGCAATTTGTTATCTATCTTATTGCAGTAAGAAAATAAAAACTTTTGGAAAAAAATTGCAATAATTTAGGGGATGGTATAAAGATACAACTTCAATATCACTGTTTTCAGTTTTAGGTTTAGTTGAACTACTACTTGTCAATCCCTTTTTTAAAATGTATTTGTGTCCTGTTTTTATTCAGAGGATTACTTAATAACTCTGAAAGTCACTTTGGTTCCTTACCAAACTTTGAAACCATTATTCTTAGAATTAGTACACCTCTGACTTCCTTTACCAAACTGTTGGCCTACATTTCTGCAATGCTTATTAAGCCTTTATACTTACATTTGTCTTACTTATTCTAAAATCCCTGGAACTTAACACATTCTATAGACTATCACAAGTAATGAGCAAACATTCTCTTGAATCAATAAATATGATAATTAGGGAGTTAATGTAAGTGAGGTTGATAAAAAAATTGGTAGTTAGAAGTTGGAATAAGGTATTAAATCTGAAGATGGACAAGAGAAGTAGCAAGAACAGACATCGAAAAGTTGAATATAAGTGCTTGAAATAAGGTTGAAGCCTCTATCACCAGAAATGACAATTTCTGAATTGTAACTACAATCAGTTAAGCCTTTAGATTGAGTTTTATGAAGAAACAGCACAATCATGCCATCTTTAGGTTCTAGATTTCAAGGAATCAGAGAATGTAGTCCATGAGAGGGAATGCAGTGAATATTCTACAGAGATTAGAGTACAGTAAAATGTGTGGTAGCACAGGAGAGTTAGATGATACCATACCCTCTATTTTTGTTGAAATTACTGGGCACAGAAGCCCTGACATTAATAGAAACTTCCTCTTCCTCTTAATTTGAAAAGAATCACTTGAACAAATTGCATATATAGACTAGCAATAGATACTGATAGCTATTTTTAACATTTTTTTTTTTTTTGAGACGGAGTCTTGCTCTGTCGCCCAGGCTGGAATGCAGTGGCGCGATCTCGGCTCACTGCAAGCTCCGCCTCCCGGGTTCACGCCATTCTCCTGCCTCAGCTTCCCGAGTAGCTGGGACTACAGGCGCCCGCCACCACGCCCAGCTATTTTTTTTGTATTTTTAGTAGAGATGGGGTTTCATTGTGTTAGTCAGGATGGTCTCGACCCTCTGACCTCGTGACCTGCCCGCCTTGGCCTCCCAAAGTGCTGGGATTACAGGCGTGAGCCACTGCGCCTGGCCAACTTTATGTTTTTACTACAGAAGGAAGAAGACAATTTTAAATATAGACCCACTGATTCTGTATTAGATTATTGTTCATACTTTTCATACTTCTCTTTTAATCCTCCTAATTTCTCGTTAAGACATTATTAGTTTCATTTATCTGAGTGAGAAAATGTGTACTCAGAAAAATAATTTGTTTAAGGCCATTTATTACATAGTAGAACTGGAATCTCAATGCTAATTTGCTTGATCAAAATCCATATTAGCTTCGTCGATTTTGCTGTACCAACTGAGAAAGGAGCTTGCATTTTCCTTTGGGGTCCTGGATAAAATGCAGGATTAGCAAAGTTATTGAGAAATTTTAGAAGGTTTTCCTTGTTTAACGTTAAGCGATTGCATAGCATTTTCTTCTAAATGATGAAAGGAAAAACAACGACTTGCTACTTAGAGTTTAAGGAGTACCATAGCTTTAAAACACCTCATATAAGTGGGTGCAGGTGTTTTTAGATTGTATCTATCTATTTAAACCTCTTTAAATCCTGGTAAAAATAATGACTTCTATTAAGATTTTTATGCAAACTTTAGTAATTAATATTTACTTAAATATTTGCACTCTGATATAAGAATTTATTTTCGAGTTAAAAACTTAGTGACCTGGTGGATTTTGTGTTGAGAATTCAGGCTCTTGAAACAAATTTCACTGTTCATTTCACCATCTCTGTCATTAATTTATTTCTATAAAGGTGAAGCATAGTGAAAATGGATATCATCAGTGACTTTGAAATAAGGACAAGAGATTATTTGTCACGTTAAGATTGTTCCACCTTAAAACAAAGATGTCTAATTAATGCATTTATTTTATTTTATCTTGGAATGTGTATTTTATACTACTAATTACATGTATCTAATCACTTTTTAAAAATAACGTATACTATCACCACCTCTTGCATTATAGCTTTCTTTGATGAACTTAAAAGCGTGGCTCTCAAGACTAATTCTGTACTTATTTAAACCTTTGATTATTTATTTCCATGGCTTACAAAGTCCCAAATAAGAATCACCAGCAGCAGATATGCATGCAGTGGAAATACATAATGCTGATTTATCCCCAGGAGGGAATATCTATGCAAAAATAAAACTATCAAATGGCTGTAAACATTACATACTAACTTTAAGCACTCATTTTTTTCCACTTCCAGTGAATTAAATAGTATTTAAAATACTTGAATTGTCTTTATTAACAAAACCAATAAATGTGATGTGATTATTGAACATCTAATATGTGTGGAAGGTAAAAAAAAAATTGCATCATTAGTATTTACAATGACCTCTCCATTCTGCCTTCTAAGGGGTGAGGTGACTTTGGTTGCCAAGGCTGTATTGAGTGATTGACTGGTTCTAAAGGAGAATTAGAGAAGTCAAGAAAAGGCTAAGTTAAGGAAATGTTAACAAGGAAAGTTAAGGAATGTGAACAAAAAGAGCAGTAAATCAGGAGTTGGTGAAACTTTATTGAGAAAAATAGATAAATTCTCAAAGAAGTGGAGCTTTTAAGAAGAGTGAAATACTAAAAAAGAATTTTTTGTGAGTGAAGTTTTATTATTATTTGTTTGACATACTCTCTAGCCTGAAAATATTAGTACAGCATGGGCTCTTCTTTTGAAGGCTTTGGACTGTAGGAGTTTCTGTATATGTGTGTGTGAATGTGCATCAGTATACATGTATATGTTTTGTCTGTTCACAATTATATTAATATTAGCCTCTAAAAATGCAGAAGGATGATTAGACAAGTATCAGATATTATGTGATAATTAAATTAAAAAGACAGCAACAATCTAAGACACTTTACTAGATATAGCAGAAATCATGACATGTATTTATATCTATTATTATGCATGTATATAAACATATCAGAATTTAAAATGAGCTTAATTCCAAATTTTCCACTGATTGGCATGAAAGTTTACACTTGCTATTCTTTTTAAATTGTGGGCTATTTGAACAAAGTTAATACTACAGTATTAAGAAATTACAAATTTATTTCAGTAAATATTTAACCATAAGAGATTATTGTGCACTTATTTTATTTCAGGTTTATGTCTTCCTCCTATCTTTCTTGTAATTGGAGGTAGCATAAATACCAAATATAACTGCTAAAACAGTATTTAATTCTCTCATTGCCATGCAAAATATTTTATAAATTCTCACAGTTTTTGTAACATATTATTTAGTATTTATATGTTACAGTTGTCTTTTAAGTATCTAAATTGCTTTCTAAAACACTTTAGCATAAGTGCACTTATATTTCAATTTATGTAAAATGGAAATGTCTAATTTTCATGGTAAACAAGAGCAAAATATACATGTGGCTACTCAACTACCTAAATTAGATAGGTAAATTTAACTATACAGCTTTTTACCAATCAGTGTATTCAATGTTTGTTTTAAAATCATTGATTTTTACATAGTTGAATTCTTTCAAGACTTAGAGTTATCCAGACTTATAGAAATATTCCACATTTTACTCTATATGATTCCGAAATCTGTAACTACAAATGTATTCTATAAAAACATATACTATTATTTTTTTCATGGTGAAGATTAGAGGGAGTGGATAAAATATAAAATGAGTAGAAATCAGTAAGCCTTGGTAATAGAGCAACTTAGCACATCATTTCCTTCCTTGGCATACTCATGTATTTTCAGGCCAAGTGACTTTTTCACTGTCAACTTCTGGTGTGTTATGTCATATAATTTAATAGTAAAAAATAGCAACTAAATGTTTTATATGAATATGCTTGTCTTACTCCTTATTGTTTACACTGTGTTTCCTTTATTGAAATTATGATAGCTTTCAAATTTAAATTAAACAAGTACAGTAGTCTGTTGGTATTGAGGCACTTAACATGAAGTTTCAAATATTCATAATCAGCCTTAAAGTAATGTGACAAATAGTGATCAGTAATTTCAGTAAAGTACTAATTTGAATCACTCTTGAATTGAGGCTTTTGATGACAAAGAAGTTGATGGTCTACCTAGAAAATTCATCTCAGGGCTGCTTTGATGTTCTTCACTTGTTGTATACATATTTTATGCTTATTTTTCCCAAGGTTGAGTTCAGGAAACAGAAAGCACACTGATCTCTTTCAGCAGAAAGTGATCTAATAGAGTTAATGAAGAACATATAGACATGTTAGAAAGACAGCAGCAGTGAGCTTGTGTAGGCCCACATCACATAAAGTGAGCAGTAGTGAGCTTGTGTAGGCCTGAGGAGAGACTCTCTGAACCTTCAGAACTAACCCATCAAGGGAGCTACTCGTATCATGGTCAGAAAGGCAAGAAAGCTAGAAACCACCAATAGAACAATATAGTTCAAGAATACACCACCACAGTTGCAATCCGGGCTGCTTCTACATCCACACCCATTGCTTCTTGACGCCCGTGGAGTTCGTGATGATATGCTGAAAATCTGTTGCAGAAAAAGTTTTCATGTCTGAGCATGAAACCATAATTGCAAGGAGATAGCCCAAATAATTAGTGAAATAACATCTGCTTTATCTATTGGCATTGATTCTTGTGAAGTACATCAAATTGCTGAAACCTAATTTGCATTCAGAACTCTAGCTATGAGACTTTTGGGAATATAGGTTTCCAGCCTGTGGAATACAAGAAAGCATATTAGAAAGAGATGGGAATGAATGCTGAGGGTCGATTGATCATATTCTACAAAAATGCAGGACTTACATTTAGAATTTGAAGATTTCATAAAATCTTAGGATGATTCTTCCTGAATGTCAAGGGTCTTGTATCGTACTTAATAATGTACCGTATTTAAACTCCATTTAAGGAGAAAGGAATGGCAAGGAGGAGATGAAACTTCCCTTTCTTTACTGCTTTCAGGTAAATGGGCTGAATCCTTGAAGATGATTTGTGGTGATGGGTATTCATGGTTTATCTAATCTGTTACATTTACACTTGTTAAATATGATGTACAACACACATAACTTATTAGTACATTATATATTTATTTAAAAATAAATATTGATAACACTCACTCAAAAATAATGTCATAATAGTGATGTGTGATTAAAAATATCTGGAGACCACTGGCCAAAACCAACTTATTTTAGCCATATCCATCACTGAATTATTCTGGTAACCCTTGCATGCCCTACACCTGTTCTAGAAAAAGCATAAGGATTTTCAGGCAAGATTATTCTTGTTCTATATGATTTGGGTGTAGGCTTTATTTAGCATGGAATACTGTGTTTTTTTTCCCTTCTCAGAGTCTGATAATAATGTGCACTGACATAAAGCACCCTGCACATCCTATCCCTGAAAAATAGCAGAGGAAGAAAGGGAGGAGGGGAATGTTCTTCAGCCCTGTTTTATTTTCACACGAAAGTGACCAAAAGACACAGTCTCCACTGCCTGATTTCCCGAGGACACTTTCCAGCTCTCAATCAAACAAGCAGGAACCCAGAAGCTATTCAGAGCTCCCTATTCTTCGGCAAATGCATACTTATCCCCTTCCTGGCGGAGCTGCACATATTGTCTGCAATACACAACTAGATGTATAATGGCTTTTTTGCAACCCTGGATTGTTCTCCAGGCCCTGGCCACCTACACTGAGCAATAAGGGGACAAAATTGAAGAAGCTTTTTAGCTTTTATAGCTTATTGATTTTTATATTTTCTGATGTATTAGAGCAATTTTTCAAACGTATCCTCCTTACCTTGATATCTTGAGTGTAGAGAGAGGATTTCACATTTATTAGCTTTTCTTTGGTTAAAAAAAAAATATATATATATATATATAAATACACATATGTGCATGTGTATATATATATATGGTCTCAGTGTTATCTCAGAGATATAAATGGTTTGGTATAAAAAAATCAATTCTCAGAGTAAAATTCAAAGATTGTGTGCAAGTGTTACATAAAAAGCAGACAACAAGGAATATACCCTTTCCAACCAGGTAACAAAGATGGTTTTGAAAAGTATAGTTTCTGGATGGCAGTTAAATTTAGAGATGCTCAATACTTTTCAAATAGAAAAGTTCTATCAAAATTGAGAGCATATAATGTGGTGAATACTTTTTTTATTATCTCTGATCATCCGTGACAGCATTAAAAAAAGAAGTACAGCACAAATGACTTCTCCAATGGGAGTAGTCTTTGCTCAGAACTCAGATATTAAGACAAGGTGTGAAGCATTTCATGGTAAAGACTCTTTGAAGTTTTGCATTTTAAAATAATAGGTGCAAAAGAAAATTATTTTGTGATATCCTAGTTCACTGTCTGATACAAAATAATTAATTTCCCTCTATTTCCAAGAGAGTTTATTGCTTTATAATCAAGAATTTAACATGAACAGTTGGGACTTTTAAATTTGTTTTAAACTATTTTAGAACTATTTTAGAAATATTTGATGGGGATTTTTTTGAAAATTACTCTGGGTGTTGGGAGTAGGGGACACATACCAAATAGTGCATAGGCCATGCCCTCAGGGAGGTTGGAGTGGCACATGGCTGTATCTAGCAGGCTCCTGTTGACTGGTGGGCCCAAGCAGTGAGTGCCTGTGATATGTTTGGTGCTCAGGACCTGCTTACTTGCTGGACCACACTTGACAATGTAGCTCCTTCCCTTCGCCTTCCCAGGGGTGCGGGAAACACACAGGCATGAAGAGCGTGGCCTGGGCGGGAAATTAAAAGTTAATGTTTTCACTCAGTTAATAGACATTTGGCTCTTTTTTGTGAAATTTTTCTTTTTTTCCTCTTCACAACACTCTTTTAGGTGTTATGTAGAGTGATGGGAAGAGTGACTGTGCTTTTGCTTGAAGTGCAGTGGGTATGGCAGGAACTCTGCAAAGGTGCCTCTTCCATGAGGGTCTAGCAGATTAAAATACTTTGAATTTTAATTCAAATAAATGCCCATCAAACATTAAATTTGTTTAGAATTAGGATAAACACTCTCCTTTTAGGAAAATAAATTCTATAATGTATTACTATTATTAAAAAACCTTCAAAAACATGTAATTAGAGAAGAAAATTAAAATATCCAGGGATTTTTAGAAACTACAAATATTCTGATCCTCCACAATGTCCCCTACTATTTTGATATAATGATTGAAATTGATTTACATTTATTTTTCTTGAGGGCATTTTTTTCTTCAAGAGTCAAATATTACAATAGAGAGAGTAAATTGAGTTAATTATTGATTTAAAGCAAATTACAATTTTAGATTTGTTTCTTACTTGTATTTTCAGTGATCTAAAATGCTAGACATATGATAAACTTTCTTCGATAAAGGGAGTAGGAAAGATAAATGTAAAAGACAGTGTGCCATGCCAACTATTGCATGAACTTAATAAGTTAATAAAACTCCCTGAGGATCAGTTATTTCATCTATAAATTGGGAATATGATAAACACAGGGTTGTTTCATTTTGAGATCAAATAATGTAACCAACTTGAAACACAAAGCACTCAATCAGGGATGTAATTGTGAGCTAAAAAAAATTACAGTATATTTTCTTGATTGTTCCATCTCACGGCTTATGAGTTTATATGATTCAGAGGGTATTGCATTTAAAGATAGGGCTGATGGCTATTAGAGTGGTGTAAATGATGGGAGATACAAGTTAAGGGCTCTCTAAGTTCATCCCAGGTAAAAGGTTGGGACTACCTGAAAGAAAGAGAAGATAGAATCTGGAAGAAAAATGTAAGGAAAGGAGTAGACAATTTCAATTTCAACTGCATCCTAATTTTATCTAGGACCTATTCTGAGCTTTGCTTTCATATGTGCAGACTTTTTAAATTTTTTTTTTAACATATAGAGGCTGTGAAGGCTCAAGTTGCTGTGGCATGTTTTAGAAGCATTCCTTTTAATCACAACTTTGCTCTTGCTATCCTCAGGCCTTCGGTATCAATTAACTACTTAACATCATTTCCTCAGCTTCTGAAGTTATTGAGAGTTGTCCATTTTAATTTGCTCATTTACATCTTTTGGCAAAGAACAATGTGCCAGTGTGAAATATGCCTCCTTTGGTTCACTTCAGTGAACCAAGTCAGGGGTTGGACATCACGGTTAGAAAACTGTCACTTAATTCTCAGTGGCTGTGTGAAAGCACTAGAGAATGGGCGCCCCTGGGCTCCTTATACAATGGGAGCAAATCTCCATATGGTCTTTATCTTGTTTCCTATTCCATATCTTCTCTTCATCCTTGAGATGCAACTGCAAAGCACTGCCATCCGTTCTGCTTTAGGAGCAGCAAAGATGATCTGACAGCCCATTCTGTGATCATCCCACAACAGATTTCTGGAGTCCAGCCCAGTCTTTGGAATTTTCACTGAAGTTCTGAGCAGTGGTAAAATCCCCTTCACCTGACCCTCATGGCTTTGACTTCAATTTTCTGACAAGTAAGTTTGTTTTGAACAAAGGACTGGGAGAAGGGAACAGTTAGAGTTGAAGGGAGCAGGCTTTCTAATACACTGATTGAAAGCAATACAGCCTTGAGTAAACATTGACTTACAGTGCTGCTCCAACCACTACCTGAATGGATTATCTGCCAGATGTACACTTGTTGTGTAAACGAGGGCTTTCCAAGTATGGTTTCGCTTGAACTTTCTCAGTCAGAATCTGTAAATGATCTGTTTCTTCTACAACTTACTTGTACTCCATCTTACAGCATTTGCTTTTTTAAGTGTCCCCTTTTCCATTTTTTTTAGCAAATATCTCACTGTATCATATTAGATGTCATACAGATTATGGTCCAAGCCAAAATACACTTGAGAGTGAAAGAGGCTGGGGTAGAGAATATTATCAATCAGATCTCTGGCACAAGAGTACAGACAGGCATAATCTGAGACATCCCAGGCAAAAAGAAAAAGGTTTACCCTAATTTATTATCCATTTTATTTCATGTATTAAGAAGTGTTAAGAATTTTGACAATATTAGGCTTAGATTAAACATTTGGATATAATTATATTTAAAGGATTATCTGTCATAGTGGGTTAAAGCAAGAAGAACTTGACATCAAAGTAGCTTCAAAGCTGATTCTGATCTTGCCCTAATAAGAATTATGGAGAAAATGTCTTTACTAATACCTGCTTTTACAGTTGTGAGAATTAACTTAGCTAATATTTTGGAAAATGCTTTAGCAACTGCATAGTTTTATTAAAATTTAAAAATATCCATGAGTAAGGTGAGTGAAAGCAAAGAATCATGAGCTGATAACACTACTTCAAAACACATCGATTTTAAGAAAATGATTCTTAATAATGAAGATAAATTTTTCTATTATAGATTTAAAATTTATATTGCTTATAATGTGGTTTTTGGAGGACTATTCTCTGTTTTATTCTTTAGGCTTTATATTAGAAAGGTAGTAATAACATAGTCCCACCATTCTTCAGCATTTTAGGGATTATCAACCTGCCACAAAGGGTATCAGGAAGGCACAGAAACAAACTGTCAGCACTAGAGAGAACTGAATTAGTTAAGCTACTAATATTTTATTTACCTTCAAAGTATCCCCCAGAAAATAGCCTGTGGTTAACTACATAACAGTATATTTTAGAGCATCAACATATAACTAATCCTTAATGTGTAAAACTGTTACATGGCTGAGAAGTTACTACTGAAATTTCTACATTTCCATAGGAGGGGAAGAGGAAATGATTAAAGCAGAAGGACTTAGACATTTTAGTAAGAGAAAGTTTAATTAATTAATTAATTTACTTTTTTGTCCCATGGAGGCCTTAGTATTGAAGTAATTGCACTGGACTCTTGCTCTGTGTTTGTAATCATTTTCATTCAAAGAAGTTATATGAACACAGTGTTTTGTGAATGAAGTCTAATAATATAACCTCACAAATCTTACAAAATTTGGATGAACTTGTTTATAGGAAAGTGAGCCAGGTGTTTTCAGAGCTGATAGCTGACTGTCACTTCTCTAGGATATTATGACATTATAAATCTCACCTTGTCTTCTATTTAGTGTTCCTATGACAGAATACCTGAGGCTGGGTAATTTATGCAGAAAAGAGATTTAATAGATTCACAATTCTAGTGGCTAGAAAGTCTAGGAGCATGGTCCTGGGATCTGCTTGACTTCTGATGAGGGCCATGCAATGTGTCATGATGTGGCACAGAAGCAGAAAGGCAAGCATGATTGTGCAAAGGGACATGAGTGAGAGGCTGGGCTTACTTTATAGCAACTCGCACTGGTGGCAACTAATTCATTCCTGTAAGAGTGAGAATCCACCCACTCCTCTGAGACAGCATTCATCTTTTCATGAAGACAGTGCCCCATGATTCAAACACCTCCCACTAGGCTCCACCTCCCAACACTGCCAAAAGAGGAAACATATTTTCACATGTGTTTTAGATAGGAAACACCCAAGCCATAGAATTTCTCCCATACCCTTCCAAAACTCATGTTCTTTTCATGTGCAAAATACAGTCACTCCATCCCAATAATCCAAAAAATCTTAACTTGTTTCAGCACCGACTCAAAAGTCCAAAGTCCAAAGTCTCATTTGAGAATCAAGGAAAGCTCCTTCCAGCTGTGGACCTGTAAAACTAAACACAAGTTTATTGACTTCTAAAATACAATGGTGGGGCAGGCATATGGTAAACACTTGCATTTCAAAAGGAGAGAGAAGCAGAAAGAAAGAAGTAACTAGCCCAAAGCAAGTCTGAAACCTAGGAGAGTAGATATTAAATCTTTTTTTTTTTAATTTTTAATTTTTGTGGGTACATAGCGGGTGTATATATTTATGGGGTACATGAGATGTTTTGACACAGGCATGCAATGTGAAATAAGTATATCATGGAGAATGGGGTATCCATCGCCTCAGAAATTTATCCTTTGTGTTACAAACAATCCAATCACATTCTTTATGTTACTTTAAAATTACAATTAAATTATTATTGACCATAGTCACCCTGTTGTGCTATTACATTAGAGTGGGTCTCATTTATTCTTTCTAACTAATTTTTTTTACCCATTAACCATCCCCACTTCCCCCTCCAATCCCTCAACTGTCCTTCCCACCATCTGGTAACCATCCTTCTACTCTCTATGTCCATGAGTTCAATTTTCCTGATTTTTAGATCCCACAAATAAGTGAGAACATGCGATGGTTATCTTTCTGTACAACCATGGCTTATTTTCATTTAACATTTCATTTAACGTAACGACCTCCAATTACATCCATGTTGTTGCAAATGACAGAATCTCATTCTTTTTTTACAGCTGAATAGTATTCCACTGTGTATATGTACCACATTTCTTCAGGCATTCATCTACTGATGGACACTTAAGTTGCTTCCAAATATTAGCCATTGTAAATAGTACTGCAACAAATGTAGGAGTGCAGACATCTGTTCTGTATACTTACTTCTTTTCTTTTGGATGTATAGCCAGCAGTGGGATTCCTGGACCATGTGGTAGCTCAAATTTAGTTATTTCAGGGACCTCCAAATTGTTCTCCTTAGTGGTTGTACTAATTTACATTCCTGCCATCAATGTACGAAGGTTGCCTTTTCTCTGCATCCTCTCCAGCATTTGTTATTTCCTGTCTTTTGGATATAAGTCATTTTAAATGGGGTGAGATGATATCTCATTGTAGTTTTGGTTTGCGTATCTCTGATGATTAATGATGTTGAGCACCTTTATTAAATCCTTTGTGAGATGGGTAGTTTGCAAATATTTTCTCCCATTCTGTGAGTTGTCTTTTCAGTTTATTGATTATATCCTTTGCTGTGTAGAGGCTTTTTAACTTGATATAATTCTATTTGTCCATTTTTGTTTTGGTTCCTATGCTTGTGGGGTGTTGCTGGAAAAATTTTTGCCCCAGACCAATGGCCTGGAGACTTTCCCCCAACATTTTATTGCACTAGTTTCATAGTTTGAAGTCTTAGATTTAAGTCTTTAATTCATTTTGATTGGCTTTTTGTATATGGCAAGAGATGGGGTCTAATTTAATTCTTCTTCATATGGTTATTCAGTTCTCCTAGCACCACTTATTGAAAACACTGCCTTTTCCCCTGTCATGTTCTTGACATCTTTGTTGAAAATGAGTTCACTGTAGGTGTGTGGGTTTGTTTCTGGGTCTCCATTCTGTTCCATTGATCTATATGTCTGTTATGCCAGTACCATGATGTTTTGGTTACTATGGCTCTGCAGTATAATTTGAAGTGAGGTAATGGGATTCCCCTAGTTGACTTTTTGCTTAGGAGAGCTTTGGCTATTCTGGGCCTTTTGAGGTTTCATATAAATATTAGGATTGTTTTTTTCTGTTTCTGTGAAGATTGTCATTGGCATTTTTCTAGAGATTGCATGGAGTCTGTAAATTGCTCTGGGTAGAATGGACATTTTAACAATATTGATTCTTCTAATCTATAAACATGGAATATTTTTCTATTTTTTGATGTCTTCTTCAATTTCTTTCATCAGTGTTTTACAGCTTTTATCATACAGATTTTTCACTTCCTGATTAAATTAATTCCTGAGCATTTAATTTTATGTTTGGCTATTTTAAATTGGATTACTTTTTAAAATTCTTTTTCGCATTGTTCACTCTTGGCATAGAGATATACTATTGATTTTTGAATGGTGATTTTGTATTCTGCAATTTCACTGAATTTATTATTTCTAATAGTTTTTTGGTGGAGTCTTTAGGTTTTTCCAAATATAAGACTATAGCATTAGCAAATAAGGACAATTTGACTTTTTTCTTTCTAATTTGGATGCCCTTATGTCTTTCTCTTATCTGATTGCTCTAGTGAGGGCTTCCAGTATTATGTTGAATAACAGTGGTGACAGGGCATTCTTGTTGTGTTCCAGATCTTAGAGGAAAAGATTTCAGTTTTTCCCCATTCATTATGATACTAGCTTCTGGTCTGTCATATATGGTTTTTATTATGTTGAGGTATGATTCTTCTATCCCCAGTTTTGAGGGTTTTTATCATGAAGGGATGTTGAACTTTGTCAAATGTTTTTCAACATTAATTCAGATTATCACATAGTGTTTATCCTTCATTCTGCTGATATGATGGATCACATTGCTTGATTTACACATGTCAAACCATCCTTGCATCCCGTGGATAAATCCTGCTTGGTCATGATGGATGATTTTTCTAATTTATTGTTTGAATATGGTCTGCTAGTATTTTGTTGAGGATTTTTGCATCAATATTCTTCAGAGATTTTGGCCTTTAGTTTTATTTTTTATTTTTGATGTATCTGTGTCTGGTTTCAGTATCAGGGTAACACCAGCTTCATAGAATGAGTTTGGAAGTATTCTCTCCTCCTGTTTTTCAGCATACTTTGTGTAGGGTTGGTATTAGTCCTACTTCAAATGTTTTATAGAATTCAGCAGTGAAGGTTTTGGGTCCAGGGCTTTTCTTAAGTGGGATACTTTTTATTAAGGTTTCAATCTCGTTACCTGTTATTGGTATGTTCAGATTTTGGATTTCTTCCTGGTTTAATTTTTTTTTTTTTTTTTTTTTTTGAGACAGGGTCTTGCTCTTTTCACTCAGGCTGGAGTGCAGTGGTGTGACCTAGACTCAGTGCAACCTCCACTTCCCGGGCTCAAGTGATTTTTGTGCCCCAGGCTCCTGAGTAGCTGGGACTACAGGTGCATGCCACCACACCTGGCTAATTTTTGTATTTTTAGTAGATATGGGGTTTTGTCATGTTGGTCATACTGGTCTCAAACTCCTGACCTCAAGTGATCCACCTGCCTTGCCCTCCCAAAGCACTAGGATTACAGGTGTGAGCCACCATGCCCAGCCTTCCTGGTTCAACCTTGGGAGTTGTATGTGTCTAGAAATTTGTACAATTCTTGTAGATTTTCCAGTTTATTGGCATACAGTTGCACACAGTAGCCACTAATGATCCTTTTAATTACTGCAGCATCAGTTGCAACATCTCCATTTTCATTTTGATTTTATTTGTATCTTCTCCCTTTTTTCTTAGTCTTGCTAAATATTTGTCAATTTTGTCTTCAAAAAGTCAACTTTTTGTTTTATTGATGTTTCATATTGTTTTTTCTTTCAATTTCATTTATTTCTACTCTCATCATCATCATTTATTTTTTCTACTGATTTTCAGTTTGATTTGCTCTTGCTTTTATAGTTCTTTATAATGCACTGTTAGATTGTGTATTTAAAGTTTTTCTTCTTTTTTCGTGTAGTCACTTATAGCTATAAATGTCCCTCTTAGTACTACTTTTGTTGTATCCCATAGGTTTTGGTATGTTGTGTTTCCATTATCATTTGTTTCAATAAGCTTTTCAATTTCCTTCTTAATTTCTTCATTGATGTACTGGTCATTCAGGAGCATATTGTTTAACTTTCATGTGTTTGCATAATTTCCAAAATTCCTCGTGTTATTAGTTTCTAGTTTTATTCCATTGTTGTCAGAAAAGATGCTTGATATTACTTCGTTTTTTTAAATGTCTTCAGACTTTGTTTTGTGACCCCTTATGGTCTATCCTTGAGAATGTTCAATGTGCCTAGGAAAAGAATGTGTTGTCTGTTGCTGTTGGATTAAATATTCTGTAAATATTTATCAGATCTACTTGGTCTATGGTACAGATTAAGTGAGATGTTCTTTATTTTCTGTCTGTAAGATCTGTCCAATGTTGAAAGTGGGGTGTTGAAGTTTCCAGTTATTATGGTATTGGAGTCTACCTCTCTCTTTAGCTCTAATAATGATTGCTTTATATATCTGTGTGCTTCACTGTTGGGTGCACATATATTTAAAATTGTTATATCCCCTTGCTTAACTGACCCATTTATTATTATATAGTGACCTTCTTTGTGTCTTCTTTTAGCTTTCGTCTTGAAAACTATTTTGTTTGATGTAAGTATAGTTACTGCTGCTCTTTTTTGGTTTCTGTTGTCATTTAATATTTTTTTCCATCCCCCCCTCCTTTTTTTTTTAGTCTATGTGTCTTTATACGTGAATTGTGTATCTTGTAGGCAACAGATCAATGGATCTTGTTTTTTGTAATCCATTCAACCACTCTATGTATTTTGACTGGAGAGTTTAGTCCATTTATATTCAATATTATTATTAGTAAGTAAGAACTTACTCCTGCCATTATTTTTGTTTTACTTTCTTATTGTATTGTAGTCTTCTCTTCCTTCTTTCTTTCCTTCATGTCTTCCTTTAGTGAAGGTTATTTTCTCAGGTGATACAATTTAGTTTGTTTTTTTGTGTGTGTGTATTCATTGTATGTTTTTTGGTTTAAGGTTGCCATGAGACTTGAAAATACTATCTTATAATTAATTATTTAACGTGATAACAAATTTGCACTGTTTGCATAAACAAACAAGAAAAAGAAAACTAATAAAAACTCTTCACTTTAACTTCATCCCCCACTCTTAAACTTTTCGTTATTTCTATTTATATCTTATGGTACTGATTATGTCTTGAGAAGTTGTTATAGTTATTATTTTTTATTTGTTCATCATTTCTTCTTTCTACTTAGCATACAAGTAGTTTACACACCACAGTTACAGCATTATCGTATTCTGTGTTTACTATTATCAGTGAGTTTTATACCTTCAGATTATTTCTTATTGCTCATTAACAACCTTTTCTTTCTGATTGAAGTACTCTCTTTAGCATGTCTTGTAGGACAGGTCTGGTGTTGATAAAATCTCTCAGCTTTTGTTTGTCTGGAAAAGCCCTTTTTTCTCTTTTATGATTAAAGGATATTTTCACCAGATATACTATTCTAGAGTAAAAGTTTTTTTCCTTCAGCATTTTAAATATGTCATGCCACTCTCTCCTAGCCTGTAAGGTTTCCACTGAAAATTCTGCTGCTAGATGTATTAGAGACCAACTGTGTGTTATTTATATCTTTTCTCTTGCCGTTTTTAGAATGCTTTACTTTTGATCTTTGGGAGTCTGATTATTAAATGTTTTGGGGTAATTTTCTTTGGGTTAAACCTTCTTGATGTTCTATAACCTTATTATACTTGGATATTGATATATTTCTCTAGGTTTGGGAAGTTCTCTACTATTATCTCTTTAAATAAACTTTCTATCACTGTCTCTTTCTCTACCTCCTTTTTAAGACCAATAACTCTTGATGTACCCTTTTGGGGCTCTTGTCTCGATCCTGTAGGAATGCTTTTTTATTCTTTCTTTTGTTTCCTCTGACTGTGTATTTTCTTTTTCTTTTTCTTTTCCCTCTTCTTCTTTGTTTTTTTTTTTTTTTTTTTTTGAGACAAAGTTTTGCTCTTGTTGCCCAGGCTGGAATGCAATGGCATGATCCAAGCTCACTGCAACATGCACCTCCTAGTTTCAAGTGATTCTCCTGCCTCAGTCTCCTGACTGGCTGGGATTGCAGGCATGAGCCACCATTCCTGGCTAATTTTGTACTTTCAGTAGAGATGGTGTTTCTCCATGTTGGTCAGGCTGGTCTTGAACTCCTGACCTCAGGTGATCTGCCTGTCTTGGCCTCCCAAAGTGCTGGGATTACAGGCGTGAGCCACTGCACCCATCCTGACTGTGTATTTTCAAACAGCCTGTCTTCAAGCTCACTGATTCTCTCATCTGCTTGATTCATTCTGCTATGAAAAAAACTCTGATACATTTTTCAGTATGTCAGTTGCATTTTTCATGCCCAGAATTTCTACTTTATTTTTAAAAATAATTTTAATTTCTTTGTTAAATTTATCTAATGGAATTATGAATTGTTTCTCTATGTGCTATCTTGAATTTCTTTTAGTTTCCTCAACACAGCTATTTTCAATTCTCTCTTTGTGAAAGTTCACATATCTCTGTTTCTCCAGGATTGGTCCCTGGTGGCTTATTTAGTTAATTGGTGAGGTCATGTTTTCCTGGATGGAGTTAAAGCTAGTAAATATTTTTGAGTGTCTGGATATTGAAGGGTTAGGTATTTATTGTACTGTTCACTGTCTGGGCGTTTTTGTAGTCATCTGTTTTGGGGAGGGTCTTCTGATATTTGAAAGGACTTGGGTGTTGTGATCTAAGCTATATCTGCTTTAGAGGACATGGCAAGCCAGTAACACTGTGGTTCTCACAGACTCATGGAGTGCTGGTGTTAGCAAGATCCAGAAGAATTCTCTGTATTACCAGGCAGAGACTCTTGTTCTCTTCCCTTAACTTTCTTCCAAACAAATAGAGTCTCTCTCTCTGTTCTGAGCCACCTGAAGCTGGGGGTGACTGACACAAGCACCACTGTGGCTACCACCACTATGACTGCACTGGGTCAGACCTGAAGCCAGCACAGCACTGGGTCTTGCCCAAGGGCTGCTGTCATCACTCTCTGGTTCCTGCCTATGTTTACTCAGGTTCTTGGGGCTCTGTAATTAGCCTGTGGCAAAGCCAGCCAGGCCTGTCTTTCCCTTCAGGGCAGCAAGTTCCCCTAGGCCCTAGGTGGTTCCACAGGTGCCGTCTGGGAGTCAGGGACTAGAGTCAAAAACCTTAGAAGTCTACCTGGTATTTTATTGGACTGTGCCTGAACTGGCAGTCAAACCACAAGAGGTAGTGCTTCCCCCTTTTCTCTCCTCCTTCTAAAGCCAGGGGAGTCTCACCCTAGAACCACCACCACCCCAGGCCACAAGGAGTACTGCCAGACTACCACTGATTTTCCCTTAAAGCCCAGGGGCTTTTAAGTCAACTTGTGGTGAATGCTGCCTGGCCTGGGACTCACCCTTCAGGGCAGTGGGCTCCCCTTTGGGCCAGGGCAGGGCCAGAAATGCCATCCGTGAGTCAAATCCTGGATCATGGACGTTAAGAGCCCACTTAGTGCTCTACCTACCTGTGGCTGTGCTGGTACCTAAGGTGCAAGACAAAGTCTCCTTTACTTTTTCCTCTACTTTTCCTATGCAGAAGGAATTTTATGCCATAGCCACCACAGCTGGTAATGTGCTGAGTCTCACCTGAAGCCAGCACAGCTTACAGGCTCTTCTAAGGCCACTGATGTAGTACCTGGATATCATTGCTGGTTATTCAGGGCCCAAGGGCTCTTTAGTTAGCACATGATAAATTCTGCAAGTGCTGGGCCCTTTATCTAAGGCAGTAGGTTTCCTTCTGGCCTAGGGTGTGTCTAGAAATGTTATCTGGGAGCTAGGTCCTGGAACAGGGGCCTTATGACTCTGAGAGGTGCCCTATCTTGCTATGGCTGAGCTGGTATTCAGGATGCAAGACAAAGTCCTTCCTACTCTTCCCTCTCCTCTCCTCTCCTCAAGAGCAGAAAAGGGTATGCTTTTGGAGTCCTGAGATGTGCAGCCTGGGGTTAGAGAAGGGCTGATGCCAGCACTTCCTTGGGTGCCCCAGCTGGTATCTTAGTATGTCATTTTCCCCCCAAGTCCACCGACTCCAGGCCTAGTTCAGCACTAGGACTCAGCTAAGAGTTGCTTTCCTTATGACCTAGACTGACTTTCAAGTTTACTTAGAGACTGAGACCACTTTAACCCTTGGTGGCGAGGTTTGCGGGAATACAAATTTGGACCTCTGGGATCTGAGGTCCTATAAAGAGGTTTATTTAGCTCAAAATTGTGGTGATTAGAAAGTTCAAGAGCATAGTGCCTGCATCTGTTCTTCTGGTGAGAGCTTCACACTGCAATACAACATGGCACAAAAGCAGAAAGTATGCAAAGAGACACATGTGAAATGCTGGGCTTACTTTATAGCAATTAACTCTTGTGAAAATGAATCCATTCCTGCAAGAGTGAGAATTCACTTACTCCAATGAGATGTATTTATCTATTTATGAGGGAAGTGCCTTCATGATCCAATCACCTCCCACCTTAAACGCAATCATAGTGGGAATCAAATTTCAGCGTGAGTTTCCAAGATGACACGTTTAAACCACAGCACACTTGAATTTCAGTTTTAAGGATCTGTTTCTTTATAAAGTGCCCTATAAAAGTACACTGTTTCTTCAAAATGGGTGTAAGCTTTTCAGGAAATCTTTCTCTACTGATGACGCTGGCTTTTGTTTCAAATAGAGATAAAAATATAAAGAACACATAAAGTTTATGAGAAGAGACAGAGGACATAGAGGAGGAGAAAGATAACTTTCTGCCTTTTAGGTGATAATTTTTAGAAAGAAAAAAAGGCGTTCCTGGTCACATGCAGCTTTTATCCTGAGGCAGGGAGATAGATAGTTTTTTTTTTATTATTGCATTACTATGTCATTTTTTATTGCATTAAAAGTAGTGGAAGAAATCAACAGAGTGATGTCACAGGAAGGGCTGAGGATGAGTTGAATAAACTTAGAAAGAATGGTCAGTGAAAGCCACTCTGAGGAAAGGAAATTTTAGCTTAGCCTTGAAGGATGAAAATGAGACTTCCATGTGAAAAGCAATGCAAAACTCTCATCACATAAAACACTTTAGACTTTGAGGAATGGAAAATAAAATGCTACAGCCAGTAAACAAGGCAGAGAATACAGAAGATAGGAGCAGAGAGACTGACAGGGGTCAGTTCTCACCTACTCTCCAGTTGTTTACAAACACGGGAGTACAGTAGCATGCTACTTAGAAGACACTTGGACATGTATGGTTGTCAGAATGGAAAGAAATGGGGATATGCTGACATTTAATGCCCAGGAACCAGTGATGCGAACTTTCTGATGGTGCAAAGGAACATCCTTCACCATGCACAGCTGTTCTATTAATACTTGAAATGACCATAAAGCCACCATCATCCCTTTCCCTTTTGGAAGATATCAATGGGGTTTTAGTTAATGATAAAGAACTTTAGATTTTGTTCTAAATACATAGAGAATAAGATTTTATTTAAGGAAATGATATTTTCTGAATTAAATGTTTCAAATAGTCTGGTAGTTATGTGGGAAATGAATGGTAGACACCATTAGTTGCATCATTTTAGGCATTTAGAGGAAACCATTTATATTGGTAACCAAAATAACATTTCGTTTCTTCTTATGAAATGGGACTGTCACTTTTTTCTGCCCCCTGAGTCAAATATATGCTTTAACTGAAGGGAGAAAGAATATTCTCAATTATGAAGCACTGTTTTAATTCCTATTTTTATCATCTTTGGAATTTCCTCATTTACATGACCCTAAACACAGATCAAATATTAAATTAGATAACCTTAATTCCGTTCTCTTCAAAAACTGAAAGGAAGGTGCCAGTAATTTTACATAAATCTCAGAGGCTAAATTACAGTTTTTATTAGCATTTAAAAAGCCAACATTAATGCTAAGTTTTCAATCAAGCAACACATAAGAGTTTAACCCCATGACTCATTAACATTCCTCACAGATACAAGGTGGGTTTGAGGCGCACACAGCTGAGGAGCTGGAGCCTCCAACACAATAGAATGCCCCCGTCCTCTCTCGAATGCTGTCTACATTCGGATCTTGTTTAGGCTGCATTAGACTGTGGGTAATAACTCTCTCCTTTATCCTCTGGACCAATCAGCAACTATGTCTATTAATCCAGGACCTCATGTCAGTCCCCCTTCATTACCAATACCAAACTACCTCTTACCTAGTCACAATAAAATATATTCAGATTCTCATAACGTATATCCTTCTGCTTTAGGAAGTTGCCAGTAGTTACTACAAAGGTTTAAACCTAGGGAGTGATATATACCAGCTGTGTGATTTGCTGAAACAGGAGGTCACTGTAGGATTACAAAAATATATCATCATAAAGTCAAAACATTTTGGAACATGAAGGGACCAAAGATATCATTTAGACTATGTGTTGCAAACAGATAGAGAGGCAAGTAAGTAACAAAAATGAGCTCTATGTTTCTTACTCAGGAGAATTAGGATGTGGTAACAGGATAGAGGAGCCCTTTCTGAGAGCAAACACTGTTGCCATACGTGGCAAGAATAGGAACATGGACTCTTGGCACCTGCTGACATTTCTTTCAAAAGAAGCTAGAAATCCAGGCTACCTTACAAACAATTACTCAGTTTTCAACTGAACAAAACAAAAATATAGTTTGTCAGTTTAAAAGTTCTGATAATCCAATCTCCTGATTTTACAGAGATGTTAGGCACTTTTCGCAGGCTAATAGAGAGAATAAGGGATTTGGTGGGAAAACCAGAAATAGAATCAGGGATATTTTTATTTTCAATTCTTTGCTCTTTATGCATCAATGAATCTTCCTTCTTATCTCCATTACAATGTAGCCAGCACACCTTCTCAGTTTGTGTTTTCAGCTAACCAGGGCAGGCTCCTGTAGTACATTCTGCATGATAAAGTGATCATCAGATTTTCATTCTACCAGTCAGTTGAAAATTGCTAGGGCTAGCAGAAATGTGGTTGAACCACACAGAGGCATCAAAATATGTATCTTCACTTCTGAATGTTTCCTCACAAGCATGTATTGTAAGTTATAAAAAAAACTTGAGACAAGGCATGAAAAATGGAATCACAGATCTATATAAAAGATCAGGCAGGTACAGATTAATGTTGATTTGTCATATCCAAGGGGCTTTAAAAACATGGACAAGTTGAAGGAGCAATACATGTCAATTTAGCCACTTTAACATGTAAGACTAACGTAGGAGCAGTTATTAAATACCAAATCAATAGAGGGTCATTTTAAAGGATATTTTGCATAGCTGTGAATAGTATTTAGATGATTATAGTAATAAAAATCACATTACCCCATTACCCTGTATTTATTTATTACATGAATAAAAGTAAATTTTTTGTTTATTTTTTTTTGAGACGGACTCTTGCTCGCCAGGCTGGAGGGCAGTGGCATGATCTTGGCTCACTGCAACCTCTGCCTCCCGGGTTCAAGCGATTCTCCTGCCTCAGCCTCTCAAGTAGCTGGGACAACAGGCGTAGACCACCACTCCCAGCTAATTTTTGTATTTTTAGTAGAAACAGAGTTTCATCATTTTGGCCAGGATGGTATCGATCTCCTGACCTCATGTTCCACCCACCTTGGCCTCCCAAAGTGCTGGGATTAGAGGCCTGAGCCACCGCGCCCTGCCAGTTTGTTTATTTTTGTTACAAGTATTAATTACATATATATATATAAATTACATATGTATATTTTAGAAGTTTGCATTTTTCTTAAAGATTTACATAAGTGGTATTATTGAGGAAATGCTGGTATAAACAGAATTATTCAATAATTCAATTGAAGAGGGCACTTTATGTGTAGGGATGAGATATACTTAGCTCAAAGATATTATAAAGGAAAGAAGTCAAATTATTTTTAAGAAAAACACATGCATATATGTGCATATATAAAATTACTATAAATAAAAGTGTAAGAATTTGGAAAAAGTGAGAAACAATTGAACAATTGATTTATGCATCTAAAGATCCCCTGTATGCTTTTAAACCTCTATAAAGCGAGGTAGCAAGGTGGTAAAGCACGTGCTAAAGGGTAGAATTTATGCCACAATTAGCTTTGGTTGTAATGAATTTCAAGTCTCATATTATATGTGAATCCTAGTGCTTTGAAATTGTTAAACTGATGTTGTTCATTGATTAGAGTTCAAATATTTTAAGTAATTGGACATATTCTCTACAGAAACAGTTGTATCTGCATAATTCTGAATTTATTTACATTTTTATCAATTCTATTTATTAGCAATAATTATAACTCATAAGCTTTATTTTTAAAGGTTTCCTAAGGAACCTCAGATCCCAAACAATAGATGACGTTTGGAAATTTGGCACTGAAATTCTAAAAGGTAGATCCCCAGTGCAGCTAGCACTGCCATAACCTCTTTAGCCTTCTATATGCCACATACTTCCTAGGAATTCAGAATACACAATTACATTTAGGGAATTAATACCTTCCCTGATGAAGCAGGGAAATATTTTTCTAGTGCATAAAGCCAATCAATGAGCGGTAAATACATTATCACCATAATACTGTATAGTTGACAATGTTATAAAAATAGAGCAATGAACGGGGATATGGAATGTTGCAGGTGGGAAGAGTCATAACTTCACAAGAAAGGCTGCTGAAGGACTCTTGGAGAGGTTGCACTTGAGAAAAGACCTACTGTTAGTAAAGAAATAAAGCATTCAAATGTATCAGGAAGAATATTCCAGACAATAAAAAGTGAATAAAAAGGTATATGTTTAAAACAAGTTTGCATGTTCATAGAACATCAAAGAGTGGCAAGAAGTCAATTTTGGTTGGAAGCACTTGGGGAAGGGGAAGACTGGTGAGGTGATTAGGTATGAGAGCCTTAAGGATGGGAGGAACAGGTGAGTAAGGAACTTGTAGGTTTTTAGGAAGACTGAGTTTGACTCTGAATAATGTAAGAAGAAATAAAAAAGTTAGTATGTTAGTATTCTTTTGCTACCTAACAAATTACTGCACACATAGAGGCTTGAGACACCTATTTATCATTCATTTATTTTTTCACAATTCTGTAGGTCAGAAGTTGAAGCATGGTGTGACTGAGTTTGCTGCTCAGGTTATCACAGGACCAATATCAAGGCTTTGGCCAGGCTCTAGGAATGAATTCATTCATAAGCTTCTTCAGGTTATTGCCCAAATTTAGTCCCTGTGGTTGTAAGACTGAGGTCCCATACTCTTGTTGGATGTAAGTTGGGCTCTGCTTCCAGCTGTTAGAGGCTCCCTGCATTCCTTTCCATGTGGCTTCCTTCATCTTCCAAGCCGAAAATGGATAATATCCCACATATCAAATCCCTCTCACTTTTCGAATTTCTTTTAACAGGAAGAACCTGGGCCCTTTTAAGTGCTTACCTAATTAATTCAGGCCCACCCCTGATAATCTAATTTTAACTGATTTGGGACCTTAATCACATCTGCCAAACTCCTTCAAAGCAACCCCTAGATTAGTTTTTGATTGAGTTACTGGGAGAAGATCTGCATATGGTAAGAGCTAGGAATCTTGGGGGCCATCTTCAAATTCTGCCTACCAAAGATAGAGTGACATTATTTGACTTATATTTTAACTCTGGCTGTTCAATTAAGACTACTCTAAAAGAGGGCTAGTGAAGAAAAAGAAAGAAGAGTAAGCTATTGCCATTGTTTAGGACAGGGGTGATGGTAGTTTGTAACCATAGATTTGGTCACAAATGTCAGATTCTTAATATATTTTTGAAAATATAAAGGATAAAATTATTTGTTTGCATAGATCTGTAGTATAAAAAGAAGACAGTTGTTAATAATGACGCCAAGGGTTTTGACCAAAGAAGGAAGAGGAAGATACATTTCATTGACTGGGATTGGGGTAGAGAACGGGGCTATGGGAGGTAGACTGGGGCTGGAAGATCAAGAGTTCAGTTATGAATATAATAATTTCATGACTTCTATTAGACATCTAACTGTATATGTCAAATAGATCGGTATATGTATCTGGAGTTTAGGAGAATGATATAGAACCAAAATATGAATTTGGGAGTCTCTAAAGAAGAGTATATTTGAGGCTAGAGAGGATGATCTCACCAACAAGCTTCTCTGTTTGTTTCTTTAGATATATTGCAATCTTCTCTCCTACGCTTTGTGCTCCCTGAGGCGAAAGCCTATGGACCGCATTTGAGGCTTTCAGTTGAATTTGGTTATGGAGAAGAATTGGTAGGACAGAGACACTTGAGAGAAAGTTTAGGGTAATAATTATCTCACCATCTTAGCTCTGTCTCTACCTCACCATGGCTCTGGTTGTGGCTGTATTTCTCTATACAGTATTATTTCACCCATGCAGACATAAATTATCATAATAGCATAGATAGTAGTAAGTTGTGGCAAAATAATTATAAAGTACTAATATTTGTTCCTTTGTTTTTAATATAATTCCTTTGCAATTTTTGATAATAGCTAGATTTATCTACCAGCTTGCAAAATTCCTGAAATTTTAACAGTCAGCTTTTGTTAACCAGCATGAGCTACCTTAAGCACACCACTGACCATTTCCATGGCTCCAGCACTCTGTGGAATCTATTCACACAATATCCTGCCTTCAGGCCAGGAAGGCTTTTCTGCTAGTGCTGGTATCTGCATGCTTCATTATCTATTGGTAATCCCCTTAGCCCTGCCTCTAAATAGTCCTCTTCAATGAACACTTGAGCATGCCTGCCAAAATCAAGACTGATCCAGAGGTGGCATATACATAAAAAGGCATCCCGAGTATTAAGCCCTGGGAAATTTCAAAATTAATGGCTGGATGAGATGAGGAGGACCTAGTAGAACAGATTGAAAATAAGTGTCCAGAAAAGTAGAACAAAAACAAAAGTTATATTGTATTCTGGAAAGTAAGGAAAGGACAAAAGAATTATTGGCTTTGTCAAATGTTATTATTGTTTCAAGAAAATGAGGAGTGGAAATTAACCATTAGATTTATTACTGTAGAGGAAATGATGTACTTGATATGCACAATTTTGGTGAATGGTACTGGAACCATGAAGAAAAGAAGTAGATTCGTAGGTGAATAGAAAAATGAAGTATTAGATTTTTATAAAAATAATTTCAACTTCTATTTTAGATTCAAAGGGTATATATGCAGGTTTGTTACATGGGTATATTGTGTGTGATGTTCAGGTTTAGGCTACAGATGATCCCTTCACCTAAGTAGTCACACAGTACCCAACAGTTAGTTTTTTGATGCTTATCTCCCTCCTTTCCTCCTTCCCCCTCTTGTAGTCCCCAGTGTCTATTGTTCCCAACTTTATGTCCATGAGTACCCAATGTTTAACTCCTACTTATAAGTGAGAACATGTGGTATTTGGTTTTCTGTTCCTGTGTCAATTCACTTAGGATGATGGCCTCCAGCTGCACCCAGGCTGCTGCAAAGGATACAATTTCATTCTTTTTATGGCTGCATAGTATTCCATCATGTATATGTACAATTTTTTCATTCAATCCACCATTGATGGGCATTTATGTACATGTCTATGCCACTGTGAATATAGCTGTGATGATACAAGTTTATGCATCTTTTTGGTGGAATGATTTATTTTCTCTTGGATATATACCCAGTAATGGGATTGCTGGGTCAAATGGTAGTTCTGTTTTAAGTTTGGTGAAATCTCCAAACCGCTTTCCACAGTGGCTGAACTAATTTATATTCCCACCTCTGTAGCCTCACCAGCCTCTGTCAGTTTTTGAATTTTTGATAATATCCATCTGGCTGGTGTGAGATGGTATCTCATTGTGGTTTTCATTTGCATTTCTCTAATGATTAGTGATGTTGAGAATTTTTTCATATGCTTGTGGGCTGCATGCATGTCTTCTTTTGAGAAATAACTGTTCATGTTTTTTGCCCACTTTTTAATGGAGTTACTTGCCTTTTTTCTTGTTGCATTGTTTAAATTCCTTATAGATTCTGGATATTAGACATTTATTGGATACATAGCTTGTGAATATTTTATCCATTCTGGAGGCTGTTTACTTTTTTGATCTTTTTTAATTAATTTATTTATTGCTGTGCTGAAGCTCTTTAGTTTAACTATGTCCTACTTGTTAATTTTTGTTTTTGTTGCAATTGTTTTTAAGAACCTGGTCATAACTTCTTTGCCAAGGCCAATGTCCAGAATGGTATTTCCTAGGTTTTCTTCTGGGATTCTTATAGTTTGTTGTCTTATACTTAAATCTTTAATCCACCTTGAGTTAATTTTTGTATATGGTGAAAGTTATGGGTCCAATTTCAATCTTCTGCATATGGCTAGCTAGCTATTCCAGCATCATTTAATGACTAGGGAGTACTTTCCCCTTTGCTTAGGGATAATAGAGGTGGCAAGGCTGAGTGTTAGAAGCAGGGTAAGAAGGGTGTGGTTGTGGTAGACTGTAAATGATCCTATTCATTCATTTCTCCTTCTTGCAGGAGGATATACATCTGTGATCCTTTGATGTTAGGCTTCACCATATGACTTATATCTCACGATTACCCTGGAGACACACACACACACACACACACACACACACACACACACATCTTTGTAGGAAGATGTGACATTCCCACCTTGCTTATCTCAGAAGTGATCACATGCATTCTTTGGTAAATGAAATGTGAGCAGAAGTGATGCCTGCCAATTCTTAAAACAACCTTTAATAGTTACTCTTGGCTTGCCAGGTCCCTTTTACTTCTACTACTATACTGCGATTTCCCTGATAGGCTGCTCAGCCAGCCTGTTCTCTAAAACAAGATGATATTCAAGTGAGAGCCACTCATGATGGACATGTAGCATTAACTAGATGTTAATCCTTGTTGTTTAGGCCTCTGAGATTTGGGAATTGTGTTATTGCATTTATAATTGTCCTGAGTGATTCTGTTGACTCACCATTTACCCAAAAAGTGTACTGATGGATAGATACATAAAGGTTCGAAAAGTTTGGGCTGATGGCAATTTGTGAGGTTACTATTAAAAAAAAAATAATGGATATGGCCTACCTCTCCTCACCAATGTTTTTTAATTAACATTAGTTTTAATATTTAACAGTTCAATGAATTGACTTTTAATACTTTCAACACCCACATATCTGTTCTTGTAACCCCGCTTCCACATGTACATCAAATCATCTCTTTTAGCGTCCATTTAGTATGATAGCAGTAATTCCAACTACAACTTTCTGACAAGTCTTTTAACGAACAAGCAGGTTATTTTATACAAATTAGCTCTACTATTAAAGTAATTGTAAGATAGTATATTATGCATTATTAGTTAGTTATCAAAAGTACAAAAAGGATTCTATTCATAAACATTGAAAGTCACTTAGAATGCTACTGCTGTCAAGCAACAGAAGACTTAGGCAAGAAGAACTTCTTTAGGCTCTCATCATTGCAAGTTGAGGAACAGAGCTTGCTCCAAGTATGTTTAAAAAGTGGGTTATCTATGTCCTCTGCAATTCCTTCTAAGGCATTTACAAGTATTAGACCATATATTATTTTACTGAGATAGAATAGTAAATATTGAAATAATCACATTATGATAATTATTGTTACAGCTACGTATACAATTATTATTTAAAAGACCCTTAGATAGACTAGGGTTTACTTAATTTGCTGTAAAATTTGCAAATATATAACTTTTTCCACTAACACAAGGGTAAAACCGTAGTCAATCTCACAGCGTATTAAGACAATTTTTCTTCTTGTCCTTCTCTTTTACTTGTATTTTCTTATTTAATTAACTTATAAGCTATTCTATTTTAAAATTATCAGTGCTTTGTTAGAGTTAAAAATAAGGGAAAGTCATAAATATACTTACTAGTAGCTTCTTAATAAAGTGATTATCATTAACATGTTTTGAGGTCCATTCTGGGTACTTATCTTTAATTAGTTCTGTTCATTGGTTTTATATTTGTGGTTAGAAGATTCCTTTGAATGCTATTTGTAACTCTTTTGGCGTATTGCATTGTTTTTGAAGCTTAATTCTGCTTTTATGTTGGCGTTACCTCAGGAGGAATAAAGAAATAATATAAATTTTTAAAAATGTAATTCATGAAGAGAATAATTTGTACATTTGGAAAATGTTTCAATATTCCACTCAGGAGGATCATCTGATATTATTTGGTAACATTATAGGTTAATCCATATTTTATGCCCTTTGGATAGAGGTAGTGGTGCCTTGCCCTTGGAAACATTGTTTACTGACCTGCTGTTAGAGAAATCCACTTGGCCTGAATTATGGAGTTAGTCCAGCCCTGAAGATATGAAATCATTCAGGTTTTTAAAAAGGAGTAAGAATAGCATTGCCCCTAAGCCCTCATTTCACACATCATCTCTCCAAATAACTTCAAGTTTACAATCTATGTTAAATCACATTTATCAGCATTCTTAATATTAGATTCAGGGCATGTTTTGTTTTTGTTGTTGCTGCTATTGCTGTTTTGTTTTAATTACTATGATCAGTATTATAGTGCAATTATTATTTTTATTACTCTTCGTATTCGGTCAACTTAAGGAAAGCTAGAGTATGAGTTATTGGCAGCGACTCTTCCTCTTATTACATTAAATTTTTCTAATTTTGCATACAGATTGAGTAGTCATCTGTCCCAATTTTCTATCTCCCAATTTCAGTGCAGCTATGCCCTGCATAATGCTCCAGACCACATTAACAATGGTGATTTCCTAAGATTAGAATGACACATTTCACTGTACGTTTTCTATGTTTACAAGTGTTTAGATATACACACCCTTACTATCATGTTACAGTCTCCTACAGTATTCAATACAATAACATGCTGTACAAGTTTGTAGACTAGGAACAATGGGCTATACCATATAGCCTAGGAGGATAGTAGGCTGTGACATCTAGGTTTGTGTGCAAGCACTCTATGATGTTTACACAAAGATGAAATCACCTGACAACACATTTCTTAGAACATATCTTTATTGTTAAGTGACATATGACTGTATTTGTAATATCATGGCTTTGAAAACAGTAAGACCATTCTTCAAATTAAAAAAAGCATATATAACAGGAAAATAATACATATTTATGCCAAAGAGTTAAATTGACTCCTCTAACACCTAAGCTATTCCATTTATAGATTGACTTTCTTCTCTAACTTCTTGTTTATACATTCATAGTTCTCTTGGCTATCTGGTCTTTACCGAAGAAGTGAAGTGTCAGCAGGAATACATAGTTTTTATGTACTAGGAACTGTCTCATTATCAGTCATCAGGACAGCTGCCTCCTGGTAGACAAAACAGTTGAGCAAGATAATAACTCAACTCTGTGGCTGCAGGTACACTTTTTTTATATCAGTCCAACTGTGTAGTCAAGTGAGGTCATCAACTGATGCTTATTCAATGTTACATTATTGTGTGTGTATCAGGGGTTTTGAGCCACTAGAAGATATTTATTTAAGGAAGTGAAGAACAGAAGAAATGAGTGATGGGAAAATTCCTAAATATTTATGGTCCTATTATTCATTAATCTCTCTATGATATTAGGTTTAATTTTAATTATAATGGAAACAATCAAATCTTTATTTGGCTGTAACCAGTTTTAAGAAGAACTAAAAAAAGAGAGAAAAAAGAGACAAAGGCAATAACGTAGGTAAAATGAAAGCTCTAAGGAAAGGAATGTGATTATTTTCTCTAGAAATAGAAAAGTGAGTTCAAACTGGTTGAAAAAAATTTAAGTTTTTACTAATCTTCCAAATACCAGAGAACAGGTTTACATTGTAAATATGTAATGGTATAATAGATATTAAGCACATATTGTTTTGAATGAAATATAGTACTTAGGAGATAAATTTTTTCCAGAATTTTATAATCTAAATCATAAACACATTTATTTCTCTATTTGAACTCCTGGAATATAATGAGTCAAATGTTATAAAGCTAATAAATCTATCTTATTACATAAAAATTTATTGACAAAATTAAATCCAAAATTTCAATCGGACCATTCTAAGCAGAATTTCAACACTAACTTTAGATGAACATATAGTTCAATAATTTTTACTTAATTCTTCAGTTAATTCAGTCAAACAGTTGGCATTCACATGCTACAGGTCCCTAAATGTAGTCTCTCCTTGAAGGACTGTGTAGTGATTTTCTGTTCCTTGCCAATACTCTTTTAAATCAGTAATGGTTTGATTTATCCATTTAGTGAATTGACACACTATTTGATTGAGATGGGGAATAAATTCAGTTTAAAGGATAAAGCAGTTTTGCATGATGAGTGATGACTAAGAAACAAATATTTCATAGCCATACGGTTTATTGGAAATGCTCACCAGATAACAAAAGTTAAAAAGAACATCATATTATACTGCTAAATTTAGTTAAACTTGCTTCAGTTCAGAAAGAAGGTAAGCTTTTTTCAATCACAATATACCTTTTTTATAAACAAATTCTTAAATTATACTGAAGTTTGGTTTTCAGTTTTATAACTTATTTTTTATCAAATGTCATGAAATGCAGTTAAATATTTGTAATTAAGATTAATAAGCACACATGTTGATAAATACTATTTATAATTATATTCTTTTCTAATATGATTTCATGAAGAAACACTCTATTTTATAATTAATCGTCTCAAAAGTCTATTTAAAAAAACAGCTCCCATATAAACAAGTATATCTTAAATTTTACATAATAAAAAATGCACAAATTCACTCTGTGTGTGTGTGTGTGTGTGTGTGTGTGTGTGTGTGTGTGTGTACGTGTGCGTGTTTCACATGTAGGAAAAGTTTAATTGCATAATAGTGTAATGGGTGATTGAGGTTTGTTTCTTTTACTTTTTGTTATTTTTGCCAAAAAATAATTTTAGATATATTTATGGTCCTGATTTCATAAATCATCAAGATAGACTGGAAAATTGTACAAAAATACTTACTATTAGGATTTTTATGAGAGAAAGTATTTTAAAAACTGATTGATGGCATTGAATAACATTGAGGGAAATATTTTAAAATAATATTTTATCTAATCTTTTTATATATATATTTTTATTATACTTTAAGTTCTAGGGTATATGTGCACAACGTGCAGGTTTGTTACATATGTATACATGTGTCATGTTGGTGCGCTGCACCCATTAACTTGTCATTTACATTAGGTATATCTCCTAATGCTATCCCTCCCCCCTCCCCCCACCCCACAACAGGCCCCAGTGTGTGATGTTCCCAACCCTGGGTCCAAGTGTTCTCATTGTTCAATTAGCACCTATGAGTGAGAACATGCAGTGTTTGGTTTTTTGTCCTTGCGATAGTTTGCTGAGAATGATGGTTTCCAGCTCCATCCATGTCCCTACAAAGGACATGAACTCATCATTTTTTATGGCGGCATAGTATTCCATGGTGTATATGTGCCACATTTTCTTAATCCAGTCTATCGTTGTTGGACATTTGGGTTGGTTCCAAGTCTTTGCTATTGTGAATAGTGCTGCAATAAACATATGTGTGCATGTGTCTTTATAGCAGCATGACTTATAATCCTTTGGGTATATACCCAGTAATGGGATGGCTGGGTCAAATGGTATTTCTAGTTCTAGATCCCTGAGGAATCGCCACACTGACTTCCACAATGGTTGAACTAGTTTACAGTCCCACCAACAGTGTAAAAGTGTTCCTATTTCTCCACATCCTCTCCAGCACCTGTTGTTTCCTGACTTTTTAATGATCACCATTCTAACTGGTGTGAGATGATATCTCATTATGGTTTTGATTTGCATTTCTCTGATGGCCAGTGATGATGAGCATTTTTTCATGTGTCCATTGGCTGCATAAATGTCTTCTTTTGAGAAGTGTCTGTTCATATCCTTCGCCCACTTGTTGATGGGGTTGTTTGTTTTTTTCTTGGAAATTTGTTTGAGCTCTTTGCAGATTCTGGATATTAGCCCTTGGTCAGATGAGTAGATTGCAAAAATTTCCTCCCATTCTGTAGGTTGCCTGTTCACTCTGATGGTAGTTTCTTTTGCTGTGCAGAAGCTCTTTAGTTTAATTAGATCCCATTTGCCAATTTTGGCTTTGGTTGCCATTGCTTTTGGTGTTTTACACATTAAGTCTTTGCCCATGCCTATGTCCTGAATGGTATTGCCTAGGTTTTCTTCTAGGGTTTTTATGGCTTTAGGTCTAACATTTAAGTCTTTAATCTATCTTGAATTAATTTTTGTATAAGGTGTACGGAAGGGATCCAGTTTCAGCTTTCTACATATGGCTAGCCAGTTTTCCCAGCACCATTTGTTGAATTGGGAATCCTTTCCCCATTTCTTGTTTTTGTCAGGTTTGTCAAAGATCAGATAGTTGTAGATATGTGGTATTATTTATGACGCCTCTGTTCTGTTCCATTGGTCTATATCTCTGTTTTGGTACCAGTACCATGCTGTTTTGGTTACTGTAGCCTTGTAGTATAGTTTGAAGTCAGGTAGCATGATGCCTCCAGCTTTGTTCTTTTGGCTTAGGATTGACTTGGCAATGCAGGCTCCTTTTTGGTTCCATACGAACTTTAAAGTAGTTTTTTCCAATTCTGTGAAGAAAGTCGTTGGTAGCTTGATAGGAATGGCATTGAATCTATAAATTACCTTGGGCAGTATGGCCATTTTCATGATATTCATTCTTCTTATCCATGAGCATGGAATGTTCTTCCATTTGTTTGTATCCTCTTTTATTTCATTGAGCAGTGGTTTGTAGTTCTCCTTGAAGAGGTCCTTCACATCCCTTGTAAGTTGGATTCCTAGGTATTTTATTCTCTTTGAAGCAATTGTGAATGGGAGTTCCCTCATGATTTGGCTCTCTGTTTGTCTGTTATTGGTGTATAAGAATGCTTGTGATTTTTGCACATTTATTTTGTATCCTGAGGCTTTGGTGAAGTTGCTTATCAGCTTAAGGAGATTTTGGGCTGAGATGATGGGGTTTTCTAGATATGCAATCATGTCATCTGCAAAAAGGGACAATTTGACTTCTTCTTTTCCTAATTGAATACCCTTTATTTCTTTCTCCTGCCTGACTGCCCTAGCCAGAACTTCCAACACTATGTTGAATAGGAGTGGTGAGAGAGGGCATCCCTGTACTGTGCCAGTTTTAAAAGGGAATGCTTCCAGTTTTTGCCCATTCAGTATGATATTGGCTGTGCATTTTTCATAAATAGCTCTTATTACTCTGAGATATGTCCCATCAATACCTAATTTATTGAGAGTTTTTAGCATGAAGGGCTGTTGAATTTTGTCAAAGGCCTTTTCTGCATCTACTGAGATAATCATGTGGTTTTTGCCTTTGGTTCTGTTTATATGCTGGATTACATTTATCGATTTGCGTATGTTGAACCAGCCTTACATCCCAGGGATGAAGTCCACTTGATCATGGCAGATGAGCTTTTTGATATGCTGCTGGATTCGGTTTGCCAGTATTTTACTGAGGATTTTTGCATCAATGTTCATCAGGGATATTGGTGTAAAATTCTCTTTTTTCATTGTGTCTCTGCCAGGCTTTGGTATCAGGATAACGCTGGCCTCATAAAATGAGTTAGGGAGGATTCCTTCTTTTTCTATTTATTGGAATAGTTTCAGAAGGAATGGTACCAGCTCCTCCTTGTACCTCTGGTAGAATTTGGCTTGGAATCTGTCTGGTCCTGGACTTTTTGCTGTTGGTAGGCTTTTAATTATTGCCTCAATTTCAGAGCCTGTTATTGATCTATTCAGAGATCCAACTTCCTCCTGGTTTAGTCTTGGGAGGGTGTATGTCTCTAGGAATTTACCCTTTTCTTCTAGATTTTCTAGTTTATTTGCATAGAGGTGTTTATAGTATTCTCTGATGGTAGTTTTTATTTCTGTGGGATCAGTGGTGATATCCCCTTTATCATTTTTTATTGCATCTATTTGATTCTTCTCTCTTTTCTTCTTTATTAGTCTTGATAGCAGTCTATCAATATTGTTGATCTTTTCAAAAAATCAGCTCCTGGATTCATGGATTTTTTGAAGGGTTTTTTGTGTCTCTATCTCCTTCAGTTCTGCTCTGATCTTAGTTATTTCTTGCATTCTGCTAGCTTTTGAATGTGTTTGCTCTTGCTTCTCTAGTTCCTTTAATTGTGATGTTAGGGTGTCAATTTTAGATCTTTCCTGCTTTCTCTTACGGGCATTTAGTGCTATAAATTTCCCTGTACACATGCTTTAAATGTGTCCCAGAGATCAAACTCCTCCAAGCTAAAGGAGGAAGTTTGAACCCATCACAAAAAAAAGTTAAAAACCTTGAAAAAAGATTAGATGAATGGCTAACTAGAATAACCAATGTATAGAAGTCCTTAAATGACTTGATGGAGCTGAAAACCATGGCACAAGAACTATGTGACGAATGCACAAGCTTCAGTAACGGATTCAATCAACTGGAATAAAGGTTATCAGTGATTGAATATCAAATGAATGAAATAACGCAAGAAGAGAAGTTTAGAGAAAAAAGAATAAAAAGAAACAAACAAAGCCTCCAAGAAATATGGGACTATGTGAAAAGACCAAATCTATGTCTGATTGGTGTACCTGAAAGTGACGGGGAGAATGGAACCATGTTGGAAAACACTGCAGGATATTATCCAGGAGAACTTCCCCAACCTAGCAAGGCGGGCCAACATTCAAATTCAGGAAATACAGAGAATGCCATAAAGATACTCCTCGAGAAGAGCAACTCCAAGACACATAATTGTCAGATTCACCAAAGTTGAAATGAAGGAGAAAATGTTAAGGGCAGCCAGAGAGAAAGGTCGGGTTACCCACAAAGGGTAGCCCATCAGACTAACACCTGATCTCTCGGCAGAAACTCTACAAGCCAGAAGAGAGTGAGGGCCAATATTCAACAATGTTAAAGAAAATAATTTTCAACCCAGAATTTCATATCCAGCCAAAGTAAGTTTCATAAGTGAAGGAGAAACAAAATCCTTTACAGAGACGCAAATGCTGAGAGATTTTGTCACTACCAAGCCTGCCCTACAAGAGCTCCTGAAGGAAGCACTAAACATGGAAAGGAACAACCAGTACCAGCCACTGCAAAAACATGACAGATTGTAAGACCATCAATGCTAGGAAGAAACTGCATCAACGAACGAGCAAAATAACCAGCTAACGTCATAATGACAGGATGAAATTCACATATAACAATATTAACCTTAAATGTAAATGGGCTAAATGCTCCAATTAAAAGACACAGACTGGCAAATTGGATAAAGAGTCAAGACCCATCAGGGTGCTGTATTCAGGAAACCTATCTCACGTGCAGAGAAACACATAGGCTCAAAATAAAGGGAGGGAGGAAGATCTACCAAGCAAATGGAAAACAAAAAAAGGTACGGGTTGCAATCCTAGTCTCTGATAAAACAGACTTTAAACCAACAAAGATCAAAAGAGACAAAGAAGGCCATTACATAATGGTAAAGGGATCAATTCAACAAGAAGAGCTAACTATCCTAAATATATATGCACCCAATACAGGAGCACCCAGAGTCATAAAACAAGTCCTTCGAGACCTACAAAGAAACTTAGACTCCCACACAATAATAATGGGAGACTTTAACACCCCACTGTAACATCAGACAGATCCACGAGACAGAAAGTTAACAAGGATATCCAGGAATTGAACTCAGCTCTGCACCAAGCAGACTTAATAGACATCTACAGAACTCTCCACCCCAAATCAACAGAATATACATTCTTCTCAGCACCACATCACACTTATTCCAAAATTGACCACATAGTTGGAAGTAAAGCACTCCTCAGCAAATGTAAAAGAACAGAAATTGTAACAAACTGTCTCTCAGACCACAGTGCAATGAAACTAGAACTCAGGATTAAGAAACTCACTCAGAACCACTCTACTACATGGAACAACCTGCTCCAGAATGACTACTGGGTACATAACGAAAAGAAGGCAGAAATAAAGATGTTCTTTGAAACCAACGAGAACAAAGACACAACATACCAGAATCTCCGGAACATATGTATTCTTTTATGGAGGAGTTAAACTTTTGAGAATTTCAAATTTGATGTTTTCTTTGTTATAGGAATACCTCTCTATTGAAATACAAACCTCAATCCAATAATATTAGGTAAGGGCTCCAGAAACCCTGCCTTCTCTCAGCATCTGCAGCTATGGGACCTCAGGATTTACTCAGTCATTCTTCTTTCCCTTAGACAACAGGAAGCCCAGCATCATAGGTCATATTTTATCCCCTTGACTATAATCCCCATACGATGCTATATACTACATCAGTCTCACCTCTCCATTTTCTTAAGTTTCATTGTGTTATGATAAACTTAAAGTCAATAATAAAAACCTCCCTAATCTGTAAACTCTTCTGTGAATATTTCCTTCAGTTTCTTCCTCTAGCATCATTCTCATTTCATAAGCTTTCTATAATCCACCCCCTTTGTTGTAGTCTTCTGTAACCCACCCAGTCTCTTCTCTTCCTTTCTTGACTATTTTGTGTACCTGGATCACTCTACCTCTCTCCAATAGTACTGCGTTATCATTCTTGGTGATTTTAATATCCACGCAAATTGTCCTTCCGATATCTTAAACTTTGTTACATGTTCTAATTTTCTCCAATGATCTTGCCCTTTACATCCTCAGTCACTTTATTAGCATACCAATGTTTTTCAATCACATTCTCTATTACTCCATTGACAGCAACTCCTTAACTCAAAGGGAAGTTTAAACCCACTGAAACAAATACCTTTTTATACATCTCACATCTCCTCCCCATAAACTTTATTCCCCTGTTAACCAACTTTCTTTGTCAATCATTTTGAACATTCTACTGCATACGGCCTTTGCTCTGTTGCTTCTCTATCCCTTTGGTGTATTTGTTTATGCCATTCAATCTAGTTATAGCTCATGACATTCCATTTATGTTTTAGTCAGTTGAACTTTCCCTCAGAATAATGCACAATCATGTTAGCAATGGTACTTTATATTAATAATTGAGCACCAAATGAGAATTTTGATACTTAGTTCATTGTATTTTCTATGAAATATAAAATATAATTTTATATTTTCTGTCATTCCTAAAAGCTGCTATCTCCTTCCTCATCCTCAGTATATGCTGATACTATTTTATTCTACTTTACCAAAAAAAATTGGTATGTAAGAGAATTTTCACTTCTTCTAGCTCTTCCTCCTATAATCTACTTAACAATATCCATTTAGAACTGTATACTATGATTTGTGTATGTTACTAAGGAGATACTTTCTACCTATGCTCCTTATTCTTTATCATACACTCAAAGACATTATCAGTATTTTTCTTTTTATTGCATCGACCCATCAGCCAAAACAAGTAATTAGTTCTCACTACACTCAAACTATGTATTAAACCCTTTTACCCTCCAGCTATCATTGTTTTTCTCTTTCATTGGATAGCAAAACTCCTCTAAAAGTTATGTTTATACTCACTGTCTCCAACTTCTCTTCTCCATTCTCCATTGAACCCCTTTCAGTAAAGAAGGTCCTCATGATAGCTTGCCTCAAATATCACAATAGAATTTTATGTAGTTGCTTATTCATAGGACTTTTTTCCCAGACCTATTTATTCATTTTCAACAGAGATTTCTTCTTCTCCTGGTCTCCCTGCACTCTGTTTAACATACCATTCCCACTGGCTATATCAGGATTTTGCTGTCTCCTACATATGCCATGATTACTCACCACTTTCAGGCTATGGTCAAGTTAATGAGTAGAACTGAATATTATTTTCCCATCTTCTCTGACTTTTGAAATATCACCAAACAGTCAAGATACTCATTAAACATAACCTTGTCTGTAAAGACTTTTCTGTTTTCTCACCAAAAAATAATCATTTCACTCTTAAAATATTTGTAACAGCCTATTGATGTAACAATAAATTTGAATGTACATATTTCCTTTAATAGATAAGAGAGTTTCCTGAGGACAGAGCCACTGTGTTATGAATTTGGAATTTTTTAACTTGCTAGACCAAGATGTAGCTCATTTATGTGCTTAGCGTATGTTTTGGATGGAATTTAGAATTGAATGGTGAGATGACAAATTTTCTAGTAGCATTGTTGTTTTGTAGAGCTTCCTACAGAGAATCTAGATATATGAAATATCCTCATTAACTTTACTTCTAGACATATATATTAGATCAAAATCCAGATCAAACAGATGAGCAGAAGATGTCTTGTTAGACAAGGTGACATATTCATTATTAGTCCTCCAAATTGTTAGTCTAATGGTTTAAAAGGAAATGAGCATGACTCTTTGTGACTGTGTCATTGACAGGGCCACATCCTCAAGCAGAGTTTGAATCAGTACTTATTTGTTAAAGATAACAGGCAAAGATTTTCTCAACTTTAGTATTAAAAACTTTTTAGTTTAAAAGCTTGTCTCTGCTTAGTTTCTTTAAAATACATATACACACATGCATAGATATGTACACACATGTAAAGAAGGAATATATTGCCACATAAATATGGAAATCATGACATAAGTGTGGCCTATTACAAACTTAAATTTTAATACAACATAAATGATATAAGCATTGTATTAGTCCACTTTCATGGTGCTGATAAAGACATACCTGAGACTGGGCAATTTACAAAGGAAGAGGTTTAATTGGACTTACAGTTCCACATGGCTGGGGAAGCCTCACAATCATGGTGGAAGGGAAGGAGGAGCAAGTCACGTCTTACCCGGATGGCAGCAGGCAAAGAGAGAGAGCTTGTTCAGGGGAGCTCCACTTTTTAAAACCATCAGATCTTGTGAGACTTATTCACTATCATGAGAACAGCACGGGAAAGACTTGCCCCCATGATTCAATTACCTTCCACCTGGCCCCTCCTACAACACGTGAGAATTTAAGACGAGATTTGGAGGGGGACACAACCAAACCATATCAAGCATATTCTCAGAGCTCCCTTCAGGTCACATAGTTTCAGCAGGTAAGATATCTTTCTTTGTATTAATTGAAGACTTTTTAAATTTCCCACAGTACTCAATTTTTTCTTTCTTTCTTTTTATTTTTCTGGTCAAGTAGCCAAAAAGAACACTTCTGAAAAAAATCCAGACTGCTAATGTATAATATTGCAGAGTAAGAATAAAATTGTTCATCTTAATTCTGGCAGATGAAAAGGAACTCAGAGATGACCATTTTTCAAACATAAATATAAATCTCCATGATCATTAGTCTGAGATAGAATTATTAAGGCTACAAGTAAAGAATATATCTGACTAATATTTCTGAATATATCTGTTTGTAACTCTAGATTTCCAAATTTATTGGTTATTAAGCTCTTACCATATCACTACATCTAGGGATAGTGTCACTCCTTCCCTGGCTCCCAACTACCTGAAAAAAATAAATAAATAAAATAAATAAAAAACTCAACAGTAGCCAAAGCCTTCTGCAACCATACATGTCATTTTCTGACTCTACAAAACATCAAAGACAAACTTATTATTATGGTTTCATTCCATATAACCTTCTCATATTCCACCCAAATGGTGTAAGCTATCCATAAGACAGCACCTTTCTTTGTACAATTGACATGACTGATATTATGTTCCTGCAATCTCTATATCTCTAACTCTATAGGACTTTCATTTCCACACATAAACATTTCATTTCCCCCCGCAACCTGATAGCGCCAGCACAAAGCTTCTCAAACATTAACGTGCACAGGACATAACTATGAATATTGTTTGAAATGCACCTTCTGAATTGCTACATCTGGCACATCAGTCCCAAGGTTCTTCATTTCTAACAAGTCACCAAAGGATAGCAATACTATTGCTTGGGAGACCATACTTTGAATAGCAGGGTCTAGCAGATTCTGTCAGATTCATTTTTAAGAAATTTCTCACCTCATACTTTGTATGTTAATTTTATCCATCCCACTAGATTGCACGCCTGTTGAGGAGAGTGAGACAGGCATTCATTTTTGTGCACACATGTGTGTGCTTTCCTCTCTGTCCACAAAATTATTAGCAAGTATTTTAATTTTAGTAGTTCCTCACTAAATATCATTCACAACTCGAATGGATATTTCAGTGGTGTGAATAATTGGGGAAGCCTCAAAACAGGCAATAAACCATCTCATATTTTAGGTTTTATGTGGATCTTTGTGATGGGAAGAGTAGCAATTTATGTTTGTAGGGAATAAAAGTTAATGAAAACAATTTAATGTGAATAGGTAAATATAGCGTGTCAGAGAGGAAGACAAACAATGAAAAGCAAAATAGCCAGTGGATGTGGAGAGGCATAGCTTTACAATTCGAAGTGACCATATAAAAATGAAATGAACAAGCAAAAACATGACAAAATCATTGGTTTAGGTATGTCTAGACCCTTTGTAAAACTGGGGGAAAATGTTCATAAAAACTACCAGATGTGATTGATTCTGTTCAAGAAAGAATATTGAGTAGCCCTGCTCAGAGAATCATTTATAGGAAAACTGTTTTTAATTTCCTAATAAAATAAACATCAATACCCACAAATACAGTAATTTAAAACAAAAGAGGCAGACAGTGAATTAATGATGTAGAAATTATCCTGAATACAGGCATCTTAAGTATACTAAAGATCTTAACAGCTCTTAATCTGAAATATAGCTGAAGTAAAATGACTTCCTAAAAATATGAAGGACCTGCTAAGATAAGTCATTTATTTTTCATGGACTGCTGGTGCCAAAACATAAATACTGAGATCATCTCAACCTGCCCAGGGCCTTTGTACTCTATGCCTATGTATGAGTTCCTATCAGAGGACTGGGAATTTGCCAAGCCTCATATAAAACTGTAATGACTTTTAAGGCCACTCAGGCCATTCCATCTACTTGAAAATGAAATTAGGCTTCTTTTTATAGGTTTGAAGCCACCTAAATTTGACCTCTATCTCGCACATCTTGATCCATCAAAATTATCAATACTGTGAGTAGGGGTAGAAAGTTTAGAGTCAGTCATCAGAACATATCATTCGGAAGGTCTTTTATCAAGGTTTCTCAGATAAATTGGTTTTGCAAATGCATTTAGAGTGAAATAATTAACTTTGAGGGTCACAAAGAGAATATGTATGTAGGCAATACAAGATTTTATTTCCCTGTCATCCTTTTTTTTTTTTTTTCTTTCTGTTCGCTTACTAGACATGGAGACAGGGTCTTTCATAAGACAGGTAAAGAGACACATATTCTGTTAAACTAATTAATCAAAGTCATTCTCTAATAATTTACAATGTTGGCTAGAAAAATACAAATATTTTCTTGGAGGTGTTTTGCACTGAAGATTCTGAAGTCCTTTAATTGTCATCCAGCAGGTCACAGGGACTTAAAGATATGATGTTGCCTTCATCTAAGTCCTGTGAGAGGACAGTGAGGGTAGAAAAAGAAAGTGGGTTTCCTGAAAAATACAGCAGTTTGAGAGAATAGAGAGAGAGAAAAATTAATCTGTGCATAGCCAAGGTAATTTCCATATGTTCTGGATGGGAAAAGTAAAGAAATGCTTTACATATGGGACCCTAGGTGTCCTATGAAGATGTCAACTACTAAGAGGAATTATGCTGCTGGTGTGTACTCAGTGCCTCTTCCCAGACCTGATAGGCATATTTAAAAATTTATATTATATTGGACAATACAGCAGCCCACTTGGCCCTTTTTTCCCAAACTGACAACTAAGAAATATGAGATATTCTCAATCTTTGGAAGGTCGTCTTTCCGAATTTTGGGGGATTTTAGGGCAGCATTCAAGTTACAGTTTTGTATTCTTCCCTTCCCTTTTCTCTCTAACTGGTACAGTCCCAGAATAAAGCTTAAGGCAGCACAAATAAGTGACCAAGTAGCAAACCCTAACGGATACTCTGCACTCCTTCCTCCATCCAATAATGCTTTGAATCTCTTTTAGTGTCAGGGAAACTTAGTAAATTATCAAGAAAGACACCTAGCCAGATACTTCCCCATGCCCCTCTAGAGTCAGGGTATGCTTCAATATAAGACAGTCATAAACAAAATTTTGACAAGCAGCTAGGATTGAAAAATAAAAACAATGTATTATTCTGGAGAAAAAACAATACAATCCTAGTTATTCTACTATCATTTTCCCCAATAGCCTGACTTGATTGCTAAATTAAAGAAAACTACTTTGGGTTCTTAATATTTTACTTTTGTTGTATATACTGATTAAGTTGACTAAACATTTTCCCATGAAGTTTGGTATGTGCAGACACAGCCTGAGTTTATATTGCCTTTAGTGACATCATGCCATTTTGAAACTATCTATTCCTTCTATATATTGCTAGTAATATGTATGCATAAAGAGACATCCAGTCCAAGTCTCTTCTCCAAGCTTTTCAAGTATTTTGCTCTTCTGGAACTCTTTTTGGTCCTTACGTCCAATGCTGCCTTCAAATTAGTTCCCTGCCCTCCCACCAATACAGACACAATTTAGAAAGTGAATCATCCTCCATCTGTGATATCAAATAATACAGTTATCTAAATCTGTCTTTCAAGTAGCAGCAGCAGCCCTAGCAACACAAACTCCAAGAACATATACTGGATTAGAATAGATAGCAGCAAGCAGAACCCAGAATATACTGAGACTTTTTAAATTACAAAGTTATCTGTAATGGATGACAATTAGCAGATATTTTAATAATGGGAATATCCTGAAGTATAAGCAATGCTGGCAAGAACTCAGTATTTCAGGATGTCTAGCAGAGAAGCAAGAATATTAATCATGATTGATGTTACATTCATTGGCCTTTTACTATGTGCCAAGTACCAAGCTAAATACATTCTATAGATCATCACATTTATTTTTAACTAAAAATCAAAATAAAAACTGATGGTTGGTATTATTATACCAATTTTATATACGTGGAAACTGAGGCTTATGAAAACCAACTAACCCAGATTAAATCTTACAGCTACTGAGTAAAAAATTGAAATAATTTTTAACTCTGACTCCTCAGTCTCTCCTAACACTTAATAAGTATGGTAAATATCACTTCCTTTCTCAGAATACATCCTCTTTACCACTCTTATGACCTTCAGTGTTTTAGGAGGAATTAAAATCACATCGAACTCCAGGGATGGGCACTGATCTACCTAATTTGATGAGTATACACTCATCTATGTTTGTTTCCTAATCCTGTATATCCTACCTCTCCAAAGTTTAGTGGCTTAAAACAATAACCAGTTTGTTTTCTCTTATGATTCTGTGGGTTGACTGCATTCAGTGGGATTCTGGCATGGCTAGGTATCTCTCTCCCTCTTTCTCTCTTTCCATGTAGCGCCAGAGCCTCGCCTTCACTCCTTGCCTCTCCAAGTGATCACTTCTTGTAGCCTCTCCAGCAGGATCAATAGACTTCTAATGTGGTAGTTTGCAGACTGCAAACAGTCAAAAGAGGAAAAAAGCCTTGTGAAGTATGGCTCAAAGGTGACTTGGGGTCATCATTCAAGACTAGCTGTCTCACCAGCCATCTCTTGACTATAGTAATTGGTTGAGGGAAGACATGAAGCTTTAGTTGCCTAAAGAGGAGCAAATTCCCCAAATATTTGATAATTTCGCAAAAAAGTTTTCTCTTGCTAGTTATACATAAGATAGAATGTAGCTCTAGTATTGTCCAGTAATCACCCTGTTATCTTGAGAAGAGCCATCTTAGGATAAAAATAACAACATGGAAGGTAGAGAAAAGGCCTGGAAAGCAAACAGGTCTTTGGTGTCAATCTTTTACTAAATATAGGTTTACATCTGAACTTGTCAGTTGCAGGAATTCATACATTTCTTTATTTTTGAAGTCATTTAAAGTGAAGCTTCCTATGGCCTGAAGCAATAGCCATAATAAGACACAATAATTTATACAATGATTTAAAAATATTAAACTCCCAAATTAAAAGCATTTGAGAAAACTTTTTGTACAATATATAACCTAATTCAGGGAAACAAAAATTGTATTTTTTTAAAAAAATACGAATGGTTTATGCAAGGGACAGATCATGTAAAGTTTATTTTATTAAACGAAAATATCTACATAGATAACTTCATTGGGGTTCCTGGGGAAAGAAACTTTATTGGAACTGAGACAACTCCAGTGAATGTCCTTTGTAACAAGCCACTTTTTTGGCAATTACCAGACAATCCTGAAAAGTATATGAAATGTATGGCCTTTACATAAAAAGCAGACTGATTAAACTGCATTATAATTAAACAATCTAAATCTAAAAACCAATACTACATTTGAAATGCAAGGGTGTGATACGATCAGGCAACAGAATCCATGTCAAATCATACCACTATGATTAATCCTATTGGGGTACAGGTAGCTATTCCACCCTATCCTCAAAGGAGAAAACAGGGATTTCCTTCAAGATACATTGAATATAAAAACAACAATAGCCTCCCATCTCCATTGTAAGCATGTACAAACTCTACTTAGAGTGGTTAGAAACTGTAAATTTTAACTCCTCTCATTTACTAGAGATTTTCTCTTTTCTTTTGTCAAAAATCTCTGGAGGAAAACAATGTTGTTTATTTTTGTTTTATTTATAGCTTGTATATATGTGTCTTTTTGAAAACACCCCATTAAAGGACACATTTCTAGTCTTGCTTGAATTTAAATGTAGAATAATACGATATGCATTGCTACCTTAAGATTATAGGCAATAAGGTTCACACTCAAAATATACTTGCAGAATATCCTCAAGTAGATAATTATTTTTTGATCAAACCCTCATTAAGCACTACCATGTTCTAAGCTTGAACCTATGCAAGGATCTAGGAACACAGTGATGAACAAAGTAGACAAGGTTCTTGTCCTCATAATCATACCATCCAGGGAAAAAGACACACATGAAGCAATTAATTATATTAATAAACATAAAATCACAATCCGTAGTAAGTTACATAAATCTAAATTAAAGGAAGTTATGAGAGTATAACAGGATGATATCATTTAGCTCAAGGAAGATTAGAGAAACATTTTTTGATAATGGGTCATATAAGCTGAAAATGGAATGATCAGCGTGATTTAACCAGACAAATAATTATGACAAGACTATACTATGTCTAGGGGACAAAAATAATTAAATATAAGAAAGGTTCAAAAGAAATCTGGTATGGCAATGGTTATTTGATGAGAGCAGTGTGACTCAAATTGAGGTTGTAGAAGTAGGCAATAAATAGTTCATACAGGACATTGAAGTTCAACTTCAGAATTATGGAATTTCTTATATATGTAATATAAAATTATTTTTAATTTAAGAAGATATTGTGCTTGCCTCAGCAGCACATACGCTAAAATTTAAATAGAAACTAAATTTGCATTATGTAAAGGTTACCATTTTTGGTTGTGTTATGAAGAATATATTAGATGGGGAAAAACGAAGGGCAGAAGGTCAATTTAGAAGCTCTATAGAGAAAAGATGATGGTGGATGAAGCTTGAATTTTGTGGTAATGGAGATGAAGAGGATGGAAAGAATCAGGAAGCATTTTGGAGGAATTTCAAGAGCAAGGCTTTGATTTGATTAGCTGAGTGGTTGAAAGTTTAGTTTAGTGGGCTATGGCATACAAAAGAAGACTGCTTTGGGGAGTGAAACACAGTAAAAAACCAGTTTGCCGTATAAAAATACAAGATCGGTGAGACTCCTAAGTATCAATATTAAATAGCTACTTGTTTATATGAACTAGGGCTTAGAAGAAAGGTCTGTGATCAAGGTACAATTTTAGTACATGAATAACATTTAGTCACTCAAGTGGGTGTGGCTACCCAAACAAGAACTTAAAGCAGAGGTCAGCAAACATTTTTTTTTCTATAAATGTATATACTGTAAATATTTTAAATTATGTGGGGGCATACATTGTCTATTGCAACAACCAAATGCTGTCTCTCTAGCGTGAAAGTGGCCAGACACAATACTAAGAAAATGTGGGTAGCTATGTTCCCTCAAAACTTTATTTACAAAAACAGGCCACAGGCCTGTTTTGGCCTGTGGGCTATAGTTTTCTGACTTTTGTTTTAAAACATTGGAATAACGACAGAAATTGTTAGAGAGAGAGAAAAAGGAAAAAAAGAAATACCAATGCCTGGGACCCATGTCCATAGAATGTTAGTTATTTTGTCTGAGTTATCAAGCGGACATTGGTCTGGAATACCAACTGAAGGCCGCAATTTCTCAAACTGTCAGTGACATTCTTCGTAGAGTTAGAAAACACTATTCTAAAATTCATATAGAACCAAAAAAAAAAAAAAAAAAAAAAAGAAGAGCCTGAATAGCCAAGGAATTCCTAAGCAAAAAGAACAAAGCCAGAGGCATCACATTACCCAACTTCAAAGTATACTAAAAAGCTACAGTAACCAAACTATCATGATACTGGTACAAAAACAGATACATAGACCGATGGAACAGAATAGAGAGTCCAGAAACAATGCTGTACACCTACAACTATCTGGTCTTTGATAAAATTGATGATAACAATCAATGGGGAAAGGATTCCCTATTCAATAAATGGTGCTGTGATAATTGGCTAGCCATATGCAGAAGATTGAAACTGGATGCCTTTCTTATACCCTCTATAAAAATCAACTCAAGATGGATTAAAGACTTACATGAAAAACCTAAAATTATAAAAGCTTTGGAAGATAACCAAGGAAATACCATTCTGGACATAGGCCCTGGCAAAGATTTCATGATGAAGACTCCAATAGCAATTGCAACAAAAATAAAAATCAACAATGGAACGTAATTAAACTAAAGAACTTCTGCACAGCAAAATAAACTATCAATAGAGTAAACAGCCTACATAATGGGAGAAAATATTTGCAAATCATGCATCTGACAAAGGTCTAATATTCAGAATCTATAGGAATTTAAATAATTTAACAACTAAAAATAAAGAAACCCACTAAAAATGGGCAAAAGACACAAATAGACTTCTCAAAAGAAATACACATGGCTAACAAGCATATGAAAAAATGCTCAACATTGCTAATTATCAGAGAAATGAAAATGTAAGCCACAATGAGATACCCTCTGAGTCAGAATAGCTATTATTAAAAAGTCAAAAAATAACATGCTGGAGAGGTTGCGGGGAAAAGAGGACACTTACACATTGCTGGTGGGAATGTAAACTAGTTCAACCACTCTGGAAAGCAGTTTGGCAGTTTCTCAAATAACTCAAAGCAGAATTAACATTTGACCCAGCAACCCCATTATTAAATATAAGGAATATAAATCATTCTATTACAAAGACACATGCATGCATATGTTCATTGTAGCACTATTGACAATAGCAAAAACATGGAAAAAACCTAGATACCCATCAATGGTAGACTCAAGAAATACATATACACTATAGAATACTTAGCCATAAAGAACAAGATTATGTCCCTTGCAGGAAAACTGATGGAGCTGGAGGCCATTATCCTAAGCAAACTAACAACACAGGAACTGATTTAAAAAAAAAAAAATTACTGCACGTTCTCATGTATAAGTGGGAACTAAACTTTGAGTACATAGGGACACAAAGAAGGGAACAATAGACACCAGGGCCTACATGAAGGTGGAGGGTGTGAGGAGGGTAAGTATCAAAAAACTACCTATCATGTACCAGCCATACTTATTACCTCGGTAATAAAATAATCTTTACGCCAATGACACCCTACGACACCCTGCAACATGCACTTTACCTATATAACAAACCTGCACATGTGCCCCTGAAAATAAAAAAAAAATTTCATAATTAAAAAAATAAAGCTTCATAGATAATTCTAATGTGCAACCAACTTAGAACCACTGATTTAGAATGAAAACAGCAAAAGCCTAAGAAGAAACTTTGGAGAATTCCAATATTTAAAGATCAGATAGATACTGTTGACGAATTAAAGGAGATACGAAAATGTAGCAAAAGAGGATGAAAGAAAATTAAGACTTTGTTTTAAGTTATAAAAAGAATAAAACGCCTCAAGAAGGAAGGAGGGCAATAATAATAATAGTACTATTAAGACCTAAAACACATTTAATATGTGCTTTATTATATGTATTTTACTTACATTAACTTATATAATGCTTGAGTAACCTTTTAAGCAGGTATTTTTATCTCCATTTTAAAAAATAGTTGGTTAAACTGAAACATGAGCAGATTGAGTAACTTGCCAAAGATCATGAAGCATGAATGACAGAGCTGGAATTTAAATCCAGAAGATCTAGCTTTGGAGCACTGACACTTGCTCATATGTATTAGGAATTTAAAAAACAAAAAGATTATCCATTGTTTATAGAAAAATGAATGCTGAGAATATTTTCAAAAACATTAGTTTCAGTGATAGGAAAGAGAAAGCCAAGGAAGTGCGGACAAGCTAAGGGAAAATGAGGAGGATGAAGGTATACAAGACCATATTCTGAGAGAGAGTAAGTGTGTTTATGAGAATGAAGGATTAGAGTTGAGTAAAATTGCAAAGGTATGAAATAACCACTGCAAATATTGGAGAGTGAGTTTAGTTGAGAAAAGTGATAGTATTGCTCAGCATTATTGAGTGTGCATTTGAGGTGTTTTATCATGAATTCTGAGTCTTATCAGTTAGGCAATGGGAGTTATCTTCATGGAATAGCACAGCTATTCTGCTAAAGGATCAGGAAAGATGTCTTTGCCTTGATCCGGAGCTGGGATTTTGCCAGAATTGTGTTTTGGAAAGACTAGAGTACTTTTGCAAAAACTCAGGTAATGATGTGAGTTGTATCATCAAAAACCTAGGAAAATTAGAAGTTGCAGATTTTTTTGCAAAAATTGAGGTAATGATGTGAGTTATATCATCAAAAACCTATAAAAATTAGAAGTAGCAGATTTCTATCATGTCTTTAAAATCTCCCTCCCACATAGTCCTCGCTGAATTTTCAATACTTCTTAACCATAGTTTTATCATTCATGAGAATCTCTAAGAATCTGTACTGTTAATTTTTTTACATGCTACATTTTACCAAGAATTAAGAAAGAAATCTTAAAAATAATTTTAATTTTGATAACTAGAGACAACAGATACTATAGTTTTAATATTTAAACTTCTCAGAATTAATCTAAAGTAACTTTTACAACATATCATAAAAAATTTCTCACTAAATTTTAAAATCTTATTTTAGTATCCAAGAAAACTTGCAGGTATCAAATTAACTACCAAAACTTCCATATCATTTCATTTCTGAAATGTATTAAGAATAAGAGAACACAAGTATTACACAGATAAAAGGAACATATATTGGTATACTTCCTAATTAATACTATCTTAAATAAAACTAGAAGAAAAATAAGACAAAATAATTCATTCGACAGTTTAATTTGTCTAAGGTGGATTATTTGTTTTTTTAAAAACCCCTTGACATTTTCTTCAATATCAATAATTTGATAATAAATATGAAAAAATCTCCTAGTTTTATTGATTTTTTTCACTAGACAGAAATGGAGCATAGAATGTAATTATAAATGTTAAAATGTTTCTTAATTCCTACTTAAGTCTTTTCATCATTTAAGCTATACTTTCAATATTCTATTTATGGGAATTTGTATAACTTACAACCAGAAAATGATTTATTCTTTTGCTTTCTCCATAGGCTCTTGCAGGAAGTTAGCAATACAGATGTAGAACATTGATTATACAACGCATAGGGGAAAGGAGAGGAGAAACAAAAAGAAAGAAAAGAGGAGGGGATGGGAAAGGAGAAGAAGAAAAGGGAGAGAAGGGGAAGTGGAAAAGACAGCATAGTAATGCTTAAGAGATATTCTAATAGGAAGGTTATAGTGAAAGATACGACTTTTTAAAATGACTTTCCTCTTCAAAAACTGGCCAAGCTAATGATCTCTTTTCTCTTCTGCCTCCTCCATGCCCATGAATTAAAATGTCATGACCATTACCAAGAAGCCCATCCAGCTGTAAAACTGGATGGAACTGCATGAATACAAATATGACCAGATTACAAATATTATCCTAAAAAAAGAAGTTTATTAAATGTCCAAAATTGGAGTAGTCATTGGGTTCATAGTTCTGAGTATAGGATAATGACTCTTACGTTAATTAAGTAACTGAACATTTTTATGGGATAGAGTTGCTCTTCCCATTCTCAAACCTCATGGATTTTATATGAGCTGGCAAAGATAACTCAAACTAAAATATAGTGCTGATCTTTAATATGGAGATTATGTGTATGTCTGACAATCTGACACAAAACAAACAATTGCAAATACTTTTGATAAAGAACTGTACCATTCGTGACTTCACATAGATATTGTTACGTCTTAAACATCCATTTCCATAGTCTGGAGAAAAGATGAAAGAAAAAATTTCTTACTGGTTTACATGGGATCATTACTTCCATTGATTCCATATTTACATTTAAAATAAATTTAAATTGTGATTCTTGATTTATTTGTATGTGATACATCCTTTACTTGAGGTGATAGGAGGTAATAAATCTTCCAAGGTTAGCTTCATCTTACTTTCAAGTTTTTTGAGAGTGTTTTAAAATGCTGCTTCACTTGAAAAACCATTTGCTAAATGTCTAACATAGGTATACCAAGGAAAATACTAGACACTAGATAAAATAGTTTAATGGGAGAGAAAAATAAATATTCTAATATTTAAGCATAATGATTCCTGAGATAGGATAAGCCCTGGATGTTATGAGGACACATATGAGTACACTTAATCTAGCTGTCAGGATTATGGAAAGCTTCCGGGAGAAATCTGAAGAACTGAAAGCACTCTAACAAGGCTGGAGCATGGGTTTTCAGTTGGGAGTTGGGGTTTTCAGGTGGGGATCAAGGTGTTGAGGTATCAAGTTTGAAAGTTAGGTGGGGCTGGTCTAGGAATGGTTTGTTTGTAACAGTAAGGAGTTTGGAATTCTTCCTGAATACCATTGGAGCCACTGAAAGATTTTTGGCAGGGAAAAGTACTGTCAAAATTTGAATTTTAGATAGATTTATACATCAGTTCTTTAGACTATATTTTGAAGACCTGAGATTGGAAGGTGGTCAATCATGGAATTATGCAGCTTTGGCATATCAAGATACAAAAATAAAAATCCCCAAAACCAACCAAACCAACCAACAAAACAAAAATAAACAACCCAAAACCCCACAAAACAGTAGAATCAATATAACTCAGTGACCAATTGAAGGTAGAGGGTAAAGGATGTGGAGCCAAGGATCGTACTTGGGTTGATGGTTTGGACAACTGACAGGGGTACCAGTAACCAAATGTGTAATGCATGCATGAGGAGCAGTGCATTTGGCGGAAGGCTTTTGAAAGCTGTATATTTGTTATTTTGACTCTCTTTTTTTTTTTTGAGACAGAGTCTTGCTCTATCACCCAGGCTGGAGTTCAGTGGCAAGATCTCGGCTCACTGCAACCTCCATCTCCCAGGTTCAAGTGATTCTTCTGCCTCAGCCTCCCGAGTAGCTGGGACTACAGACGTGCACCACCATGCCAGGCTAATTTTTGTATTTTTAGTAGAGACGGGGTTTCACCATATTGGCCAGGCTGGTCTTGAATTCCTGACCTCGTGATCCGCCCGCCTCAGCCTCCCAAAGTGCTGGGATTAGAGGTGTGAGCCACTGTGCCTGGCCTATTTTGACTGTTTCTTATCTGTTCTAAGTATAGTTAATTTAAGTGGAATGCAATGCCTTGACTGGACATGTGGTCTTTGCAAGCTACTCTAACAAAGACTATGATGATGCTTTGGGTCTTCAGGTATTAATGTGAACTCAGGCCCTGAGCTCAATGGTCCTTATAATGTCTGAGTCTGTTCTCCTCTTTCTCCAGTGTACAAGCACTTGAGTAAGTGGGTATATGCTCATTTTAAAAAGAATTAGGCAAATCATGATGGCAGATTCTTGCCACAGTGTTGCAGAGTCCTTCTCACTTAGGACATGACAGTATCTTTGGGCCTGTGGATTGAGCAAAAAAAAAATGTGACTTTTTATTGTAGTAACTCCCATAAACCTCCTGTTTTCTCTCCCAATATTATCATGTTATTGCTGTCAATGTTAATAGATACCCTTGTTGGCTGCCTCTAGGCATACCATAGTTTATTAACCATCTTCACAAGTTCCACTGGCTGCCACTCCAATTTTGCAGGTCAACATGTTAATTGAATTGAAGACTACTGACTTCTGACTGTTGAGGTTCTGTTACTCCAGGATCAGGTTATTCATCTGTATATTAATGAGCCATCTAAATGACCACTTCCCCTGCCATCAACACTGGCCTGCAAAGGAGATCCATCAGTGAATTTCTTAGTAAACCTGGTGATCATCTCACCTGTGTATTCTTAGAGGTGTCAGTTAAAAATGTGTGTTCTGGCCCCTCTGATAGGAATAACCTTTGGGTGGGACCATGAACCTCACATAATACATAAATTTATTCATTCTCACTTTCTGCAGCTTTCTATTCCTACCTTTACCATCGGTCAAAGCAACTCAGACATTTCCATATTGTTAATTAAAGGCCATATCATATTTCTGGTATCTAACAGTCATACCAACAATGACTTTGCCCCACTCACTAAGAAATAATTGCCTGTCCTGAGAAAGTACCCCCTAAGTCAATAATTTCTTGCTTAGCCTATCTTATATTTAGTTTTCTGAATGAAGAATTCTCACAACACATTCCCACAGTACTTCTCTATTCCCCGCTAGTAAATGCCAGATAATTATTGTAACTCTTTCAATCTATAGACTCTCTGTTTTCTTGCTAGGTCTGGACTTCTCAAGTAGGTTATGTTGAGATATTTACCTAGCCTGAATATCCAGGAACAGTGGTGAGGATCGTTCCTGAGGGGGAAGAGACCTATTGAGTTACATAAATAATAGTTCTGCAGCATCTACTATCTTGGAAAATGTGCTAATTCTTACTGGGGAATGATAGGCCACTTCTGTCATCCTAGAAGTTTTAATGAGAATAGCAGAGCCAACATCCTCATTAATCCAAATTTCTTCATGTCATGCTTTAGGGTTCCAGACTTTTCATCATGCAGAACTTACCTTTGTGAAGGAGAGAAGAAAACACAGAAAGAAGACACTGGAAAAGCAGTACAGTTCTAAGATAGTTTTGTCAAGGTTCAAGCGGAGTCCTCAAACCAAAGTGAGACATCAAAAGGGTCACACATCTCTCAAGAAAATACCTGCCTAAATATTCATGCCATCCACAATAATTTCTCAGTAATCGCTATTGAAATCATGACCTCACACAAACATGATGATATATTTAATAGTACAGCATCTGGGGCAACATCTGGGGCAGTGGAGCATCTGTGTCATGGTAAGTTTGACTGAAACGAAGTTTTGCAGCAGCAAAAACAGTATCAACAATCTAAATTTAATTCCATATGTGTGGATCTCAGTAAACCAGGCTGTATTAGAAGCTTTCTCTAGCTATAGAGAGTTACCTGCTCTGTCAAGCAAGACTAAGGCAGGAGTTAAGGCATAAACACACTAACATTTTCAAAACCTGCTTGTTTCACTCAAAAAAGACTCAACTTATAAGGCAAGGGTGCTCAAATATGAGGTTTCTTGCTTTTTCATTTATTTGAGTTAAATTTGATTTACAGAACCAGAATAAAAAACAGGTAATCACATTTATTAGAATGTGGCATTTACATCCACAATGATTCTAATTTTGAAGCTCAGTTTTTACATTTTTCTATAGATACTATATTGGTAGATGTTATTGATGAACTCTCTGTTGCATCTGAAGGTCATCTTAACACCACACTAACAGTTGTGGAATAAAGTGTCCTTGAGTTTGACACTGAATTAAATATTGTATTCTTCAAAACACATTTCTCGCTATGAGAAATCATATGGATTTTTAAATTTTGCTCCAGGTAGGTTTTTTTTAAAGGCTTATTTCAATATCTTCATGGATATATTGAAGTAAATTTATACTTTTAATAATAATTAACAGCAAAAGAGCAACAATTCCTGAATTTAACATTTCTACTCTTTATCTTCCTCTAGTTATATTTCTGACTCAAGTAATGAAAAAAAATTTTTACACTGATTATCTCAGACTCTTAGGAAGTGCTGTGAACTATCCAACCTCCTTAATAAGTACACTGAAAAAAAGTTCCTGCCATTTTCTCTACCTCCTAACTTAACACAACTTCCCAGCAAACTTAGTAATAAGGATAGCTGGTAGAAGTTTGACATGTACAGGATAACTTTCGAGGTGGCAGAAAGTGTTAAAAATCATTTACCATCAGTGTCTCAGCTCTTGGCTATCATGCCTCTCTCCCTCTCTACCTAACCCTCAAATCTAATCCAAGCCATGCTTTGTTGCATTGACTTTCTTGGCCATATCAAGAAAAGTATGTATACATGTATACCCATGGTCTTAAATTCAAGATAAGTAAAATTCTGCTTTTAGAATTTCTTCATGATGGTGTAATGGGGACTATAATTACCCTCTCAGTATAACAACCAGAACACCAGAAGAAATATGTGAAACAACTATTTTCTTTCATTGGAAAAAAAGTAGCTCATGACTGAACCCTGAAAGAAGGAAAACAATTGATATGAATCCTATAATAACTCCAGTTTATTGTCTGGAGACTGTTTCTAGGTTTTAACGTAGCAAGGGTAACATAAGCATTGCCTGGTGGTCTTAAGTTGAAGAGACAGATATTGCAATGCAGAATGGCTAAGAAACTTAGAATCTATGAGGCATGGTGTCTCCTAGAGACATCTCTGAAAATCTGAAGATGATTCTCTTCAAATCTTTGGCTGAAGATTGATCTATGCATGTGTGGAGTAAAACTCCAAAAAGCTGTTAAAGGGCCACAAGAAAGCAGCAGACCAAAGGATTCCCAGAAATCACAAGCCCTAAAAAGAATTTACATTCTCATTCCTAGAAATGAAAGATCTCCGAATATATGGAAGAGCAGAAAGAGTCCTCAAGGAGTTCTAGCCTGAGTAGTGGCTGCATTCAAACTAAAGGCTCCTCTTGTTGTAGTTTAATACATTCAAAAATGATACTCAAAATAATCAAGTTGATAGTGTGACTTCACTGTGCAGCAGGATAAAAGTAAACATTTTTCAAAAAAAGACAATAAAATCCAGCATGCAACATGGAAACTTTATAATGCTCAGCATTTAAGAAAATATCCAGGCATTTTATAAAACAGAAAATATAACACATAAGTCCAAGAAAAATTAATCAATAGAAAAATACCTAGAAAAGACAGAGAAAATGGAATAATCACAAGGAGTTTAAATAGCCATTATAAAATGCTTCATATAATTAAAAATGTAGAATAAAACATAAATCATAAAAAGTGAGATACAAAAGATACAAAAAATACCAATACATTTGGTTTATTAAAAAAGCCCAGATTTTGCAAAAATTTTAACCCTGGTGTACACGTCAAACAAAACATTAAATTAGGTGTGCAGAAAGAACCGAACAAAAGAAAAGAAATGCCTTGGGGGGAGGGGGGAGGGAGAGCATTAGGAGATATATCTAATGCTAAATGACGAGTTAATGGGTGCAGCACACCAGCATGGCACATGTATACATATGTAACTAACCTGCACATTGTGCACATGTACCCTAAAACTTAAAGTATAATAATAATAAAAATAAAAATAAATAAATAAATAAAAAGAAATGCCTCATAGACAGAATATAAATTCTGTGGAAATCAGGATACTCAAACCAGAAAGATACTTGTACTTACACAAGAAAGGACTTGCCAGAAAAGACAAAAAATCTTTATTATCCCAGGAGTGATATAAGGTCCCTTATTAAGGCAGCCTTATCTAAATCAGATGCTGAATAAAGATCTTCTACCAAAAAGAGGGAGGCTCATTCTGAAAGAAGACTCACGATGGCAAAAAAAGAGAAGGTGTGGAAATAGAGAGCTCAAAAGTCTCAAGTGAGTATAGCACACTGGTTCCAAGAATCATGAGTTCCTTCTGAAAGTGATCTTGCTCCAGATCTGACTTCTGACACCATTTATATCAATAAATAACAAACACAGAGAGAGGCTGTCTAACAGAAAATAATAGGCCATTGCAATGGGAATACACATACCGTAGTAAACTGTGTGCAGAAGTAAAGGAAGACAAAGATTTCTAAGGAAAAAATGAGAACAATTACATACTTATTTTGTGATAATTATCCTTGGCTACAAGCATCAATAACAAGGGTGACACCAGTCTGAGTTTGGACAGGTAGTTGCTGGGCAGATGTCCTTATAGAAGTATTTCCTGTGTAAGCTCATAATGGCCTTTGTGCAAGGTTGTGGTTTTGCAGAGTTAGTTGTTTTTTTTTTTTTTTCCAGGCATTTATGCATGAGAACCTGCTTCATGGCCTTTTTGGACTTTACATGTCAGGGTGTTTTACAAAATTACTCTTGTTATTCTGACTACTTTCACAGCAACAAGAAAAACTGATGGACTCATGAACCTAATTCTACCTCAGGTCCCATGAGGAATAAAGAACTCCGTCTCTGATGTAGGAATTCCTATTCTTATGCCAGTATTTATGAAACTGTGGCAGGCTTCCTGGTGTTAAGAATAAAAGAATAGGCCAGGAGTGGTGGTTCATGCCTGTAATCCAGCACATTGGTAGGCTGAGGTGGGCCGATCACTTGAGGCCAGGAGTTTACCAGCCTGGCCAACATCGTGAAACCCCATCTTTACTAAAAATACAAAAATTAGCCAGCTGTGGTGGTGCACACCTGTGATCCCAGCTACTCCAGAGGCTGAGGCACAAGAATCGCTTGAACCCAGGAGATGGATGTTGTAGTGAGCCAAGATGGTACCACTGCAGTCCAGCCACAGCAACACAGCAAGACTCCATCTCAAAATGAACAAACAAACAAAACAAAAACAAACAAGAATAAAAGCATAGTATCACTACAGATTGTATAGACATCAAAGTATTACAAAAGGGTATTGTTAAAAAATTTGGGCAACAGGCTCAACAATTCACATAAAATAGAACAATTTATTGAAAGACAGAGACTACAAAACTTATTCAAATAAAACTAGATATATTAAATAATCTTATATCCACTGAAGAAACTGAATTTTTAAGTAATGCCATCTCACAATAAAAAACTTTCAGGCCTAGATGGTTTCACTAGTGAATTAATCTAATTTTAAACACATAATAATAATAATACGATTTCTACAGAAACTCTTCTGGAAAGTGTAAGAAATCAAAAGACTTTCCTACTCATATTATGAGGCCAACACCAAAACTGAAACCCCACAAAGACGTTAACAGGAAAACAAAATAAAATGCAACAGACAATTTTCCCTCATAATCAGAATTGTAATTATGTTTAACAAAGTTTTACCAAATCAAATGCACTAATATGTAAAACTAGTAAGACTTCATGGCTAGGTTTCTTTCATCCCAGAATGAAAAGTTGCTTAAACATTTGAAAAATAAATACACGCCATTTTAGATGACAAACGAAAAAAAAAAAAATCACATGACATTATGATCAGATGCAAAAAACTAATGCGATAAAATTCAGCATTCCTTCATGATAAAAATTCTCGGATACTTAAGCATGGATACTAACTTATCCTTATAAAGGGATATATGAAAAATTTAGAGTGGGACAATCTACTTGAATGTGAAAGGGTGCCTGTTTCCCCACTGAAATTGGAAGCAAGATAAATATATTTTATCTTGTCACTTTTATTCAACCAATGATCTGGTGGCCTCAGTAAGTGCAATAATGCAAGAGAAAAGGGTAGAAATGTTTTGTTCTAGTTATACGTCTAATCAGCTTTCTTAAATTTAACCATTCCTTCAATACATATAGTGCTATCCATGCCCCATTATGTCCATTTTTAATGGCTTACAAATCTGTAGTTGAGTAGTGATTTATGAAATGTTTCAGAGAGGATAGGTTAGATTATGCTGCAGCAATAACCAAGCTCCAAATTTCATTTACTTCAAAGGACAAGGCTTAATTCTAACTCATCTTATATGTCTATTATGAGTCATTGTTGAAGTCCCTGATGATTATATTTGCTCCAGAAACCAAACTGATGGAGTAGCTTACATTTCAACTGTCATCCATACTTATGCCAGAAGAATAGAAGGCCTCTGGAGTAAGCATTGGAATTACATTCTATTTGTGATTTGTATATGCCTACAAGTAACATAGAGAACTCTTATTCCCAACTCTTGGTTTATAACTAGTCACAACTCCCCACTCAAACAACAGAAGCCAAGAAGGCAATCCTTGAAGGTGGAGTACCTGAAAAATGTATTAAATACTTGATATGGTTTGGCTCTGTGTCCTCAGCCAAATCTCATCTCGAACTGTAATCCCCACTTGTCAAGGGAGGAACTTGGTGAAAAACGATTGGATTATGGGGCAGTTTCCCCTGTGCTTTTCTCTTGACAGTGAGTGAGTTCTCACAAGGATTGATGGTTTTAAATTGTGGTACTTCCTCGCTCTCTCACTCCTCCTGCCACTTTGTGAAGAGGTGCCTTGATTCCTCATCACCTTCCATTATGATTATAAGTTTGTTGAGGCCTCCCCAGCCACTTGGAACTGTGAGTCAATTAAACTACTTTCCTTTATAAATTACCCAGTCTCAGGTAGTATCTTTATAGCAGTGTGAAAAAAGACTAATACAATACTCTAATGGTTACATTATTCAGCTCTTCCAGATAACTAGTTAATAAATTCAGATTGTTGTCTAAAACAATTGTATATATAAAAACATTAATTTTTAATAAATCTATAATCTCAATTGGCAAATACAGAGAGAACAAAGTGTTTTAGGTTACCCTTGTTATTTTAAAATATTCCTATTTATTCTAAATTTGTATATAATTCCTAATAATTACATTTAATTTTTAAAAAACGGCTTCATCTTCTGAAGGATATTTTAAATATTCCAAATAAACCTTTTTTAATCTCATGTATTTTCTAAGACAGAAAGCCATAAAGTAAGTTAATTAAATCAATAGTATTGATTTTTTTGTGTTGAAAAAAGTTAATATTCATACATATTCATATGTACTTAGTTTCCTCAATCATAACATTAGAGTAATTTTTGGTACATACTAAAATTTTGGAAATATATAGTCATTATTCTATCTGTAATAATAATTTTCTATTTATATCATGGAAATAAATATACATTAATCAAATTGTTGTTTATCAAATAATTCATGTATGTATATGTCAGATCTCGGATGCTGCTGTGCTAGTCAGCATCATTTATAACTAGCAAATGTAAGAAATAACAATCTTCAATGTTAATTTACTTTCAGCCAAGTTCATATGTGAAAAGGATTTGCCTAAGAAAAATACACTATGTCTACCGTGTCACATTCAATTTACTTTGTATTTTCATATTTACAACTCTGTGTACATATGTCATAAATTTTATTTTTTAGGATTAGAAGATTAATACCATTATCAGATGTTTTGTCTTAATTTCCAAACTCTGTATTTGCCCAAATGATGAAACTATATTTATCTCCCCACCCCCCAACTGTTAGGAATTAAAGAGAAACTAGTGAAGATAGGATAGGGGAAAAGGAACAGATGAAACAAGTAAAAGAATGAGCAAGTAAAGGGAGAATGTAAGATTGATTCCCCTTGTGTCCTCCTATCAATGATTTGAAAAAAAATCTGTTTATAAAATTAACATAAGCAAAACTTCACAAATTAACATTAAAAAATTAAGCTGGGTAATATGATTAGATTTTAATTTGCTTCTATGCAATATAAAACAATGTTTAAGCTTTCAATTATTTCTGACAGCATGCAAATGATTTCAGGTCATTAAAGATCGGAAAGATTATTTTTTCCCTGATAATTTATTAACTTATGGAAAAGATGGCATATACTTTTCAATTACTCATATGGTGTTGGCACATGCTATTTGTAGTATGTACTCTGAAATAAAATTAATCTTATATGTAAGAGAATTATAATAATATTTTGAAGATTATATAAAATATTGGATAGAAATAGTTCTTCAATCTCATATTACTTCTTTATTCACCTCCTTTCAGTAATGTATATAATTTTGCTTATTATTGTAACTTTAAACTCAGGTACTTATTATTTCTGAAAACAAGAGAACATGGTTATTTCTTGATGTTACTTTTTGTCCCACAAAACTATAAGGTTTACTCAAGTCATAAGGCAACAATAAATACAACAAACAAGTTGTTCAGAAATTATACATAAACCTCTGTGTAGCTGTATTGAAATCTGAGATGACTATTTTTTATTTTATTTAATTATTTTTAAAATTTGCTCATTTTCAGGGGCCAGTGAATGGGTTTATATTTCTCAATCTTGTATTTTAATATGGTTATAGTCATCTTTGATCCAAATTTTGTACATGATCTAATCATGTAAAGAGTTTATAACACCTACAGAGATTATCAAAGCATAGTCTCTCAATGTTCAAAGTGAACTCAGGCCTAGGTCTAAGAGATAGCCCTTTCTAGTTTTCATCTGGTGGTATCCGTACTTACTCTGTCTCATACCCCATTGTAAGCTATAAGATTACAGAATGTGTCAAATAAATTTCTCATTGTGAAGTTGAAGATTTACAAACATATAGTAAATTCCCTTTCCCTCCTTCTTTCTTCTCCTAATAGTTAATTTTTTTTTTAATTTTTCTTTGGTCAATTTTGTCATTACAATCATTATGAATGAATTTTTAAAATTGAGTATGCCCACCTGTGTGCACATGTGTGTGCTAGTGTGTCTGTATTTGTATAATGGAGTCTCAAAAACTGGAAGCAGTTTCAATGGTGTTTCACTTCCTCTGATGTTAGTAAGTGAGGTAATTCACTTGGGGTTGTAAAAATCGCAATGTCAAGCAACAAAATGCTTCATTAAATAGAAAGAGAAGCTCTGAAAAGAAAAAAAAAATCTTTCTTTGAATAGAGGAGTTAAATACATGTATGTAGTCCACCCTTGCTGTCTACAGTACGTGATGACACAGTAATCTCTTTTGTTGATTTTCCAGTGAAACTGAAGCAGCTTTTTCACACATGAGGGGTAAGAGAATGGACAGTGTCAAGAGGTGTCTTAGTATTTTCATTCTAGTAAGTTGTGAGCAGGCAATTAAAGATTTTTACTTTGGAGATAATCTTCACTCATAGCCTTTATCACCATGTTTCCCTGAAGAATGAGATTTTACCCTAAAAGAGGATAATAGAATATCACACGCTATGTTAGAAAACATTTAGAAAAAATAATCATTTCATGCTATTAAAAAATGATCAATACATTTTTATTTTTTGTTCAAAATTTTGGTAATGTATATTTCTAGGAAATATACATAAAATGTACTAGAACTAAAAATTAAATGTAATATTTTAGACTCTGAAAAAAATGTCTATTATAATGTCAAACCAGAATAATACCTGCTTCTCACTCACATTGACCAAGAATCAATGTTAGGTGACTTAACAGCAGAAGAAATGCAAATTATTGGGATATTCTTTCATTATGTAGTATAAACATAACTCATATGTGTTTCTCATCAGCTATGCCTTCATTTTTCTTGATGGAAAATCTATGGGAATATAGTAGCACCATCAAATTAGTGAGTAAACAAGACCATTACATCAAAATAGATTGTGCTCATTTATTCTGACAAGTGTAGCAGTTTAAATTATTTATAGTTGCAGACTGAATGGATTTAGTAAATGCCCTATAGTACATTTTGTAAATTCAGTAGAGTCTTGGTAACTTCTTCATTAATTATGTTTATAAATTACAATCCTTACAAAAGCCCTTGAGCATGTAATTAATAAATTTATTTAAATAATTAGAAACTCAGAAGATTTTATGTTTTACATATAGCTAAATTTAGCAAAAATATACATTCTTTCTATTGATTTGTAAGAATAACAACATATTAGGAAGGGGATTATAAAAACTAAAAAGTGCCTCGGAAGTTCTCTCAATTGTGGTAATAATTATGCCTTCTAAGGCTTTCTTGCCTTCTTTTAGGAAAGATGTGGTTGCAAATGCTCTCAGACATGAACATGATAATCAATACTTCTGAGAAGAATTATTTAAGAAGAATTATTTCTAATTATGGCAAGTCTGACAAATTATCTCACATTACTATGTGTCAGTGCAGCAGTAACTAACATTTATTAAGATCTACTCAGCCACATAGGAAGAAGACAGAAGTGCTAACAGAGGCTACCCAAGAGTAGAAGCCCTGACAATTTGTTTTTAAAAAACAAAACAAAACAAACAAAAAACCTCTCAATCTCCTGTGTGCTCACACCCAAGTGAAAATACACAAAAGGAAAAAAATTTGTGAATACATATTATTTAATTCCCCAATATCAGCACTTTTTTCAGTACCTTTCATGCCATATGCAATTAGAAAATTCTCCCAGTAATGCAAGTAAGCCTAAGACAGAAGGCAATAAGCAGTGAGAAATGTAACATGTTTGGATAGCAAATCCACTAAAGATAGTGGCTGAAGCAGGGAGAGTACTAGGATCAGTGCATCCTAGTTTCTGGCTTATCAGAAATAATTTCCAGGTTAATAAAAAATTTCAAGCCATTCCTATTCTTTTGGAATAATTTTGCTACATTGCTCACAGAGGGCCAGACAACGAAAATAGGAGATAATTCAGAACCAGTTTGGCAAAATGAACAGCTAAGCCACCCACAATTTGATATGGGCTCTGCTCAGTAAATTTCTTTTGAATGTGGGATTTGAAGAAATGTGGAAGAATCAAGTGAAAGGTAAGGCAGAAAGTATTGAAGTAGATTTACTACATTTGTTCCCAATCACCAAGTCCATGTAAAATGCCTCTCATTTGTACTTCACAAAAATTCCACCACCATCATGTCTTAAATTAAAAAAATGTGAAGGATAAAAATTACTTTAAAATAAGACTATCCTTTTTGTGATGTTCCAAATAGGTCCTGTAAACCATTAGTTAATGCTCTTAAAGACATCTCAAGTAAGGTACCCTTCCAAGTGTAATAAGAGACAGGATTTTAAATGCAAAGAACAAATGATTTGGAGTCAGACAATTGTGAGTTGAAATTCTGGCCCTGCCAATAATTCAAATGGTGTGTTTAGACAAAGTTAATTAAGCTCTCTAAGCTTAATATTCTTCATTTATGAAAAGGGGGTAATTGTGGAGATGAAAAGAGAGAATATAACAGAAAGAATATAGATAAAAGAGTTAATAGAGTGCCTGACTTAAAGGAAAATCTCAAAAAGTTATTTAAGATATATGATTATTCCTTTATAGTGATTGTTTCATTCTATTTCAATCTATTATTTATAGAACTATTTTGTAATATTTTCAGTAGCTCATGCTCTCTGTCTCTCTCTCTCTCTCTCTGTGTGCGTATGTGTGTGTGTGTACGTGTGTGTATTCTTTTGTATTGTCTTTGCTGATCTTTGGAGTTAGAGGAAAAACATAAGCTTATAAAAAACAGATCAAGCTTAGGGGAAAATTTAATGGATGAGGAAGTTAAAAAAATAAACAGACTGTTCAAGAGTTTTCTTGTTTCTCTTTTACAAGCTTAGTACACGTGTTTTAGTAGGTTCAGAGATTGTTTAGGGATCTGTTGAAGTTTTATTTATAATCTGTCACGTTGAGAGGTAAGGAAAGCAAGCAAATATAAGCCCATGTGTACCATGCTTATAAAGAGAATAAATTAAAGTATATGAAACATTTAGAATCAACTGTTTTTTTAAAAAAAATTCATTTCTGACTACAAAGAAATGAGATTTTTTTAGATTATGACTATTTTCAAAATCATAGATAATTGTTGACTATAATTTTAAAATGTAAAGTTATTCAAGTTCTCTTTGTTATACTCCTTCTTTCCAGGAATAAAGTGAGTTAAATGTCTATTTGTCCCATATCTAGACTGTACAAGGAGAAAATGTTACAAACCTTCTATATTCTTTAGCTATGAGAAGTACTGTGTAGACTCATTTGCTACTCTCCAAGAATGTTAATGTGACAAATCTATAAATTCTTATCTCTCTCCATTTCACAATATTATAATTCTTTGCATTTGACAGTCTTTTGATGAAAAATGGAAATAAAACTTTGTGAAATCAGGAGTCTATCCAATAGTTATTCTTAATGGGAAGGAGGGAATTTTGAAGAGTAAATGATTCCATTCTAGCAGACTCTCTGGATCATAAACCCTTACCTGAAATAACCTCCTCTAGTGATAAAGCACTGATTACATTTGCGCTTGCGCATAGGCAGTGGCATGGGATGTACTGCAAGAGTACAGGGAGAGTTACAGATAGGTGTAGTGGAAAGATAAGAGACGAGACACTGACAGAGTGAAAATTTGTGCAGAATGTGGAGTCAGAACACAGCGTATGCTGTGGAAATTGAAGTAAAATAAATCTTTAGACCAGCAGCTAAAATGACACCTAGAGTGTTTCTTTCTTCAATACTCCTGAGCCCCAAAAGAAAACTGGAACTAAAACTATAAAAAGAGAAATACAAAGAATCATTACTAAACTTGGAGTTGTTACCTTGAAAAGGAAAAATGATAACAACTTATAGCATTTCCCCTATATAGAACAAAGTGACAGTGGGGCTGTATGCCCATAACAGAAAGAAATGGACTATTGATCCAGGCTTGTGAGCCCTCTAAACAAGAGGATTAGATCACCACACAAATGATTGTGAAGACGGTTTGTCTGGAGACCCAACCTGTAGTGTAGATATTGGGTACTGAAACAGTAAGATAAAGAAAATGATGACCGTGGACAGAGAGTGAAAGGGAAGTAAAGAATGCATAATGTTTAGGACAGCCTATTAATGTATTTCTTATGTGGAGCCAAAAGCCTGCTTTCTGTTAAACCAAGTATAGAAAGCATGCACATTGGTAAATTTCCTTACTTCAAGGAACAAACTATTGCATCAGCCTCCTGAGCCTAGTTCATACATATGATTTAACACATAGCAGAAGATTAATTTCTGGGGACATTTCAGAATGAATTTCATTCCTTGGCAGAAAATGAACCTTAAGCCAGAAAGCACTAGAAACCTGATATTGGTGTCTGTCTACAGTCTGTTCATGGATTGGTATTGCATAATGCACATTTTCAGCTAAAGGCTTACTTATTTCCACCTCAACTGTTTACTTCTCACTCCTGTTTCAGTACAACCACTCTTGTGTTAAGAAAATCTTCATACTGTAAGTCATCACTCACTCTGATCCCTTCCAAGTACACCCATTACATTAAAGTAGGCAAAAATAATACATCATACATGACAAATTCAAATTCAAAGTAGCTGAACGAACTCCTACAATAGTTCAATTAACCTGTGAATGTTTACATCAGTTATGTACTTTTGTTAGGTGAGTGTATTAGTCCGTTTTCATGCTGCCTGCTGATAATGACGTACCTGAGACTGGGCAATTTACAACAGAAAGAGGTTTATTGGACTTACAGTTCCACATCACTGTGGGGGCTTCACAATCATGGTGGAAGGCAAGAAGCAGCAAGTCACATCTTACATGGATGGCAGTAGACAAAGAGAGAGCTTGTGCAGGAAAACTTCCCCTTATAATAACCATCAGATCTCATGAGACTTACTCACTATCATGAGAACATCACAGAAAAGACCTGCCCCCGTGATTCACTTACTTCCCACCAGTCCCTCCCACAACACATGGGAATTCAAGACAAGATTTGTGTAGGGAAACAGCCAAACCATATCATTCCACCCTTGGCCCCCACAAAGTCTCATGTTCTCACATTTCAAAATCAATCATGCCTTCTCAACAGTCTCCCAAAGTCTTAACTCATTTCAGCATTAACTCAAAAGTCCACAGTCCAAAATCTCATCTGAGACAAGGCAAGTCCCTTCCGCCTATGAGCCTGTAAAATCAAAAGCAAGTTAGATACTTCCTACATACAATGGGGTAGAGGCATTGAATAAATAAAGCCATTCCAAATGGGAGACATTGGCCAAAACAAAGGGGCTAAAGGCCCCATGCAAGTCTGAAATCCAGCAGGGCAGTCAAGTCTTAAAGCTCCAAAATGATTTCCTTTGACTCTGTGTCTTACATTCAAGTTCGCGCTGATGCAAGAGGTGGGTCCCCATGGTTTTAGGCAGCTCTGTCCCTGTGGCTTTGCAGGGTACAGCCTCCCTCTTGGCTTCTTTCATGGGCTAGCATTGAGTGTCTGTGACTTTTCCAGGAACAAGGTGCAAGCTGTCATTGGATCTACCATTCTGGGGTCTGTAGGGTGGAGGCTCCCTTCTCACAGCTCCACTAGGTAGTACCCCAGTAGGGACTCTGTGTGGAGGCTCCGACCCCACATTTCCCTTCTGCACTGCCCTAGCAGAGGTTCTCCATTGAGGACACTACCACTGCAGGAAACTTTTGCCTGGGTATCCAGGCATTTCCATACATCCTCTGAAATCTAGGCAGAGATTCCCAAATCTCAAGTCTTGACTTCTTTGCATCTGCAGTTTTAATGCCATGTGGAAGCTGCCAAGGCTTGGGGCTTCCACCCCCTGAAGCAAGAGACAGAGCTTCACCTTGGCCCCTTTTAGTCATGACTGGAGTGGCTGAGATGCAGGACACTAAGTCCCTAGACTGCACACAGCAAGGGGACCCTTGGCCTGGCCCACGAAACCATTTTCTTCTAGGCCTTCAGGCCTGTGATGGGAGGGGCTGCTGTGAAGACATCTGACATGCCCTGAAGACATTTTCCCCATTGTGTTGGGATTAACGTTTGGCTCCTGATTACTTTTGCAAAATTTCTGCAGCCGGCTTCAATTTCTCCTCAGAAATTTTTTTTTTTCCTATCATATTGTCAGGCTGTAAATTTTCTTAACTTTCATGCTTTGCTTTCCTTATGAAACTAAGTGCCTTTAACAGCACCCAAGTCACCTCTTGAATGCTTTGCTGCTTAGAAATTTCTTCCACCAGATACCCTAAATCATCTCTCTCTAGCTCAAAGTTCCACAGATCTCTAGGTCAGGGGCAACATGTCACCAGTCTTTTTGCTAAAACATAACAAGAGTCACCTTTGCTCCAGTTCCCAACAAATTCCTCATTTCCATCTGAGACCACCTCAGCTTGAATCTTATTGCCCATATCACTATCAGGGTTTTGGTCAAATCCATTCAATAAGTCTCTAGGAAGTTCCAAACTTTCCCACATTTTCCTGTCTTCTACTGAACCCTCCAAAGTGTTCCAACCTCTGCCTGTTACCCTTTTCCAAAGTCACTTCCACATTTTTGGTTATCTTTTCAGCAACGCTCCACTCTACTGGTACCAATTTACTGCATTAGTTCGTTTTCATGCTGCTAATAGAGACATAACCGAAACTGGGGGATTTACAAAAGAAAGAGATTTATTGGACTTACAGTTCCACATAGCTGGGGAAGATTCACAATCATGGTGGCAGGCAAGGAAGAGCAAGTCACATCTTACATGGCTGGCAGCAGACAAAGAGAGAGCTTGTGCAGTAAAACTCCCCCTTATAATAACCATCAGATCTCATGAGACTTATTCACTATCATGAGAACAGCATGGGAAAGACCTGTCCCATGATTCAGTTACCTCCCACCAGGTGCCTCCTACAACACATGGGAATTCAAGATGAGATTTAGGTGGGGACACAGCCAAACCATGTCAGTGAGGTGTATAAACCATACTGTTTGAGAAAAAGAGTCCTTTAAATCAGATCAATGTACAGTGAGTTTGCAGAAAGACATTGATTATTCTCCTTTACTGCTGAAAAGCCACAATCTTTTCCCATTAATTTTAAGCATTGTGTTATTATATATGCTATTTTTGGTAAAAAAAAAATAATTATTTTTAATTTGTTTTATTAGAGTCCTAGTGGGACAGATTCAGTCTCTTGAAAATTAAATGTTTGTTGTAAGTTAGTAACTTTATTATATAAATTGAATTTAACCAGTTACTGCACTTTAGTATGTTTACCATACATGTAAGTCCCTCATCTTTCAAAATCAGCTTTTCCTGGGTTCATGGTATTCTGGAATTCTTAAGCTTTGTAATTCAAGCTTACGTAAAATTTTACCTTTGAAGAAAACACTGACTAACTCATACAAAAATATTATTGCTAGGCATATAGAAATATGTTATTTGATCACGATGTGATCATCCGCAGTTGGAAAGCTCCTTACAAATCACTTCAAAATCAAGCTTTTTAAAAAAATCACTTGGTGAATATGTTATCAGCATTAAGTAATTCAACAATACATTTTAACAAGTCATGGTAGCTTCCTCAGTCATCCTTCTCTAAAGGAGTATGCTTACCAGGGCAACAGGAAGATTTATGCTCACCAGTATGATAAATACTCTCCTTTAAAATATGTTAAAGACACCATAACAGCATATTGGTTTTTCCATTTATTCAGAATTAATGGTTTACAGAGTGCTCCATTTTGTGACATCCATCACTGTTTAGTATTTAACATTACTACTTCCCCTTTTTATCATGTTTTGATAACATGCCACAGTTTCCTACACTATCTTATGTTTTGCATTAATTATATTTCAGGATGACTGCTTCCCAGAAGCATTTTGGGGAAGAGACAAGGCAACTAATTTCATAAAGAACACAAAATGCATTTTCTGTTGGGGAGCATTCCTGGTAATGTGATGTAATCATCATTATAAGCTGTAATGTATACTCTTACTGAACATTGTTTCTTAAACCTTTTTCTCCTTTCCTTTGCACTACTTTCTCTCACCTCTGCCTTAACTTATTTTACTCCCTCTGTCCTCCTCACTCTTTCCACTCATTTGAAAAGTAAACTTGACAGCATATTTGTACAGCTTTCCATAGCTTGCAACCTATATGTTTTCATTGCCAAATATTTGGAGACCTAAAACATTCTTCATTTCCTTTTATTTTTTTAATGGATGAAGGTGTGCATAAGTGCATGTTGATTATAGTTAGTCATAATTAATGTCCAATATTTAATGCCAAGATAAAGAAACTTTACCAAGTAGGTTACACTATATTAACTCACAGACCACGTGCTATAGAGAATGAAAGTACTCCGTGTTAGGTTACCTTTCTGAGTGTAACAAACTCTTAGTCCTTGGTGGGAAACATGAGGTAATCAAGACTGTATTCTCACTGACAAAGTTGGCATTTGGAACCTAATTAAGAAACAGTCAAACAGCATTAAATTTTATAGAAGTAGCATAAAGTCCTGAAGTTTCAATGAATTATAATATCCCCTTGTCATTTTTGATTCTTACAGTAATCTCCATGGGTGCCTTCTCAGTCAGTCCTTTCTCAGACTCAATGTTGTGAGGCTGACCCAATTTCCTGTTGATAAAAATTATACTGAGGCAGGAGTTTTGTGCCTCACTGATATGGTTTGGGTCTGTGTTCCCACTCAAATCTCATGTCAAATTGTAATCCTCAATGTTGGAGGTGGGGCCTGGTGGGAGGTGATTGGATCATGAGGGCAGATTTCCCCCTTGAGTGCTGTTCTCGTGATAGAGTTCTCACAACACCTGGTTGTTTAAATATGTGGAGCACCTCCCTCCTCTCTCTCTTCCTTCTGCTCTGGTCATGTGAAGACGTGCCTACTTCTTCTTTGCCTTCCACCACAGTTGTAAGTTTCCTAAGACACCCCAGCCTTGCTTCCTGTACAGCCTGCAGAACCATGAGCCAATTAAACCTCTTTTCTTTATAAATTTCCCAGTGTCAGACATTTCCTTGTAGCAGTGTGAGAATGGACTAATACACTCACCTTTGCTTTTCTCATTGGCAAAGTGTGTTTTACAGTTTCTTGTTCAAGTAGATTGTGCTTCCTATTTAAAATCAAGTCCTTGAAGAGCCCTCTTCGGACCCAATTAGAAGTTAGTTTATTAGAAATATCCCTTGTGCTGAATTGACAGAAATTCTAAAAAATGGTTCTTTCTATTTGCTATATTGAATAATCTGACTATAGCTATTAGTTCTCTACTCCAAGAAAAAAAGCACATATGAATGCACATTATATATGTTGTTACAATTCGACAATTTAAGGCTTCTCGATATGAAGCTTGAATTAAGTCTTCCAGCTCCCACATAGTAATAATTAAGTCCTCTGTGGAAAGCAAATACATAGCTTTGTATAAAAAGATGCTTTTTTCTTGGAAATTCAGCCTAAAGTCTTTAGTGTGAAGAGACTATTCTGATTTGTAACAAATCAGAATACACAATTCAGAATTCCATCTTACAAATTCTATGTACTACAAAACTCATATATGTAGATTTCAGACCTATATATCCAATGGCTCATTAGTCATTTATATCTGGGAGACTCATGATTACTTTGATTAAACAAAATCTGTTGGCATAAAAACATATCTCTCCAAAGCCTGTCTATGTTTCTGCCTATAACACAAGGACTACGAAGTAAAAACCTTTTGCAAATAAGGGTGTATATTTAATGTTAGCTCTGCTAATGAAATGGCCTGGCTGAATATTTGAAAGTCATAGATATAATGAAGATTGTTTTCCCTCTTGTGGTTTCTGGAAACCCAGATTATACATAAATGAATGTAGCAGTGGGCATCAACATTTCATTACTTGGTGACAGGCTACATGGATGTGAGAGATTGTGGTATGGACATTGGAGGTAGCAGCTGTGGTAGCTTTCTGATCCCCAGATCACAGCTACAGAAAAATGCCCCTGCAACCAACAGAGCAATGATCTTACGATTTTAGGCATATTTGGTCCTTTACATGACTTTTCATGACTTATAAGCATTTAACTCTAAAATATATTTCTTTTCATTTGAACCACCTGGAGTGGTTTCTGTTTGCTATTTTCTGAAATAAACCCTGGCTGATAGAGGATTCTACAATGAATTTATGTCTATTTACTTATCTATTGCTAATTCAATGCTCCTTCAGTGTTTCCTGCTTCAGCAAATGGGCGGCAAACCACCCATGTAGCTGCATAAGTTAGCAACCCAGGAATCATGCATTCTTTCCTTTTTATCACCATCTCCATGTGTACTAAACACTACTAAGTTTTTATCATTGTCTTCTCTAACATTCATGAGAAAACATTAAGCCACGTTATCATATGGTCTACGCCTTTATCATTTTGCATGGATTAACTCCATTCCTGATCTTTGTTTTCCTTTTTGTTGCCACCAGATGGTTGTCTGAAGTTCCTGAAGCTACAAACTTCTATGGTAAACTCCAGCAAGAAAGAGGAAGAGTGAGAGAGAAAGAGAAAGAAATAGAATACGTCTTAAATTAAAAAGTTCCGAAGTACAATCTCCTTTATTTGACCGCCCTGAATTGAGCCATGTGCCTACTTGTGGAGTTGTACTGTTCAGGAAGGTGAGATATGATAACTAGTTTAAATTCTACGGTCCAGGAAGATGGGATATGATGATTGGTTTAAATTCAACCCTTATTCAAGGACAGGACCAATGGAAGACAAATCATGGAATATGGGGTATTTTTCAAAACAGTAAATGGAGCAGAAATGCCCAATGTAGCTTCTTTATTCATTTACCTTCTTGTTTCCCCAGTGATATCTATAAAATACAAATATGAACATGTCACTCTTCTTCTTAAATCCTGTCAATATCTACACATTTCTTTAAAGATTTATGTCCAAATATCTTAGCAAAGCTAGCCCTTGCCTACTTTTTATTTTATATATGTCTAATTATCAAGTATCTAATAATGACACTAATTAAAATAACTGCTACTTTATGGTTTTACTACATATGCCAGAGAAAATGCTAAATACTGCATAATAATAATAATCACTTTTACCTTCTTCAGTATGTTCTTATTCTTTATTTGCAAGTGAGGAAACAGGCAGAGATGCATGAGGCAATTTGAGCAAGTAATTATCAATAATTTAACAATTTATAATTTTATAAATTTTCATTTTATAAATGCAAACATGAACATGTTACTCTATCTTGATAAAAATAATTAGTAAATTCAAATTCTTGGGTTTTCTCACTATTCTCTTCTGTTCAACAACTGTTTGTTTCTGCCTAGCAGAGTATCTGGAAATAGAAGAATCTTAGAAATAATCTAGTTTTTTTCTTTATATTTTATGTAAGGAAATAAGTTTATTAATGATAGCCTAATAAGCTAGTCTAAGCAAACATAATTGTCCCTTAAGACTCTGAAGGTGCTAGAGGAGATGGACAGAAGTGCCCATAATTAAAAAATATTTGTAAATTAGGCTAAATAATATATATGTTTATTACAATTTTAATAGAAATAAAAGAGACAACACAAGTATAGTGCTTAGCACTATGCCACTCCTATTATTTAATGTATTACTTTAAACAATTGGTATTACAGTTTGAAAGTGACAAATTGTGCATTAATATAGTTACAGAGCCAAAATACTTATTCTATAGATAAAGACACTCTGATGGTATTTGTGATTATTTTTACTGAACGCTGTTCTGGTGCAGCATATAAATACTGCTATGGTGTGAATGTGTCCCTTCCGAAAGTCAGGTGTTGCTAATATGGTGGTATTAAGAGATGGGGCTTGTGAGAGGTGAATAGGCCATGATGGCTGCTCCTTCATCAGTAGGATTAACATCCCTGTAAAAGAGTACAGCAAGCTTCATGCGGCTAACCGACTAGCTTGCCCTTCTGCCTTCTGCTATGTGAGGACACAGCCAGAAGGCCCTCACCAAAGGCAAGTGACTTGACCTTGGACATTCAGCCTCCAGAATTATAAGAAAGAAATTTCTGTTATTTTAAATTACCCAGCTTCAGGTATTCTGTTATAGCAGCACAAAGAGACTAAGACAAATATCTGAAAAATTTAAATATCTACAGAAAGTCATCATGATGTACATGAATTTGTGCAATATATTCTTGTTAGTATTAAAATCTTACTAAATATCAGCCTTTCTTCTGGTAATTACAAAAGAATAAATTCTTTCTAAGTAACTTTTTGAATACAGGTTGGATAAAATTTGGAATTTATCTTAGAATATTTTCTGATAATCTAGTAATGTGAAGCTCTCTAGTTATTTCTTTTCTGCCTCTTTGAAGTTACACTTGAATGCTCTTTTCCTGGAACTGATATTTTTCTTTACCTTTCTAAATAAGATGAAAAGAACAGACAGTGCTTTTCTCAGAGGTGGTTATATTTATGATTTCCAATTCCAGCGTATTAGATATTCCCATACCAGAAGGTACTGTGACACTTGTCCAGTTTTTATTATATCAAACTAAGTTCCCAAACTGATTGTGTTTCCTTATTTGTAAAAGCATTACTCACTTAGGGGAACAAACTTCCTAGGCAATAAGGAAGAAAATATACATTTCATGTTTCATTTCACTTATTCAGTAACATATTAAACCTTGATTACAAACATTCATTTTTTGGACTCATATTGCATCGCTTAATGCCAACTTAGGAAAAAATGGGCAATCTTAATCATACCTTTTGGCATACTAAATAGCACTTGGACAATATATAGCAAAATAGGGTAACAAATTTCAAATTTGTTACAATTATTATAATGGCTTCTTTTAGGGCTAATAATCCATCCTGTTTCTCAGCAAATTAAATAATTAATCAAAGAGACTATCACATATTTAAGTCACTATACATGTAATACTTACAGAAATATATTTTCTATGTATATGTGTAAAATTACAAGATTTCAAACTGAAACCTAAAATAATTTGAATCATTACAGAATTAAATATACCTTAAAGGAAAAGGGTAATTCAAAAGTGGTGCCCAAATCTATGTCTGATATTAAAACATAACATTTTCTTCCTATGACACAATATAAGATATAGCAAAAAATATAGTATAAGTCATCCCAAATTATACCAAACCTTCCTTTCAAGGATTTCTTAAATAAGAAACCTCCTTCAGAAATAGATATAAACTTTCCCTCTAGAGCGAAGGACAGACATGTTTCCTGTACATTATAAAAGCTCTGGGATCTCTAAGCTCATGGCTTCCCTCCTGTGATGTTATCCACTAGATGTGCAAGCGTCACATGTCCTTCTCTCCATTACACTGTGAGAACTGGAGTATGAGACAGTCACACATGAAAATGCTATATATATATATATATATATTTTTGTTGTTGTTGTTGTTGTTGTTGTTTTGTTTTGGTTTGGTTTTTTTTTGAGACGGAGTTTCACTCTTGTTGCCCAGGCTGGAATGCAGTGGCATGATCTTGGCTCACTGCAACCTCTGCCTTCTGGGTTCAAGCGATTCTCCTGCCTCAGCCTCCCAAGTAGCTGGGATTAAAGGCACCCACCACCACACCTGGCTAATTTTTACATTTTTAGTAGAGATGGGGTTTCACCATCTTGGCCAGGCTGGTCTTGAACACCTGACCTCGTGATCTGCCTGCCTTGGCCTTATTTTTCTATCTATTGTTATTACTGTAGATAATGAAATCCTTTGTTCTCTGATCAAGGTGGGGCTAGTATTCTGCCAGCATCCATGAAACATGGTTGGCCAACTTGTTAGCTTGCAAGTAGGGTAATGATTCAGACCCTTCATAGTTCTTGATAATCTATGTTGATAAGTTTATATACACATATATACACACAAAAAGACACATAGCATGTTTGAAGTGGTTCCAGAGATTATGTGAATATTCAGGGGAGGGCAGGAGTGACAAAGGAGAATGGGATCAAGGGAAATTATAAAAAGGCTGTTCAATAGTGTCTATAATGGCTTATCTTTTTAAAATCTGAATAAAATGGTAAATTACTAATTTGAGTGTTGGACTAATGGTTGTTTTATTGTTTTCTATGCCTTTGCATACATTTTTAACATTTCATAATTAAAATTCTGAAATATGATTAAATCACATATAATTTAATTCTGTTGTTGAGCAGATGGCTCCAGTCACCTAGTGTTGCATTAATTCATTATCTTACTCTGTTTTTAAGATAGACCTTTCAAAGGCTTATCAAACATAAAATGAAACTAGAATTAAAAAAAAAAACTCCCTCCCAAAAAAAGGCCATTTTATCTTTAGACAATAGTCATTATTAGAAAGACCCTCTTTATTTTTACCCACAACTCTGTCTTGTAGCTCCCATCCATGTGACATTATTTTATTCCTGGGTTTATGTAGTCAACACCTTATACCTTTTTTTTACACCTGTGGTATTGTGCAGGCAGGCGCACACGCAGACACACACACACACACACACACACACACACACACGGAGTATCAGAAGTTGGAAAATGTCAGTTCAAGTGCAGAAGTTGCCATTTGTTAATTGTATAATGTAGTCTAAGGATAAGAACTCTGGTGACATGTATTTGCCTCAATTATAATTCTGGTATAATACCTGCCTTTTAGAACTTTTTTTTTTGGGGGGGTGGGGGGGATTGAGTTCATTTGCATGATGACTCTTTGTAAGTGTTAAAGTGCTGTAACAAACAGTACTTTTAAAGACAGTAGCCATGCTCCCTTGCTTTTATCATCTCATTTTACTCCAAACTCCCTTTTGCTAGCCATTCAGCATAAGAGCTGCTTTAATATCCTTTCACCATCATGATCTTTCTCCCCTGAATATGCTGAGCAAAGGGCTGTCTTTAATACTACTTAAAATACAAACTCGAAAGAATTCAAGGACAGAAAAAAAGCAACATAGTATGAATAACTAACTTTAAAACTATGATAATCAATCATAAAAGGACAAACGCATTTATAGTTTCTTTTCCAATTACAAAGAAAAAAATATCATTTTAAAACATACCAAAGTGGTTTTTGTCTTGAATTAAAGCCAAAAATTCAAAAATTACAGTCAAGGAGACTCAAGGATTTATGAAATCTTATTTTTAGGATAAAGACAAAATGCAAAGCATGAACATAAATGTTAAGTCAGGAAAGAGCAGCATAGTTGAGAATCATGGCTTTGTAGTGAAACCCAGGTTCAAATATTGCCTCAGCTCTAGCTAGTCTATACCTTTGTTTTCTCCTCTATAAGAGTATTGTAGGACTTTGTAATGACTACATGAGATATTTTCAAAGTACTAAACCCAGTGCTTCCCAAGCAAGCAATTAATAATTAATGACATTATTATAAATTCATTTACATGCATGCCCTCACAAAGACATATCTCAAAGTTATACGGCCTGTGGATATCAATTCCAATTAATTGATTCTGTGTCTTACCATTGAAAATTTATGGAAAATTTATTATTAATTGACCTTTCTTAAAAATTAGTTTCTCAACACTCTCTTTTTTCTTCAGTTTTATTGTAAACAGTTATAAAACTGTGCTTCAAGATTCCTAGGACTGAGATTTCTTTCTTTAAGAAATTCTGTCCCTCCCTAACACTTACTCATCAGGTGCCAGATTAACCCTAAGTTTCTACACTATAATATAAATTAGGAGGCAATTTTATATTGAACTAGGCTATCTAAAATGTGAGCAAAAATTTCAGGCCACAGTTGTGATATTTATGATATTTTAACTAGTGAAGTTTAAAGACATACCATTTCTCTAAATAACTTTCATGAATACAAAACCCCTTTCCTTTAACCTTTTGCAGTATATTGCATGTACTCTACAGAGAAAGTTCAAAAATGATAGTGCCATCAATAACCATCGGTTTTATAATCCAGTATGTTTGTGAACAACACATTTCTGCGTTACATCTTTGGCTACATGTAATCTAGTTTTCAGATTTCTTAAATTCATCTCATTAAAAATCTTTTCTTTTGCTATACATTTCCCTCCTCCTCGTCCTCCCTCCCTCCCTCCCCCTCCTCCTCCTCCTCCTCGACAGGTTAAATATTATTGAGGTGTTTTATGAAAATAAGACACATGAGTCCTATATAATGATAGGCATTCCTGCTCCATAAAAATCTAAATTGTCTAATAGGGTTCCAATGACAACCAATGGAACATTATCTTTATAATAAAACCTGATATAATGTTGATGTATATCGGTAAGTTTTTATTGTTGTTGTTGTTTTGAAACAGAGTCTCGTTCTGTCACCCAGGCTGGAGTGCAGTGGTGCGATCTGGGCTTACTGCAACCTCGGCCTCCCAGGTTCCAACCATTCTCCTGCCTCAGGCTCTCGAGTAGCTGGGACTACAGGCGTGCGCCACCACGTCCAGCTAATTGTCTTACTTTTAGTAGAGATGGGGTTTCACCATCTTGGACAAGCTGGTCTCATACTCCTGAACTTGTGATCCACCCACCTCGGCCTCGCAAAGTGCTAGGATTACAGGCGTGAGCCACCGCAGACGGCTGCACATCAGTAAGTTTTTAAAGTAATTGGGCCTGGATCCTAATCTTGGGTAAGATACTAACTCTTTCAAAGACTCAGATTTCTCCTAGATAAAATAAAATAGTTGAACTAGACTGGTGTATCCCAACTTTAATTTGTGTGTGTGTCACCCTTGTAATAGTTGAGACATCCATAATCATTTGTTAGTTTATTTACTTAATATTTTAGTTAATTTACTGTTTGATTACATATCTTTTAATACAAACTATAACATTCTACCATAAATGGAAAGCCAGCACTACTTTTTATTAATAGAAGACAACCATAAAATCATAATTAAAATAGAGCTGGATTGTCTTGCACAGGCAAGACTCATTCTGTTGTTTGATCTCTCTTTGGGGAAAACGGATATTAGTTCTGTTAGAGCAGTGTCAAAGACAACTTGAATTAAATTATCTATTTACTAAACATAATCCAAATACTACTCAAAAGGGAGTTAGAAGGGAAATATCTTCTTCATTGGCATTTATTTAATACAGTGTCTGTCAGGGGCAAGCATCTCACCTGGTTCAGTGATTTCTCAATGTTTGCTCTCTCTGATGGCCAATGCTCCTAGGATTTGTAATTGCCGGGAAATTTTAGGTGTGCTAATTATAATGATGTTAGTAGTGATAATTATTTAGCTAAATGTGTTGAGCTCTTATTATGTGCCAGATAATAGTCAAAGCACTTCATATGTTTTTACCATTTAAACCTCATAAGTTTATAAAATAGGTGCTATTATAATCTATATTATAAACAAAGAAAAGAAGACTAATCGATGTTGCAATTCCATAGGAGGGAAGTTAGTGGGGAGAAATATTGAGAGAGACTATAGTATAAATTAAAATAAAATTTAAAAAATGAGTGGAGTCTGAAAAATATAATTTGCAGAGAAAAATTACATTTTATTATAAATTATTATTAAGTAATTTAGTAATAAATTTATGAGGATGTTCTCAAATGACCTTAGAATTAATTTGTTAAAAAGTGTTTTAGGGACATGTAAAAGGCACCAGGATTGCTATATACCTGATGCCAAGCATAATGTATGATACATAGTAAGAGAGCAGTAGGTAGAAAGGAAAGAGTCAAAAAAACGAAATGAACCTACAACAAAGTGCTAAACAGATAAGGAAAACATAGCATGAACTATACAAGTAATGTTAGAATATTTAGAGCCCAGAAGTAGTTGTAATAACATTTGGACTAAGGTAAGGATGCTAAGGCTTTAGATGATGAGCTTGCCAAGACTCTCTACATCTTTTCCACAAGCATTGGGTCTGCCAAGCCAAGGGGAGTTCTTTTTATCAGTAATACAGGGCAAGAATTCTGGATAGTATTGAAGATCATGCACAAATCGGCGATCTACAAGAAAATTTTACTTTGGATTATATGTCCAGCGTTAACCTTATATTGAACTAAATTATACTTTGGATTTATACATTGTGGGTAAATTGTGAACATGAGCATGAAATGAGGTTGATTTAATTTGCCTGGAATAAGGATGCTGTAACAACAATGGAAATAGGGTTTCTGGATCATAGCCAAACACTAAAATAAATTGATGGAATTTTATTTTTCATTACATTTTGGCTTCATTTGTATTGACATGATTATAGATAAAGATCTCTGTGAATAGACTAACCCCAATTCAGTGCAAGGCTATTTGATCCAAGAGCAAGAAATTATAATAAAGATGAGCTTTGGAATCCCAACATTGCTTTTTATCTGAATACTTTATAAATTTTTAAAAAGTGTTTTAACAATATAAGATGACATTACCTGTAAAGGTTTACATATTGAGTAAGGAAGGGAGACCGTGAGGTTTCTTTATCTCTAAATCATGAAGCATTAGATCCAGGCATAAAATATTCTCTTGATATTCTAATTAACTTAGATTTCTTGCAAAGTTTTACTAATTATTATTGCTTTAAAACTAGCAAAGTGATTTTTCTAGCTATTGCTTGCCCACCATCATATCTAGAATTTAAACAAAAACTTGGGGATAAGAAATTAAATATTTTATAAATAAAAAGGAAGTATGAAATTAAATTATTAAAAGCCTTTACATTATTCAAAAATACCTTAAATTTCTCTTTCCTTTACAGTCTATTATTCTTAAATTTTAGACATAAATCTAATAAGACTTCAATTAGCTCAATTTTTGCATTTTACCATTGCTATTTATTTTTTATTTTAATTTTTATTTTATTATACTTTTAAGTTCTGGGATACATATGCAGAATGTGCATGTTTGTTATATAGAGATATAAGGAACCATTTGAAACTATACAACTCAGTGATTTTTTTTTAGAAATGTGTAACAACTTGTAGGAATTTCTAGGTAGATGGTTTACAAAAGGGTGGTTTGTCATATATTTTTACTTATCTGTGGGTTTGAAATTTTTTTATTATTATTATACTTTAAGTTCTGGGATACATGTGCAGAATATACAGGTTTGTTACATGGATATACACGTGCCATGGTGATTTACTATACCCATCAACCCATCATCTACATTAGATATTTCTCCTAGTGCTATCCTTCCCCTAGGCCCCACCCTGTGACAGACCCCAGTGTGTGATGTTCCCCTCCTTGTGTCCATGTGTTCTCATTGTTCAACTCCCACTTATGAGTGAGAACATGCAGTGTTTGGTTTTCTGTTCTTGTGTTAGTTTGCTAAGAATGATGGTTTCCAGCTTCATCCATGTCTCTGCAAAAAACATGAACTCATCCTTTTTGTGGCTGCATAGTATTCCATGGTGTATATGTGCCACATTTTCTTAATCCAGTCTATCATTGATGGACATTTGGATTGTTTGCAAGTCTTTGCTATTGCGAATAGTGCTGCAATAAATATACTTGTGCATGTGTATTTATAGTAGAATGATTTATAATCCTTTGGGTATATACCCAGTAATGGGATTGCTGGGTCAAATGGTATTTCTGGTTCCACATCCTTGAGGGATCACCACACTGTCTTCCACAATGGTTGAACTAATTTACAGTCCCACCAACAGTGTAAAAACCTCCAATTTCTCCACATCCTCAAGAGCATCTGTTGTTTCCTAACTTTTTAATGATCGCCATTCTAACTGGCGTGAGATGGTATCTCATTGTGGTTTTGATTTGCATTTCTCTAACGAGCAGTGGTGATGAGCTTTTTTTACATATGTTTGTTGGCCGCAAAAATGTCTTCTTTTGAGAAGTGTCTGTTCATATCCTTCCTCCGCTTTTTGATGGGGTTGTTTTTTTCTTGTCAATTTGTTTAAATTCCTTGTAGATTCTGGATATTAGCCCTTTGTCAGATGATTAGATTGCAAAAATTTTCTCCCCTTTTGTAGGTTGCCTGTTCACTCTGATGATAGTTTCTTTTGCTGTGAAGAAGCTCTTTAGTTTAATTGGATCCTATTTGTCAATTTTGGCTTTTATTGCAACTGCTTTTGGTGTTTTGGTCATGAAATCTTTGCCCACAATTATGTCCTGAATGGTATTGCCTAGGTTTTCTTCTAGGGTTTTTATGGTTTTAGGTCTTATGTTTAAATCTTTAATCCATCTTGAGTTATTTTTTGTACAAGGTGTAAGGAAGGGGTCCAGTTTCAGTTTTCTGCATATGGACAGCCAGTTTTCCCAACACCATTTATTAAATGGGGAATCCTTTCCACATTGCTTGTTTTTGTTAGGTTTGTCGAAGATCAGATGGTTGTAGACGCATAGTGTTATTTCTGAGGCCTCTGTTCTGTTCCATTGGTCTATATATCTGTTTTGGTATCAGTACCATGTTGTTTTGGTTACCGTAGCCTTGTAGTATAGTTTGAAGTCAGGTAGACTGATGTCTCCAGCTTTGTTCTTTTTGCATAGGATTGTCTTGGCAATATGGGCTTTTTTTTTTTTTTTTGTTCCATATGAAATTTAAAGTAGTTTTTTCTAATTCTGTGAAGAAAGTCAATGGTAGCTTGATGGGAATAGCATTGAATCTATAAATTACTTTGGGGAGTATGGTAATTTTCACAATATTGATTCTTCCTTTCCATGAGTATGGAATGCTTTCCCATTTGTTTGTGTTCTCTCTTATTTCCTTGAGCAGTGGTTTGTAATTCTCCTTGAAGAGGTCCTTCACATTCTTTGTAAGTTGTATTCCTAGGTATTTTATTCTTTGTAGCAATTGTGAATGGGAGTTCACTCATGAATGAACTCTCTGTCTGATACTGGTGTATAAGAATGCTTGTGATTTTTGCACATTGATTTTGTATCCTGAGACTGCTGAATTTGCTTATCAGCCTAAACAGTTTTGGGGCTGAGACGATGGGGTATTCTAAATACACAATCATGTTATCTGCAAACAGACATAATTTAACTTCCTCTTTTTTATTTGAATACCCTTTATTTCTTTCTCTTACCTAATTGCCCTGGCCAGAACTTCTGATACTATATTGAATAGAAGTGGTGACAGAGGGTATCCTTGTCTCATGCCAGTTTTCAAAGGGAATGCTTCCAGTTTTTGCCCAATCAGTATGATATTGGCTGTGGGCCTGTCATAAATAGCTCTTATTACTTTGAGAAACGTTCCATCAATACCTAGTTTATTGAGTGTTTTTAGCATGAAGCAGTGTTGAATTTTATCGAAGGCCTTTTCTGCATCTATTGAGATAATCACGAGGTTTTTGTCATTGGTTCTGTTTATGTGACGAATTATGTTTACTGATTTGCGTATGCTGAACCAGCCTTGCATCCCAGGGATGAAGCCAACTTGATCGTGGTGGAGAAGCTTTTTAATGGGCTGCTGGATTCAGTTTACCAGTATTTTATTGAGGATTTTCACATCAATAGTCACCAGGGATATTGGCCAGAAATTTTCTTTTTTTGTTTTGTATCTGCCAGGTTTTGGTATCAGGATGATGCTGGCTTCATAAAATGAGTTAGGGAAGAATCCCTCTTTTTCTATTGTTTGGAGTAGTTTCAGAAGGAATGGTACCAGCTCCTCTTTGTACCTCTGATAAAATTCAGCTGTGAATCTGTCTGGTTCTCGGCTTTTTTTGGTTGGTAGGCTATTAATTACTGCCTCAATTTCAGGACTTGTTATTGGTCCATTCAGGGATTCGACTTCTTCCTGGTTTAGTCTTGGGAGGTGTATATGTCCAGAAACATATCCATTTCTTTTAGATTTTCTAGTTTATTTGTGTAGAGGTGTTGATAGTATGCTCTGGCGGGAGTCTGTATTTCTGTGGGATCAGTGGTGATATCTCCTTTATCATTTTTTATTGTGTCTTTTTGATTCTTCACTCTTCTCTTGTTTATTAGTTTGGCTAGTGGTCTATTTTGTTAATCTTTTCAAAAAACCATCTCCTGGATTCACTGATTTTTTGAAGAATTTTTTCTCATCTCATTCTATCTCATTCAGTCCAACTCTGATCTTAGCTATTTCTTGTCTCCTGCTAGCCTTTTAATTTGTTTGCTCTTGCTTCTCTAGTTCTTTTAATTGTGATGTTAGGGTGTCAATTTTAGATCTTTCCCTCTTTCTCCTGTGGGAATTTAGTGCTATAGATTTCCCTCTAAACACTGCTTTAGCTGTGTCACAGAGATTCTGGTACACTGTGTCTTTGTTCTCATTGCTTTCAAATAACTTATTTATTTCTGCCTTAATTTCATTATTTGCCCAGTAGTTATTCAGGAGCAGACTGTTCAGTTTCCATGAAGTTGTGTGGTTTTGAGTGAGTTTCTTAATCCTGAGTTCTAATTTGATTGCACTGTAGTCTGAGAGACTGTTTGCTATGACTTTAATTCCTTTACATTTGCTGAGGAGTGTTTTACTTCCAATTATGTGGTCAATTTTAGAATAAGTGCTATGTGGTGCTGAGAATAATGTATATTCTGTTGATTTGGGGTGGAGAGTTCTGTGGATGTCTATTAGGTCAACTTGGTCGAGAGCTGAGTTCAAGTCCTGAATATCCTTGTTAATTTTCTGTCTCATTGATCTACCTAATATTGACAGTGGGGTTTTAAAGTCTCCCACTATTATTGTGTGGGAGTTTAGGTCTCTTTGTAGGTCTCTAAGAACTAGCTTTATGAATCTGGATGCTCCTGTATTGGATGCATATATATTTAATATAGTTAGCTCTTCTTGTTGCATTGATCCCTTTACCATTATGTAATGTCCTTCTTTGTCTCTTTTGATCTTTTTTTTTTTTTTTTTGAGACGGAGTCTCGCTCTGTCGCCCAGGCTGGAGTGCAGTGGCGCGATCTCGGCTCACTGCAAGCTCCGCCTCCCGGGTTCACGCCATTCTCCTGCCTCAGCCTCCCGAGTAGCTGGGACTACAGGCGCCCGCTACCACGCCCGGCTAATTTTTTGTATTTTTAGTAGAGACGGGGTTTCACCGTGTTAGCCAGGATGGTCTCGATCTCCTGACCTCGTGATCCGCCCGCCTCGGCCTCCCAAAGTGCTGGGATTACAGGCGTGAGCCACCGCGCCCGGCCGTCTCTTTTGATCTTTGTTCATTTAATGTCTGTTTTATCAAAGACTAGGATTGCAAACCCTGCTTCTTTTTGCTTTCCATTTGCTTGGTAAATCTTCCTCCATCCCTTTATTTTGAGCCTATGTGTGTCTTTGCAAGTGAGATGGGTCTCCTAAATACAGCACACTGATGGGTCTTGATTCTTTATCCTTGTGGTATAGGCACCTGAGGGAATCTCCTGGTCTGTGGGTTACGAAGACCATGGGAAAAACATAGTATCTGGGCTGGACGGCACCGTCCCTCAAGGCACAGTCCCTCAAGGCACAGTCCCTCACAGCTTCGCTTGGCTAAGGGAGATAGTTCCCCAACTCTTTGCACTTCCCAGGTGAGGTGATGCCCCACTCTGCTTCTGCTGACCCTCTGTGGGCTGCAACCACTGTCTAACCAGTCCCAATGAGATGAACTGTGTACCTCAGTTGGAAATGCAGAAATCACCCTCCTCTCTGTTGGTCTCACTGGGAGCTGCAGACTGAAGCTGTTTCTAGTCAGCCATCTTGCCCAGGAATCTCCAATTAACTTCTTAAGCCACAATAAAGACAACAAATTAGAGAATGATTTTGCAAGAATCTGGCAAATCAACAGTTGCAAGTTATGGCAGGTGTAAAATGAGAAGAAACAGTAAGAGAGAAATACTGCTTACAGCTGAAGCAAGATATCAGAGCATGACATTCTAGGGTATTTATTGAACAGGTAGTTTTCAGACTTTGCTAACATCAGGGGAGGCTGCAGGTCCCAATTAATCAAAGTAGACGTTTCATGACAGCAAGAGTCAAAGCATTTTATATTCACTATATATTTTAGACCTAATCATATTAACTAACATTTAGGCAGTTTTCACACTGAGATAGCTGCTGGTGAGATAATATTTTACAAAAACCTGATCGGACTTGAAGCATCCATTTTAAGGGTGGCAGCTGGAACAGACACAGGGTTTTGCCCACAACCAGAACACTACCTCGACAGGATGGAGGCCCATTCCTTTTATAGCCATATCTGGTACAGAAATAATGGATCATATTTATAAAAAAATACATTTTTACCTAATCTGAGTCAGAGTCCACATGCAGATTTCTTTCTTTTCTGTGGTAGCAACATTACACATAATTCAACAGCCACTTTTGGATTGTTGCAATGGGTTTATATTGTCTTGGTAAACTCTTGCTACATAAAGTTGTGATCCTTCTGCCAGTAGCATGAATTGTACATGAATTGCACCCGAGAGTTTGCTTGCAATGCAGAATCTCACATCATAGTTCAAATCTCCTAAATCAGAATCATTTAACAATATTTTAACAAGACCACCAGCTGATTTATTATGTGCATTAACATTAGAGACTGTTCCAAAAAGTGACATATGAATGTTGTGGCTGCTTGATGAAAGGCCACTGTTTATTTCAGCATTTTCCCAAGAGGAAAATGAGGCTTCTTTGAGAACTTCGGGACTACTGAGAACAGCTTTACACTGTGTGTTTCAGAACAGAAGCACATAGTTTTTATAATTCAAGGAGTATCAACTTATGAAAACATAGCCACACAACCAAGGTCACAGAGACTATTTATGTTCAGTCACATGAGTAAGTCTTCACATTACAATCAGCATAGGCTATTTAAAATGTGTATTAAAATCTTGAAATAGTTCTATTTAAAATGCTTAAAATATCTTTTGGTACCTATTGTTGTATTGCACTTTGTTTTCTGATTTGCCAGATATACAACGTAGTTACTTTATGTTATCTAGTTTCTGAGCACCAAGAAAGAAGATGCTCTATTTGTTTGCTCTACAAATACCTGGCAAAGTGTGCCTCATCTATGACACCTACTATTTAACTATGTAAGTTCAAGATACATTGAAGAAAATTAAGCAAAGTGAAAGAAGGAGGAAGATATTAAAATTGAGTTACTGATAAATCTAGCGTAGTATTACCAAGGAAGTGAAAACTGAAATTTTGCGGATCTATACTGATACTTATTTTGACTTTGTAAATACTAGTTGAGCATCTCTAATTTGAAAACCCAAAATCTGAAATGCTTCAAACTCCAAAATTTTTTAGCAACTGTCATGATGCCACAAGTGGAAAATTCTACACCTGGCCTCAGTGACAGGCTGCAGTCAAAACTTTGTTTCGTGCACAAAATTATTAAAATATTGTATAAAGTTTCCTTTAGGCCATGTATATAAGGTATATATAAAATATAAATGAATTTTGTGTTTACATTTGGGTGCCATCTCCAAGCTATCTCCTTATGTGTATTCAAATATTCCAAAATCCTAAAAAATCCATATGCAAAACACTTCTGGTCCCAAGCATTTCAGATAGGGGATACTAAACCTATACTTACAGCTAATGAGTGTTTCAACATTAGGAAAATGTGATGCATGTATTCATTTATCTATATTTTATGTCTTTACCTGTAATAATTATTTCAAGATTATAAAAAGCTACTATGAAAGATGAAATCAGAACATTATCAACAATTTTATATCAAATTTTAATATTTTAACTACAGTGGTATAAACTTCTTTACCATTTCCGTGAGGCTCTCATAACATGTACAATCAATTAATCGCAAGTAGTTATTGGGTATTTGCTCTAAGCTGATATTGTGCTGGATCCCAAACAACTAGGTGAAGATTACAAGGCATATATTCTGATTTTTATGTTCTTTCCTGCCAGTTGCTGTAGAACCTATTTTCACTTCTGATGGCAGGAGGAAATTTATGCACTGATAAAATTATACTAAGAGTATTTCGTGTACTAAATTAGTAGAAAGTTAACATGCAAAGGAACTAAACTTTTCACTGTATCATAGATAACTTAATGGTACTGCAATAAAATCCATCAAAATCTTTATAATGCACAAGAGTAGCAATTAATGTATAAAATAGAGAAAGATATGAAGATGCTAATTCTGTAGTCAGCAAAGGGTAATTATATGCAAGTATTATAAGATATTGTATACAAGTCTGTGTATTGTGTAATGAAATACATAAGTTGTGTGTATTTCATCACACAAATGGACCTGATCTATTAAAAACTGCACCATGAACATCAGCATATAAGACTCTCAGTATTATACTATACAGACATACATTGCTGTATCGAGCTTTACTTTATTGCACTTCACAGATATAAAATTTTTTTCCAAGTTGAACTTGTTTGGCAACACTGCATACAGCAAGTCTATTGGGGCCGTTTCTCAACAGCATGTGCTCACTTTGTGTCTCTGTGTCACATTTTGGTACTTCTCACAATATTTTAAACTTTTTCATTATTATTATACCTGTTATTGATGGCAGCGACAGGCCATCTGGAGTGGCCAATGCCATCATGCCAGCTGCAGCTGGGTGGCACAGCTGGGGCTAAACATTCCATGGAGCTGATGGGAGCCAGGGACAAGTGGAAGCCTGCTTCTTCCAAGTTGAGGAGGGAGCTTCTCAGGTGCCACTGCAGCTGCCCAAACCACAGCTGCAGACCCAGGCATCCCTGTGCTTTGGGGGACAGGTACCAGGCAGGAGCCCTGCCCTCCTTCGCATAGCTGCACCCACCCAAACCAGGGCTGCATACCTGGGCCTCCCACTCCATGGAGCAGAGAGGAGCTCCACCCCCCTGGGTGCAGCTGTAGTTGCCCAAACCATGGCTGTGGACCCAGCCATCCCTGCACTCTTGGGGGCCTGGAAAAGTGTCCTGCCCTTGTAGGCTTGGAAACGCCCTCTCCCAGTACCTGGCTTCTCCCTGCAAATCTGGGAGCAAAGGTGGGGCTGAGCCCAGGTGCTGTTGCAGCCAGGCCAGGTATGCGCATGCTGGGGCAGTGCTGACATGCCAGCCCCCTGCTGCCTCAGTCCCCTCCAGACTTTGAGTGCCAATGAGCATGGGAGGGAAGCCAAGTGGGAGGTGACGACAGCTTGGCACTGGCCTGCAGGTGCCCTTGGCATGGACAGCCTGGACATCATGAACAGCAGTGGGAGGCAAGGATGTTCCTGGGTGGAAGGGAGTGGGTCCCTGGTGAGGCCTCACCTTCAGGCCAGGGAGGGCCTGAAGGCTGGGGGCTGGAATGCCAGTCTGGCAAATGGAATGGGAGCTTGTGCTGCCTTTTCCAGGCCCACCTGTAGCTGCCCACTGACCAATGGACATGCACTTCCTTCCCTCTGAGGTCCATAAAAGCCCCAGGCTCAGCCAGAGCAGGACAGACATATGAGACAACCAGTTGCAGAGAGGAGCTACCCACTCCAGGGCCTCCTCTCTGCTGAGAGCTATAGAGAGGATGAGATGACCTTCCTACAGAGAGGAGCTTCCCACTCCAGGGTCTCCTCTCTGCTAATAGCTGAACACTTGTCAGGACACCCTGGCTGTGGGAAGGAGCTGCCCCCTGTGGGAGACTGAGCTGTTGTATCACTCAGTAAAGCTCTTCTTTATCTTGCTCACCCTCCACTTGTCTGAATACCTCTTTCTTCCTGGTCACAGTACAAGAACTCGGGACCAGTTGATTGGCAGGGGTAAATGAGCTGTAACACAAATAGTGCTACATGCCCCTTGCTCTCCACATTGCAGGCAAAGGAAGGAAAGAAAAGCCATGGCCCTTTGGGGAGTCCAGACCTGGGAATTCCCCAAGCCAGGGCTGTGACTCTTTCTTTGTGGCCCTATGGTTCCTGGTGTTTCCAAGCTTCTGGGTGCCACTGCATTCCCTGGTGCCAGTGGGGAAGCTGCTTGTGGCACACATGGTTCCAGCCTTGCAGAGAGCTGGTGCCCATGCCAGCACCTGGAGCTGGCCGCCCCTTGGCAGCAGCCAGTGTGTCTGATGGTGCAGTCACCAGACCCCACACTTATGCCTCTTGCCACTCCACACCTGGGTTGCAGTTTTCCACAGAGTCATGGGATCCAGGCCAGTAGCATGAGCCAAGTGCAACCTGCCAGGCAGAGTACACAGAATGAGCCCAGCAGACCCAAGCAAAACTCAGGCAAAGGAGTTTCTGGCCACAGGTTTCCAGCCAGAAAAGCGACATTCCAAAGATTCCATAACATTATGGTTAGCTCTGATCAATTATATTAAATGTTACTATTGTAATTGTTTTGGGGTAGCACAAACTGTGTTAATATAAGACAGTGAAATTAGTCTATAAATATGTTTGCTGACTGTTCTACCTACCAGCCCTTCCCATTTCTCTCCATTTCCTTGAGCTTCCCTATTTTCTGAGAAACAACAATATTGAAATTAGGCCACTTAATAACCTTCCAGTGGCCTCTACGTTTTCAAGTGAAAGGAAGTCATGCATCTCTCACTGTAAATCAAAAACTAGAAATAATTAGGCTTAGTGAGGAAGGCATGTTGAATGCCTAGATAAGCCAAAAGCTAGGCCTCTTGCACCAAACAGTTAGGCAAGTTGTGAATGCAAATAAAGTTTCTAAAGAAAATTAAAATTGCTACTCCAGTAAACACAAATGATAAGAAAGTGAAAGAGCCTTATTGCTGATATGGAGAAAGCTTGAGTGGTCTGGATAGAAGATCAAACCAGACATAACATTCGTCTAAGCCAAAGCTTAATCTTTAGCTCTCTTCAATTCCATAAAGGCTCAGAGAGGTGAGGAAACTGCAGAAGGAAAGTTTGAAGCTAGTGGAGGTTGGTTCATGAGGTTTAAGGAAAGAAGCCGTCTTTATAGCATAAAGGCACAAATTGAAGCAGCAAGTGTTGATGGAGAAGCTGTGGCAAGTTATCCAGAATATATAGCTAAGATCATTGATGAAGGTGGCTACACTAAACAGCGCATCTTCAACGAAGATGAAATAGCCTTCTCTTGGAAGAAAATGACAAGTAGGACTTTCATAGCTAGAGAGGAGGTTAATGCCGGTCCTTTGAAGTTTCAAAACTTCAAAGGACAGGCTGACTATCTTGTTAGAGGCTTATGCAGTTGGTGGTTAAGTTGAAGCCAATGCTCACTTACCATTTCAGAAATTGTAGAGCCTTTAAATAGTATACTAAATCTGCTCTGTCTGTCCTTTATTAATGGAACAACAAAGGCTGTATGACACCACATTTGTTTATGGCATGGTTTACTGAATATTTTAAGCACATTGTTGAGACCTACTGCTCAGAAAAAAAGAAAAAAAATCTTTTCAAAATATTACTGCTTATTGACAATGTACCTGGTCACCCAAGAACTCTAATGGGGATGTACAAAGAGTTTAATGTTGTTTTTTTGCCTACTAACACTAATTCATTCTGCAGTCCATGGATTAAAAAGACATTTTGGCTTTCAGGTTTTATTATTTAAAAACTACCTTTCATGAGGCTATAGCTACCATATATAGTAATTCCTCTAATGGATCTGAGCAAAGTAAATTGAAAACCTTCTGGAAAGAATATATCATTCCAGATACCTTGAAGAACATTTGTGATTCATGAGAGAAGGTTAAAACACCAACATTAATAGGAGTTAGGAAGAAGTTGATTCCAACTCTCATGTGTTACTTTGAGGGCTTCATGACTTCAGTGGAAGGAGTAACTACAGATTGGTGGAAGTAGGAAGAGAACTAGAATTAGAAGTGGAGCCTGAAGATGTGCCTGAATTGCTGCAATCTCATGATAAAACTTGAACAGATGAGTACTTAATTATTAAGGATGAACAAAGAAAGTGGTTTTTGGAGATGAAATCTACTTCTGGTGAAGATGGTTAACGTTGCTGAAATGACAACAAAGGTTTTAGGATATTTCAAAACTTCATTGATAAAGAAGCAGCAGGGTTGGAGAGGATTGACTTTCATTTTGAAAAGAAATAATACTGTGGTAAAATGCTATCAAAGAGTATTAGATGCTACAGAAAAATCTTTTATGAAAGGAAGAATCAATCAATGGTACAAACTCTATTGTTTTATTTTGAGAAATTACCACAGCTACTCAACATCTTCAGCAACCACTACTCTGATCATTCAGCATGCATCAACAGCAAGGCAACACCCTACATTAGCAAGAAAAATTACTAGTCGTGGAAGGCTCAGATTATCATTAGCATTTTTTAGCAATAAAGTATTTATAATAAGGTATGTACATTTTTAAAGACATAATGCTGTTGCACATACAGTTTGCACATGACTTCTATGTGCACTGGAACACGGGAGGGAAGCCGAGTGGGAGCTGAGGGCAGTTTGGTGCTGGCCTGCAAGTGCCCCTTGACATGAACGGCCTGGGCATCAAGAACAGCAGTGGGAGGCAGACATGGAACCCAACCTGCAATATCTTGGAGGTATGTCTGTATACTATTTTAAGTTCTTAGGCTCTCAAGTAGATAGCATTTTTGCAATTAAGTTCCACGATTGGTTAAATTGTAATTATTAAATTGCACTTCTCATTAAGAGTGTACTAATTTTCCATGAGATGTAGTTTAGATTTGGTTTCACTTGATAAGATTTAATTCAAAAACACTGATTGGTAATTAAAGACATTGCTCTCTATATGGAGCAGAACACTGTAATGGAGGGCTTTCTATCTTCTTTCACTTTCTTATTTCTTTTCCCTCTCCTTAGAGGGAATTGTTTTATCTATATCTAAAACAGATCCACATAAAATGCTTGTAGATTTTGATGGAAAGTATAATACACAGAAAATAAACATGTTGGGCAACTTTTGTGTGATATCTAAAATACAATGGCAGTCACTTTTCTTCTGGAATTAATAACTGCCTTTTTCTTACTGTATCAGTGTGATTCTGAACATAAAGTGCCTAAGTGTTTGAAAAATATTATTTGGAGGAATAGGGAAGCATTAAAAAGTCCATTCCAGCACTGACTGAATTTAACATTATAATCTTTTCATTCTTGTAAATGATATTTGGGGAAGAAAAGTTTAAGATAGTCTGTAACTGTGACTAAAGCAGTTTTAGCCCAATACCAGAGTCATCCACTGAATCATAGTTTACAGTTTTCAGGAGTGCACTTAAATGCCTAAAGTGGCTCATAGCATGAACAGTCTAAAGAATTATATGAACGACAAATAAATAGCTGTTACTGTTAAATAAAATTGCAATAATATCATTGAAATAAATGTTCCCTAAATGTATTTACCAACTGTAGAAAACTAACATATTTATAAAATTTGATTATAGACAAAAATAGTGTTCGGAGAGCAAACCACACATTTTCACCACATACACTTAATATGGAATACCCAGCATTATACCTTGAAGAGAATGCTAATTATTTTACAATTTTGAGCACCTCCTTCTGGTGTTTTCTCAAAGATCACCTTGGTGAGGTCTTCCCTAATCACTGTATTAAAAATTTCTATGTTCCTCTATGCCAATACTCCTTAACTGTCTTCCCAGTGTACGTTTTCTCCTTAGCATTTGTGTGTGTGTGTTTGTGCATGTACTTTGTTTTTTATCTGTCCTCCACAACTGGAATGTAAGCTGTGTGTCTCTGTTGTTCACTGCTATATTGTTTGGACTAAGAAAAATGCCTGGAATTTGCTAAATGCTCAATAAATAACTCAAGTAAATACATTTTAGACCTATGCTGAAAAGTGAGCTTTAAAATGGATGATCTGTTTCAGATGGTGATATAATATTCTTCTATACTGTTATTTCGAGAACAGAGTTCATTAAGATATTTTCACATTTAGAAACTTCTCATGACCAAGTATTATCAACACATTCACTGTTGCCATAGCATAAAATTGTTTCTCATCATGAAATATGCTCTGACAAAGCAAACAAACACTACAGGTGTTTGTAATATGCGCCATATTCATTAGTAATTTATAGAAATATTATAGTAAGGTTGTAAGATAAAATTAGCAATCGTGTGTGTGTGTGTGTATACATACACACATACATAATAAATTCATACCCCCAGTTCAGGACTAACAATAAATAAACTGTGTCCTACACAAGCAAAGACCGTAAGAGAATTATATAACAGGGTTATTAACAGTCAAATTTATTAAGAAGAAGAAACACTTAGATGAAGGAGCTGTAACCCTTGGGTTATATAGACACATAATAAAATTACAAACAGAGAAGATTAAGTACAAGTAAATAATTATATGTACAGAAATTTTTTCCCAATTGTAGAAAGAACTTCTTAAAAGTAAACAATGTGTGTGTGTGCACATGTGTGCAGGATTGTGAAAAGAGAGATAATGAGAAAGGGAAAGAGAAAATTCAACACTTAGTCAATTAGTTATACCTTGGTAAATGTTCTCTATTTCAAGTATAAAGAATTAGCTCTAAAAAAATTATCTTCACAGCAAAAATGAAAGGTTTATCTCTAAATTTACAAAAATTAAGCCAGTCTCAGACTTCCTTTTACAACATTAATGTCCCAAAGATAATAAATCCAAATGTACCAAGTTGTGTGTAAAACGTTTTGTGACACAGGAGTTTTTCTGTCCAGCTAAATTTAGAAAAGCATTATTATTAAATAAGCAAGGACTCAGACACATATCCTCCACAACCACTTTTTAGAGAAAAGAAAAAGTGGTTTTGAGCTTATATTCCTTCTAAATATAAATATGTATCCTAAGTACAGAAAACTTATAGTTTTAAAATATTGCTGTTTGGCAATCAGAGCAGTTAAACACAGTGTTTAAATCATTGTAAATATCATCCTGAGGCAATACAGATATAGACAGCTCTTATGAAAACTCATGAGTAAAATTTAAAAATTATCTACTTTATACTATTAAGAAACTGGTGTTTAGAAGCTGGCAGGTGGGCAAAAGTAGGTAGAGTTTGCTGAATTCTTAAATCAAGAAAATAAAAATAAATTTGAAAACATTGGCAAGTGGAGAATTATTAATACATTTAAAGATAAATAGAATAATCAAAAAATGAAATGCCATGAAGGAGTTGGGGTGGGTGTACGAAAACAAGATAAATAAATAGTGGCCCATATCAATATATAGTCTTTAGCACCATTTATGCAACTCAACATACCAGGTAAGAAATGTTCAAATGTGTTCATATTCATGTCACAGTCCCCTCAGAGAAGCACTGGCCTAGGTAGCCATGCTATAGAAGAATGACATGCTATAATGTCTCCCTTGCAGCCTCCAGAAGGAATCAACCATGCATGACACTTCGACTTTGAACTTCTGGCTTCCAGAAATAGAAAAATACATTTCTATTGCTTTAAGCCATCAAGTTGGTGATAATTTATTATAACAGCTTCAGAAAATGAATACAAACCTTTTTCATCTTTTTTATAGGGAGGTCACTTTTTTCAGTAATAGTAAAATACTTCTCCATAAGTGAAAACTCTAAAATGCTGATTTGATTCCTTTTTCTAAATGTCAATATAAAAAATTGACTATTTTGCTATTGAACAAAAGTAACTTAAGTGAGACCAAAGACAAGCATCCTCCACAATAATGTGAAAGTCAAAACTGCTACATCCATCTGTTGCAGGAAAGAAGAAACTTCTTTGGCTCCATCCTATAAAGTTCATGTCCACATGACGACGGTTGGTGTTGTAAAGAGTGACCCACTGGCACACAGGAAAATAACCTCTTCTGTGTGTGTGTGTATACATACATATATACACTAAAAAACTACTTAGTAAATTCAGAAGTTTGTATGTCCAGAGATTATCTGCAGGGCTGTTTCCATCTCATTATATAAGTATATTAGTTGGGAAACATTAACAGAGGGTCCAAGGATCCAAGAATACATTCATTTTTGTGCCATAAAGTGACTTCTTCCTCAAAGTTCATAGCGCTTATTTTCATTATAATGTATCTAGAAATTCATCTTAACCTTTCTTGTGGCTTCTTTTATTTCCAAAAATGGTTATACAAATGTTTTGTTTTTATTTAATTTCTTATAAGTATATATTATTTGCTCTCAAACAGTATGGATTCTTGAAGGAAATGACCATATCTTATTTATATTTGCCCAGAGCATGTAAAATAATGTTTTGAATAAATAAAGTACTGAAATGAGTTAATTTGCTATTATTAATAAGTAATTTTAAGCTTTTATTTACATAGTGAAGAATATTTTTACAGCAGTCATTCTCAGTGTGTTGGTGTCTATTATTTTCACCTACTATTACTGAGCAATACCTTTGGCTCTTTGTAACTTTAAGGGGTAATAATTCAGTTTTGAAAGCCTGAAGTTCAGTAATTGAGAAATAGGAGCCACAAAATAAATTCGTCCAGCCTATTTCTAGACATAAAAATGCATTATCCATTCTACTGTGGAAAGTCAGGCTTCCAATTATGCATTGTATCTCATCCCTCTTATGTACTCAAGAACTCCCTCTAGCAATTCTCTTCTCACTTTCCTACATCATGAAGATCTCTAATGAATTCACTTTACAAACCTTTAGAACCATTGAACAAACAAACAACAACACAGATCTACTTTTGCTAATTCTATGCATCCATTCCATCAAGACAGTACACTGGCTCAAACTTCAAAATATACTCTAAATCAGACCATTGCTTAGCACCTACACTATTACCGTTACCATTTCCATGCTGCTCTGAGCACCCATTTTCTTTTTCCGGGATATTTACCTTCAGTGATACTTTCTCAAAATGGTTGCCGAAGACATCCTTTTAAAGTTTACATGAAACCATGTTACTCTCCCACCATAGATTCCCCTTCCGTCTGGATGAAAGCCAAGCCTTTACAGTAGTTGATGAAGCCCTGTAGTTGGTATTGTTAACTTTTGCTACCAAGGGCTTTCCTGACAATCTGTTTAAGCCTAAGGACATTTTCTGTAAAGTTAATGTTTCCAAATAAATGAAAATCCTAAAATTCTAAAGGAACTCAATTTTATTGACATTGAAGAAATGTATGTTTTAGAAATATATGTACTTTTGTTCATGAATGTATTAAATAAAAGTTAGCACTTGATTTTCCTAGCACTAGATCTAATAACTACTATACTTTTAACATAATCATAACCCTAAACAGTAGTTTTAGATACTTTTATGAACTCTATATGACATAAAATGTTTGTCATTTACTTTCATAACAAAGTTATATATTGTTAATACCACTATATTGAGATTACACATACTAGTTAGACATATGTATTAGTTTCCTGTCATTGCTATTAAAATTACCACAAATTAAGTGGCTTAAAAAAACACAAATGTATTATCTTGCAGTTCTGGAAGTCAGAAGCCCAAAATTATTTTCACTGTGCTAAAATCAAGGTGTCCTCAACAAACTAGATGTTGAAGGAAGATACGTCAAAATAATAAGAGCTGTCTATAACAAACCCAAAGGAAACATACTGAATGGGTAAAAGCTAGAAGCATTGCCCTTAAGAACAGGAACAAGACAAGATGTCCATTCTCACCACTCCTCTTCAACACATTACTGGAAATCCTAGCCAGAGTAATCAAGCAAGAGAAATAAATAACAGGTATACAAATAGGAAAAGAAGTAAAATTATCTCTCTTTGCTGATGATATGATTCTATACATAGAACGTCCTAGACTCCTCCAAACGGCTCCTAGACCTGATAAATGATTTCAGTAAAATTTCAGAATACAAAATCAATGTACAAAAATCAATAGCATTGCTATACACCAGTGAGATTCAGGCTGAGAGTCATATAAAAAGTGAAATCCTATTTACAACAGCCACAAAAAATTGAAATACCCAGGAATACATCTAATCAAGGAAATGAAAAGTCTCTATAAGGAAAATTACAAAACACTGCTGAAAGAAGTCAGACACGACACAAACAAATGGAAAAACATTCCATGCTCATGGATTGGGAGTAGTCATATCATTAAAATGACCATACTGCCCAAAGCAACCTACAGATTTAACACTATTTCTATCAAACTACTGATATCGTTTTTCACAAAATTAGGAAAAAAAAACTACTCTAAAATTCAGATGGAACCCAAAAAACAAAAGAGCCCAGATAGTCAAAGCAATCTTAAGCAAAAATAACAAAGCCAGAGGCATCATATACTATAAGACTACAGTAACCAAAACAACATGATACTGGTACAAAAACAGACAGGTAGACTGGTGGAACAAAATAGAGATCTCGGAAACAAAGGTATACAGCCACACCATCTGATCTTTGACAAAATTGACAAAAATAAGCAATGGGGTAACAACTCCCTATTCAATAAATAGTGCTAGAATAACTGGCTAGCCATATTCAGAAGAATGAAACTGGACCACTAACTTTCCCTATATGCAAAAATTAACTCAAGATGAATTAAAGATTTAAACGTAAAACCTAAAATTATAAAATCTTAGAAGAAAACCCAGAAAATACCATTCTGGACATTGGCTTTGGCAAAGAATTGACGACTAAGTCCTCGAAAGCAATTAATACCAAAAAAAAATTAACAAACGGGAAATTTGTCAGTTAAACTAAGGAGCTTCTGTGCAGCAAAACAAACAAACAAATAAAAAACAAAAAAAGAAACTATCAACAGAGAAAACAGACACTCTGCAGAATGGGAGAAAATATTTGCAAACTATGCATCTGACAAAAGTCTAATATCCAGAATCCATAAGAAATGTAAACAGCTCAACAAGTGAAAAAGAGGGCAAAGGGCATGAACAAACATTTCCCAAGAGAAGTAATATAAGTGGCCAACAAATTTATGAAAAAAATATTCAACATCACTAATCAGAGAAATGCAAATCAAAACCATAACGAGATACCATCTCACCCTAGTCAGAAGGGATAGTATTAAAAAGTCAAGAAATTTCAGATGCTGGTGAGGCTATGGAAGAAAGAGAAAGTTTATACACTGTTGGTGGGAATGTAAATTAGTTCTGTCACTATGGAAAGCAGTTTGGAGATTTCTCAAAGAACTAAAAGTAGAACTACCATTCAACTCAGCAATCCCATTACTGGGTTATATATCCAAGGAAAATAAATAATTTTACAAAAAAAGACAGATGCAAAAAAAGACACATGATAACAGCCCTATTCACAATAGCAAAGACATGAAATCAACCTAGGTGTCCAACAGTGGTGGATGGGATAAAGAAAATGTGGTACATACACATCATGGAATACTATGCAGCCATAAAAAGTAATAAAATCATACCTTTCGGAGCATAATGAATGCAGCTAGAGGCCATCATCTTAGATGAACTAACACAGGAATGGAAAGCCAATACTGCATGTTCTCACTTACAAGTGGGAGCTAAACATTGGGTGCATATAAACAGAAAGTTGGGAACAACAGACTCTGGGGACTAACAGAGCGGGTAGAGGGGGAGAAGGGCAACCTACAGATTAAAAAACCTGCACATGTACCACTTCAATCTAAAATAAAAGTTGAAATGATGAAACATAAAAACAAAAAACATATAAATATAAATAAATAAGGTGTCAATAGGGCTTTACTTTCTCAAGGCTCTGGGAAGAATCTATTTTCTTGCCTTTTCCAGCTCCTAAAGGCCACCTACATTCCTTGAAAGGTAGACCCCTCCTCATTTTCAAAGCACAAAGCTTCTGTCTCTGGTTTTGTTCTTTTCATCTTCTTTCTCTAACTTTGATCTTCCTGCCTCCCTCTTATAATGATCCCTGTAAGTACATTGAGCCCACCAGATAACTCAGGATAATCTCCATCTCAAAATCCTTAATAACATATGTAAAGTTCCTCTTATGACATAAAGTAATATAGCTTCAGTTTCTAGGAATAAGGATTTCGGTATCTTTGGAAGCTCATTATTTAGCTTTCCACAGCATGACTGAAAAAAAATCCATAAAATTTCATGAACATCTTGCATTTTATTCTATACCAGAGTTAAAAACTTTTGCCTTATAAGGACTTTTCTACTAATACCTCTTTGACCTCAACTTCTCTTGTTGTCTTTTTTTGATAATACTGCCAATATGCACCCAAGTTTTACTACGTTCTCATTTTTTGCATACCATGTATCACCTTCTAGCTTATTATTTGATTCACTTATATATTATCCTTATTAATTATTACGTATCTGCCCAGCCCTCATCCACTTCAACTCCCACTGAAATGGAAGCCCTCCAGTAATACAGGTCTTAGTTTTAATCACTGATTTATCTCCAAGTTCCTCAGAAGGATTCCAGTACTTAATAGATACTCAATAAACACTTCTCAAATCAATACAATGAACAAGGTAATCTGTAGAATAAAACTTAGAGCTGTAATAGGCATTGCTCTGCCCTGAATACTTTATTTGTTACATGAATATGGTATTTTAGTTTTCTTGGGCTGCACAACAAAATACCATAGACAGGTTGGCTTAAACAACAGAGATTTATTTTCTCACAGTTCTAGAGTCTGGAAGTCTGAGATCAGGATGGAAGCATGGTCAGTCCCTGGTAAGGGACCTCTTCTTGGCCTCCACATGGCTCCAGAGCTCTCTCCTCTTTTCATACACAGCCTCTACATGGGTTTTTTCTCGTTTGTGTATGCAAAGAGAAAGAGAGAGCTCTGGTTTATTTTTCTTATAAATCCATCAATTCTGTTGGATCAGGGTTCTACCATTATGGCCTCATTTAACTTTAATAACTTCATTTAACTTTAATTACTCCAAATGAAGTTGCATAGGTTGTTAGGGCTTTAAGATATGAATTGTGGGATTATATAACCATTCAATCTATAACATATGGAATGTTAAATAGGTTTACAGGAAAAATGTATGAGTGCCTCATATTAATTGTACCATCTAACAAAATCAAGCTTTACAATGGAAGTTGGATAATTTTATTTTAAATATGAATGTTGCTCAGAAGAGAGTAAAAGGGGGAGGGTAAATCCCAAAACTATTAATAATTACAGACATCTCAGCAAGAATTTTAGCGACCACAACAGCTTATAGGATCCTTATAAGAGAAACTTGTACTTGAATAATCAATTGACATTCTTTGAAGGGTAAATATGCTTGAATAATGAGGAAAATAGAGAATACAATCTTTTTAAATGTTTAAAAATCCTTGCACAAGTTTCTATAGCTACACATAATGAAAAATTTATAGTAACTGTAAAATTGAAGGTGACTAACTTCTCATAGATGGCAGGCTAGCTGAGAGACAAGAAACAAAGTTGAAAAATTATTTGGCAAATCTGATTCAACATTGTAAAGAATTATTTAGACGATGGAGTAAATATCGAACAGGGAAAACAAGAATAAACATGAGAAACATATTTTGAAATATTGAGTTTTATAAGTTTTAATACAAAAATGCAACTAACAAAGTTAATTAAAATAATGTGTATTTTATTTATATAAACCTGAGTCAAAGATTAGAATGCAGTATTTCCAAATCCAGTATAATTGTGAAGTTGGTGTTTAGCACTCTCCACTTTATAGCCTTATTAAATTGCAGCAAGAAGAGATGTAAAATAAAATGAAAACATACATTTTTATATAATAACATATTCTGAATAGACATGTCAAATGGGCTAGTGTAAAATTTGGGATGTAGAAAATGCATGCATTTATATAAGTGTGGGAAGTGCATGCATTTATAAAAGTGTATACTGGCTCATTTTGTGCTGCTTGGCTGTGAGAAAATTAGTGTGTTAGAACTATTTTTGTTGCAAGTGATAGAAACAAATCAAATCAGTTTAAGTAACAATTTAGGCCAGGCATGGAGGCTCATGCCTCTAATCGCAGCACTTTGGGATGCTAAGGCAGGCGGATCACCTGAGGTCAGGAGTCGAGACCATCTTGGCCAACATGGTGAAATCCTATCTCTACTAAAAATACAAAAAAATTAGCTGGGCGTGTTGGTCCCAGCTACTTAGGAGGCTGAGGCTGGAGAATAGCTTGAACCCGGGAAGTGGACATTGCAGTGAACTGAGATCCTGCCACTGTACTCCAGCCTGGGTGACAGAGTGAGACTGCGTCTCAAAAGAAATTAAATAAAATAAAATTCAAAAGCAAATGTATTACCTTATGTAACTAGGAATCCAGGAGATTCCTCTTTCTTTGTTGATTAGACAGTGCACTTTCATGTGGCAGGAAATATACTTTCATCAGCCTACTAGAAAAGGCCAGTAAAATGCTGCATGGTAACTCATGATAGACATGCACTGGATCATGGGGACATCACTGAACCACTGAACCACTCACCTAGCCAAGGGGATGGTTACTATACTTATGTGGACCCAAGGCTTCTACCCATATACCTGACTTTGTGGAGAGAGACCAAACCCACTCAAACTATATCTAATTATTCCCTCTGGGAAAAAGGTATCCTTTATTACCAAAATAAAGGGTGGATAACGGGTACGTTTGAGATTTTTTTTAATGAAGCAATAAAACAAACAGCTAATCACAGGAATTAATTTTCAATAAGGTAAAAGTAGAATGACATTATAAGACCTGCTCATTGTTTTGTGATTGGCAGGCAGTTTTGAAGTAGAAGCATGCCTTGAACACTTTAATGGATACCCTCCAGAAGGGAAATATGGTTTAAAGCTTCTAATCTAAGAGAAAGGGGCCTTAGAGACAGATGATTTTAGGTACTGTTTCCTCCGCAACCATGAATAACCTAGAATGGCAGGAAATGCCTTCTTTGTAGATGTGTCGCATGACTTTCTTTCCAGCGATCAGCTTATATATCACCCTTAAAAAAGTGATAATTTTTGACAACCCTAAACCCTTCCTGTTTTTGTTTAATATATTTTGTACTATTTCTTTTAACAATCTGTCTCCCTCTCTCTCTCTCTCTCTCTCTCTCTGTCTCTCTCTCTCTCTCTCTCTCTATATATATATATATATATATATGAGTCTTTGATTACAGACTGCCTTCATAAAAAAATAAACAACATGCCTGAAGAATGGTAGAGGAAGACAACTGGATGATATTGATCAGACCGCCCAACCGTTAAAGTGCAGAGTACCTCAAAACTTCAAAAATGGTCTTCATTGAGAGCAGCTCTTTCTTGTATATTGAGTACACTTTTGATTTCGTGTGAGGGTTACAGCTTGGCCAGTCTTTAAAGGCAGCACAGATTTATTTTTTATAGGTACCTGGTGTTGCAGCTATACTTCAGAGTAACTTAGAGGTACATTTCTTAATAGTGAGTCCTGTGTGCACATCAGCTGAGCTGATATCACAACTCTTTTCCTTGTTGGGGAGGAATTCTCAGAAGCCCAAGTACATAATTCTTATAGTGCTCTCCTTATAATAAAGGTTTACTTAAGTTTTGTTTACCACATGAATGATGTACTGGAAATAACACTCTGTTGACTTGGGACATAATTATATTCTTGACAGTTTCTAGAAACAGTCACTATGTGAGGTAGACACCCCTCATATTGATCTAGACATTCTATAAGTCAAGGATACATCTTCACAAACTTACTTTTTTTTTTTTTTTTTTTTGAGAGGGAGTCTCGCTCTGTCATCCAGGCTGGAGTGCAGTGGCACGATCTCGGCTCACTGCAAGCTCCGCCTCCCGGGTTCACGCCATTCTCCTGCCTCAGTCTCCCGAGTAGCTGGGACTACAGGTGCCCGCCACCACGCCCGGCTAGTTTTTTGTAGAGACGGGGTTTCACCATGTTAGCCAAGATAGTCTGGATCTCCTGAGCTCGTGATCTGCCCCCCTTGGCCTCCCAAAGTGCTGGGATTACAGGCGTGAGCCACCGTGCCTGGCCACAAACTTACTTTTTATATAAATATCAGTTTATCTAGACTTATTTAAAGTTAACAGTAAAGCAATTTACTTAGGACCGTATGGATTAGTATTTCAAGTGAAGTCAATTTTGGAAAGTATATTAAAATGAAAACCAGGTCCAAAAGCTAGGTACACAATTTCTCTAAAAGATAATGCAGAGAACATTTTACAGACCCACCTGCAGAACAGAGAGAGAAAGGGAAGGAGGAAATGGAAAGAAAGAGAGCGAGAAAGAGAGACATACACACACACATTCTATGGTCCCACTAAAGACCTATTGAATTAGACTACCTGGGAATGATATATGAAATACCTAATTTATAAAACTTTCGAGTTATTATAATGTAGCCAGGTAGCCAGTTTGGTTGTTATCCATGAATCCATGTTCATGTATTAGTGATAAAGATATACATCCATTAAAGTTGACATTGAACATGACAATGAAATAATGTAAAGATCAAAAGAAATTACCCAGGATTAAAAGTGCTCTCAAACCTGTCATCCTCTTATCCCTCCCACAGAGCACATTAAGGCTTGCCTGGCAGTATCACCCCTCCAAACATCCAGCTTGATTGAGATTACAGCTGTTTATGGTAATACAGATAGGAGGTAAATTGTCATGGTTATCAGTGATAAATAACTATTGATTTAAGGTTGTTGCAGTAGTTGACAAAAGTGACTTTATTTCATTTGGATGGAGAAAATTTTATGGAAGTAGAATAATTCAAACACAAGTAAAGCAGATTTATGTCATTAACTTATTTATTATTTGTATTTATATGTGAATTATCACTTCAATCCATTATGTTTGTTATTATAAAATACTACCAAGAAATAAGTTTACTATTCTTGAGCTCTAAGCTTCCTGAAGGGCAGCATTTCACTGATTACTAAAAGTGTCTGCCCAGCATTCTAGCACCTGTACCTATACCTACTTAACCTTGGTCACTAACCACCAACCCACAGCTGGAGTTTCTAGGACTTGGCTAAAAACAGCTACAACAAAAACATGAAGAATAATGCCAACAACAATTTTTATTTATGAAATAAATGGTATTTGATGGTAGAGATTTGAATTTTGAAGTCCACAAAATTTTCAGAATATATTCAAATTGTTGAAAATCTACTCTACAGTAATCATCTTGCATGAAATAGCCCTATGCTAGGTGACAATTTTCACTATGGAATTATAATAATATTTATCATAAAATATTGACATTTATGATAAATATAAGTTGGGGACCTACTTTATATCAACTCCTCTCTAAGAAGGGACATTAAACTAGAGCTCTCATACACAGGAGAGAATTAGAAAAGAATATTTTACGTAGATGAAAAAGGAGGAGTGTATCAGTCAGAATTGCTATTGGGTACGAGTACTAAAATACTTAAATACTTATACTATAAATGCAAGTCTATCTTTTTCTTAGATACTAGTTTTTAAGTAGGAATTAGTTGGCATATGTTCTTCATATAGATTGATCCAAAAACTGCGTGAAACTTATGTATGTTAGATTCTGTCTTTTCCTCATGGTGATCACTATCATTTTCCATACCTCAAGCATAACAGCGGGCTGAGGGAAGGAAAGTCATAGTATCTTTGTCTCTTTTATGTGTACATGGCTCCAGCAGACTTGTACTTCCATGCTTTTGATTAGTATTCTGTCACATGTTAACTCATAACCACAAAGATGGCTACGAAAACAAACATTCAACTTTTCTAGTTCATGGGGTGGAAACAACAAGGAAACCTATAATCTAGGTCATGAAATATACAACCTTCAAGTAGGTGTATATGGCATAAAAGATACTAATTCAGTTCCTGCTGTTCCCAAAAGACTACGAAGAATGATAGTGTGAGGGAGGAAATTATGCAATCTGATAACAGGGCCCAATATGATAAAAGTACTTTAGATATATTTGGATATACAAGGAGAAAATGATAACTTTAACCTAGTGGCTTTCTTCCTTGGACCTTGGAAGACTCAGGCTTAGAAGAATTTGAACATAGATTTGCTTTATGTCCCAGGTAACGCAATAGATTTTGCATAACACCAATGGCAGGAGGCAGGTAGAAAGAAAAAAAAATGAGGACCCTCAGTGTCTTACTCAGAATACTATGAATGTTCTGCATGATCCAGTGTAAGGACACAGACATACTGAGCATGCTAGTGAAACTAAATGCCTACAGGAAAAAGCAAATGCCACAGTCAGGAACATTGAGACCAGGTACACATGGTCTCACATTGTACAGAACACATGGTCTAGTAATGAGACCAGTTACAGCTGAGCAAACACCAGTAGCTGAGATGAGCTAAAATGCAAGAGTGTAGAATGATATGGTTCCCTCTCCCATCTCTTCTTAAAGATAAAGTAAGCTTGTCCCTTTTCCCCATATTCAGGTACCACTTTAGTGAAAAAGAAGAGAAGGTTAAAGATCTGCTATATTAAACCATCCAAAGAAACCTAAACCAACTCTGATAGGAAGTTGAGATGTGAATTGACAAAAGCTTTAGATTGAGAGGAAGCTTTTTACATCTTAAGGAAAGGGTAAAATTAATTGGAAAAAAAGCTTGTGTATTAGCCACCTCAGATGCTAAGAACTTAAGAAAAAAAATCACATCAGTTAGAGACAAAGAAACTATGTTTTCCCTACCCATCTAAGTATAGGGTAAATAAATCTGTGACTCTGCTACTCCTCAAATATCTTATTTTCTTTTGTTTATTCAAGTCCTTCTCTCTTTTCATTCAGATCAGCATAATGATATGTCCTATTAACTCCAACAATTTTATACTATATTGCATTTTTGCCCAACATCCCTGTCACCCACTTCATAGTAAAGCTGCTCGAAAGTATCTCTGTACCTTATGGATCCACCACTTCACTTCCCATTTGCTCTTCAAACCACTCCACCAATCTAGCCTATCTTCCTCTCCAGCACTTCCCCATAATTGCTCTTATTAACGTCACAAAAACCTCATATCCCCAAATCCATAGGAGCCTTCACTTCTATCAGTTTAGTTGATTGAGAGAGAGAATTTGACCCAGTTGGCCACTCATTTGTTCTTGAAATTTTCTCTTCACTGAGTTTCCTTTACAATGTACTTCCTCACATGACTGATTGTTGTAAGCGCATTCCCAAAACCTAACCACTATATGTGGAATAGCTTAGGGAGCCTTGCTACTTTCTCCTTTCTGTATTCTCCTTCACCCATTCTAGTGGTATTAAGTCTCGACGCTAGAGTGATGAATCCAAAATGCTGTCTACACTTCTACAAATTCCTATTTGGTTGAATGACTATTGGATGTGCCCTTCTCCACATTTCTAAGCACGTGCTCTTAGTTCTAACCCCAGACTATATACTCTACTGCTCTAGGTCTTGCCATATCCACTGAACCATGTTCTGTCAGACAATATTTATCTTTTTCCTGAAATTCTCAAATTGCCACCTAACTCCTCTGCCTTTTTGCACTATTATTCATCAGTAATTAATTTCCCAAATAGCAGCAGAATACATAAATATATATATGCACACACATATATAAGGAAATCTGATCATATCATCTATCTCCTCAAAATTCTTTGGTGGTTTCCCTTTATAAGCCTACACAGCCCTGATTCTATTGTAGGACTTTCTCCTTAGTTCAGCTAGAAACCGGGTTCTCATCACACGACCAGGAAAGATTAGGCTCATAGACACTTTGAAGGGCGAGGGGGATGGAATTTATTGGGCAAAAAATGAAAAAGGAAAAACAGCACAGCAAAATGAGATGGGGTCCTGCTAACAGGCTCTCTACCTCACAGATTGAATCCCAGGATCCCACACAGGAACAGGAGGGGCCAGGCTCCTTCCCCAGGCAAAGGGCACCAACTTCAGTGGCTCTCCTCTGTTCTCCCAATGCGCAGGTCAGAGGTTCTCCAGGCCAGTAGGAGGTTCTTTGGGGATCCCTTTATACTTGGGTGTCTCAATTCCACCTTCCCCTAAGAAGGTCTGTCATAAACTACTTCTCTTTGCCTAACCCAGAATATCAATGCACTAGAAAAAAAAGATAAACTAATATTTTTCAACAATAACATGTATTTAAAGTTCTATTAATAAAGAACTATAAGACAAAAATGATCTATTGTTGGTTTTAGAAGATATTTTTACCTCAACATGTTTCCTACTTACCATTTTAAAAATCAAGAATAAGAAAAAAAATTTAAAAAGATGACACGAGCCTGACATATAAAAATAGTAAAACAAACAAGGGTAAAAAATAATTTTAATTCCAGGCTAGGTAACAGGTTAAAAAAATTTTTTAAAGCTACAACGATAAATTATAATAAAAACATGACAACATAATTTTGTAATTTAACCCCATTTTATAAATGAAATTTATTATTGAATGTTTACTAAGGGCTACTTGAATTATTCTAAGGGCCAAGTTATTTTTATATGTGTCATCCAATTTAATCTTCACAACAATACTATTAAAATGTGCACTCTATTTATCATCATTTTACAAGTTAGGTAACTGAAGTAGAGGGTTCAATAAACTTCCCAAGTTTTTCAGCCAGTAAGTGGTGGAGTGGGGTTTCAAACCAACACAGATTAGATCCTGGAAATACACTTAATTATTTTTCAAATTTATTATATATATTGATTTCAGGATTATATTTTCTGTTAATTTGCAGTCTTTGTTTTATATAGTATTAGATTATTTTTATAATTTAAATACATATCTTCCCTTTTTAAAAACTGTTGTATGCCACATTTTTAACTTTCTTATATCATATTATCTAGTAATTTATACAGTAAAGAAAACTCTCAGAATTGCTTAAGCAAGAGAGGCATTCATAAAATAAGTTGAAGTAAGTAGTCTAGGACTTATGAGAAGTTTCATGTTTATTCAGAGACTTAAACTCCTTTCCTCTTTCTGATCCAACATCCTGGAGCACAGGGGTCAACTCACTATGAAAAATAGCTACCCAATCATGGGTTCTAAATTTCAGGAAGGAGAACGGGTGGAGGGCAAAATATAGTTCTCACTGAAAAATTTTTCACATACTATCATCTCATTGCCCACAAATCAGGCTGGGAAATCTAGATATTTAAATAAGTAGTTTGTCACCAAAATATAATACAACTTATATAGTCCAAAAGGTTCTGTAAGTAGGAAGAGCGAATAAATAATCAGGAGAAAATTAATTGCAGAGACACTGTCAATGCATCAAGTTCTATGGTCATTTAAAAATTCTCCTGCTTATCAGCTGAGTTAATATTTATTGTTGGAGAAAGTAGTTGGTTTTCTAATGTAATAAAAATAATGTTGAATATCAGTTATACAATCTTAATTTCTTGAAATATAATACACAATCTACCTGTTAATACATAACTTTTATGTTCCAATAGTCTTAAGGGCATTATTAGAGAAATATTATTCTACAAAGTAAAATATCTTCAATGAGGCAGTAGATTCTCTAAAATGTAATTTTGACTCTTTGGAAACTATATAGCTTGCTTTTTTCCCCTCTTTTTCTCTCTTATGAATGATCCTTAAGGAAGAACTATAGCCATAATTTCAACTAAAGACATATTAATACTTCATGATAGTTTAATCATTAATTATACCCAACACCTCCTTGAAACACACAAAACAATTCTACTTTTATAAATGAGAGACTGAGGCAAAGTAAGGGCCCATTCTTTGTTGGAGAATTTACTCCATTATTATTAATCCCGACAATGTTCTTGTTAGTAGATGAACTGCATAAGAGACTTTCTTATTACCCTAAATTCCATTAAAGTATTTTAATGCTTCATTAAAGCTGACGGATGGTACACACCTTTGATTATTCAGGTGCTGATTAGTTGTAAAAAACACTTACACCACCAAAGTGTCAGCTAAATAGAGTTCACATCTTACGATATGTTAAGGCTGTGCCTGCAAGGAATAGATAAAGGCAGTCTTAGGAGCTCTCCTGGGCATTATTTAAGAATCATTTTTATCATCATATTTTGTTTTAGTATTTCCATTAATGTGTGCAAATTTAAACGAGGGAAACTATAAAAAGGCAGTTCTTTAAACTTGTAAAATGTGTGAAAAATAAAAAATGAAAAACAATGAAACAAAGAATTATTTTTTTTTATTGCAAGCATTTTAAAATACACAGTTGGCAAGTCTCTACTTAAAGCAACTATTTTATCATTAAGAAGTAATGTTCTTTCTTCTTTTTATGTTTAATGGCAACATGACCAAAATAAAATAGAGGTGAGAAAAAAACATGATTACAAAATTGAGTTTATAACATCAAAACTTATTTCTAACATTAGAATTTTCCCTATTCTGATGATTTGGGACTCCATAGCAACCAGCAATCAATTAATGATATACAATTAAAAATCAGTATCTAGGCCGGGCGCGGTGGCTCATGCCTGTAATACCAGCACTTTAGGAGACCGAGGCGGGCAGATCACCAGGTCAGGAGATTGAGACCATCCAGGCCAACATGGTGAAACCCCGTCTCTGCTGAAAATACAAAAAATAGCTGGGTGTGGTGGTCAGTGCCTGTAATCCCAGCTACTTGGGAGGCTGAGGCATGAGAATGGCTTGAATCCAGGAGGTGGAGGTTGCAGTGAGCCAAGATTGTGCCACTGCACTCCAGCCTGGCTACAGAGGGAGACTCCATCTCAAAAAAAAAAAAAAAAAAAAAGAAAAAAAAAGAAAAGAAATCAGTATCTATCTGTAGCTCCAATGTGCAATGGTTTCCTTACTGTTTTCTCTTTTGAAATAAACATATGGTTTCTTTTCCTTTGTTGCACTTTATTTGTTCAGCAATTCAAATATTGATTGTTTTTTCTTCAATACTTATTGTATAACTTTTAATGATCACATTATAGGTATTACGTATTTTAAACAGATTCATGCATTTGGAAAAGGGTATATTCACACAATACTCTATGTCAGAATGGCTCTAACATGCCTCACAGTCATCCAGGATTCTAAGAATTTCCTCTCTTTTTGATCTCAAGGAAAGCTTGATCTCTCTGCAGTATTCCTAAAGTTTGCTTCTTCGGGTGGTTTATGAAATTTGCTCATTTAGAGCATCTTTGTATATGTTAATGCATTGGGAGCTGACTTAAATAAGTTGTACATGACAATTTCCATGAATGGTTGCAGCTCAAATAGTCCTTCATTGCTTTGGAACTCATCAAAGAAGAGATGTCATCAAGTCATACATTTCTCTGGAGGATTTAATTAATGCCCTTTTATTATTCTATAAGCATAATATCCTGTATTTGGAGAGAGCAGTTTTTTTTTTTTAATTTCAGCTTTTATTTTAGATATACAGAGTACATGTATAGGATTGTTACACTGGTAAATTGGACCCATTTAGTTAGAATAGTATCCAAGAAGTAGTTTTTCAACCCACAAATCGTTGCTCCCCTTCCCCTACTTAGTAGTCCTCAGTGTCTAATGTGTTACCATATTAATGTTCATCAGGAAGGATTAGTACATAAAAGTGTGAGCTCTAGATCCAGATTGCCTGTGTCTGAAACTCAGCTACAGGCAAATTCGTTGTGTAAAACTTCATAAATTATGAAACGAGGATAAATACAATGCCAGTCTTCATAGCACTTTTGTGGAGATTAAATTAGATAATACATATAAAATACTTAGCAGACTACCTGGTCCTTAATAAATAATCAGCAAGTATTAACTATTATTGCTATTATTGTTATTACCATCCAGTATTTGCCTAAAACAAACAGTAGAACAATGTGGTATTTTAAAAAATGCATTTTGTTATCTGTTAGTCAGGGAAATGATCTTTGTTGACTATGCATTAAATAAAAATATATTTAGAAGTTAAATAAGATTTTGGCTCATATACATTCTTAATATATTTGATAATTTATTTTTTGGACCAAAATGAGGTGTAATCACTGTTCAAGAAAAAGCATATGGAAATATTTTGCTGGAAGATTAAGGATCACAAAAAAGATTAGTAAATTAGCATTACTATAAGAAACTTCATTGTTTAAAAAAATCTATCTTACAGGAGAGTTATTTATGCATCATATATTCATCATGCAGTTTTATTATTATAGAAATTTAAAATTATACAATGAGAGGATTTATGTTCATTAATAATAAATGACCTATTTCAAAAGCAATTGTATTTTTAATCTGACCCCCTCTCTGTATTTCACCTTTTTGTATTGAGTCATATGTTTCTCTGCTGCTAAAAAATATATTTAGCTTCATTGTTCAGTAGCTACTTTTCAAGACTATTGAAACCCATCAATGTATGTAAGAATGTTCTCCACTGCTTCTGTATTTTCTTTCCTATAATATTTATGGTCAAGCACTGCTTGATGGGAACCTAGTAGTCATTTTCAATTGGACAAAATTTACGAAACTTAGTTTGCTAATCATGTCGGTAACTATGACGTTGTTATCTTTCTATACTCTTTTTACATTGCAGGAACTGAAAGCCAGAAAAGCATATTTCCCAGACTTTTTCACAGCATATTAGGATTCTTCACTTCCAGGTTAGATTTCACCAATGAGAGCTCTTTATATGAGATTTGGTCAGCTAGAGAGATTCAGCAGTAATTGCATTTTCAGCAGTAGCAGCCAAATGCCTGGATTTTAGCAGGTGATCAGCATGAGATTTGCCAAGAAGATTCTGGCTGTTCTCTGAAAGATCAACCACTCTGATGATGCAGACCGCTGACAATATAAACATCGGTTCCTGTGATTCTGGCACTGCCTGATTTCTTGAATATTCAGTGGTGTGTTCTAGGATAGTTACTTTCCTAATCCTGCCAATAAGTTTTAAAACTTTATTTTTCTAAATAAAAAATTCTTCCTCTTTGAAGTACCTAGAATGGCTCCCTTTTTGAAAAACAACTGAATTCACACTGGAAAACCACAATGTACAATGCTGAGCATAGGGAAAAATATATGGAGATAAAATACTATAGTGTGTTTGAGACATCTGAAATTTAAACAATGTAATTGACATTTTTAAAGTCAAATAATACTCTAAAAAGCATTTCCCCCCACCAAGAAAAGATTTTTTATTGATATTTCTATCCACTATTTTATGATATCAAAAAATTGATACCTAAGATGAGATTAGAAATTACATTCTTCTATAGCCAATAATAATTTATATCATATTTTCATCATTGCCACACTATTCAAAATAGGAGAGACATAGAATGAACCTAGGTGCCCATCAGTGATGGAACGGATAAAGAAAATGTGGTACACATATACCATGGAATACTACATAGCCATAAAAAAATGGACCCATGTCCTTTGTAGCAACATGGGGGGAGTTGGAGGCCAGAATCCTAAGAAAATTAACACAGGAACTAAAAACCAAATATGACATGTTCTCACTTGTAAGTAAGAGCTAAACATTGAGCTCACACGGACATAAACATGAGAATAATAAACACTGTGAACTATTAAATGGAGGAAGGAGAGAGGGAGCCATGAGTTGAAAAGCTACCTATTGGATACTATGCTCATAACCCGGGTAAAATATATCCAGGTAGCAAACCTGCACATATACCACCTGTTATCTAAAATAAATCGCAATTTTAAAAAATGAACATAAAGGCATACCAATAGAAACTAACTAAAATGAAATATGAAGGGTAACAAATAAATAAATTTTAAAAAGGATAGTATCCAGCCTTCTCCCATTAGTCTAAATGCTCATCAAGTGACCAAAACACTAGTGGAACATAGATAATAATGTGAAGAATATATTTTCCCTCAACTAGTGGCAGTATAATTCATCTAAGGAGAAATAAATTGTATATATAAATTATATGTACAATATGTCTCATGTGACTCATAGTGAGGTTTTGGTCAATGATGGATTGCATATAAGATGGTGGTCCTATAAATTTATAATATTGCATTTTCACTATACCCTTTCTATGTTTAGATACACTAACACTTACACAACTGTGTTACAATTTCTTAAAGTATTCAGTATAGTAACACGCTATGCAGCTTTGTAACCTAGGAGCAATAGGCTTTACCATATGGCCTAGGTGTGTAGTAGGCTATACCACCTAGGGTTTTGTAACTACACTCTGTGTTGCTGGCACAATGTCAAAATCAGCTAACAATGCTTTCCTCAGAAAATGTATTCTTGCCATTAATTGATGCTTGACTGTATATTGAATATGGAAGCCCTAAGTTTTCAGAGTCAGACCATAACCAACAAAATGATGGCCTTTTAGAGAAAGAAACCAAGGGAAGAATATGGAGATAACAAAGCAGAAAAAGAGAGGAAGATACCAGCTGTGTACAAAATGAATTATCCTTGGGACCCATAAAAATTCATGTTATTTTATACCTGAATACTTTGTGTGATTGAATTGCATTTGTGTGCATGAGTGTGTGTGTGTGTGTGTCCAATAAAAGGAGTAAATTTGGCTTCTGTACTGATGCAGGCAAACAATTGCTGGTGTGTGAGAACACAGATGCCAGGAGCGGATGAATACATGTCCCTGGGAATTTGCAAACATTAAGGAGAATGCTTTGGAGTTCTTCAGGTCAAGAATTTAAAGTTTCAGGTCAATTTTACCTAGATTTTTGAGGTGAACATCTCATAAATTTCTTGGCTACATCTCTTCATGCTAATCTTGAAACTTGTCAAGTGCCAGCAACAGTACATTTTTTTTTCTACTCTGCACTCTGTTACTTAGAATAAAGGTTATCACCATTATTCTTATAAATTATTATAGATGTTTAAGCAGTAAAATGAATGCTGGTGTATGAGTTTGTTTTCATACTGCTATAAAGAACTGCCTGAGAGTGGATAATTTATAAAGGAAGGAGGTTTAATTAACTCACAGTTCAGCATGGTTCGGGAGGCCTCAGAAAACTTACAATCATGGCAGAAGGTGAAGAGGAAACAAGCACCTTCGTCACAAGGTGGCTAGAAGGAGAAGTGCAAGCATGGGAAATGCCAGATGCTTATAAAACCATCAGATCTTGTGAGAACTCACTTACTATCAGGAGAACAGAATGAAGGAACCACCACCATGATCCAATTACCTCCACCTGGTCCCACCCTTGACACTTAAGGATTATGGGGATTACAATTCAAGATGAGGTTTTAGGTGGGGCCACAGCCAAACCATATCAGCTGGTATTGTACTTTTCAGTTTGTAAGTCAAACACCTATTTTTTTCTGAGTCATTTGACAATTTTGTAATTAAATTATATCTAATTATTTTAATTGCAAAATGATGACACAGTCTCTTAGTTGTTAAACTACATGCCTCAGTTTTAAAAACTAAATAGTAGAATATTTTAAAATGCTATCTTACTATAGTTCTCTAAGTGACTCATTTTTCTGGGCTATGAAAAGGTATAAACTGAAAGATTTTTTTATTCTAAAAATATATATATTGTGGGTGTAAATACATAATTTGTATTTTCGCTCTGCTGTCAAAAAATGACTCTCTTGATGGCAGTCATTTAGGTTACTGACAACTAAGTTGATGTTTTTGCTTTATTATATTTCATGGGCAATTATTATTAAAATTATTTCCTAAAATAGGTTTCCAATATAATTCCACTCTTTTGTTTCGTGCAATAAAAATTCCATATCAAAATTTGACACAAACATATTTCTCTTCTCAAAAGACTGAAAAATAAAATCCCAGAACCTCATACCAAATATGCAGCAATATTTTTAAAATTTGTAAGTCACAAGTTTAATACTTTTTGTTCTTATTTTTCTTTAGACTTCTAGAGTAAATATGGTTGCCAGAAAATTTTTATTAATGGACTTCCAACTGCTACTTTTCTGCTTGTCCTTTTCCCAAATGCACGTATTATATTCAGAAGATTTGTAGTTTTGCAAATACTGTTTAAACATATATCATCAAAGGTAATTCAGTATTAAGACACTTGGTTTTGATATGCTTTTTTAAAGCTTTGTATTATTATATAATTTTAGACTTAAAGAAGTGTTGCAAAAATTGTAAAGAGAGTTAAGGTAGCGTAACTCTACCCAGTCACTAATGTTAATAACTTAACATAGCCATAGTACAATGACCATAACCCAGAAATTTGCTTCTCTTGGTGATATGGAAACACGGTTAGTCTAAATTTAAGTGGATAATACATCTTGAATATTATCATGTATAATATCAGAGAAATAATGCAGTTTAAATCAAGTTGTTACTTTGGTTGTGGTTTTCTTTTAAAATTTGGTTTACAACTAATTTATTTAGATCATAGGATCTGATGGGGGACAGAATAATAATATTTTGTGCTTAAGATTAAATATTTATTTCAAATACTATAGTAATTTTAATTTTAACATTCTACTAAAATGTTTTCCATAGTATGAATGAGGGACTAATTTAGATTTTCTTCTCTTTTGATCACTTGACTTCTGTGGAATAGATATCTTTTGAGGATTTTACCTAATGAAGTCTCAAAAATAGATGACCACAATCAGTATCTTTACAGCAATGAGGCCGGGTGCGGTGGCTCACACCTGTAATCCCAGCACTTTGGGAGGCTGAGGCAGTGGATCATGATGTCAGGAGTTTGAGACCAGCCTGACCAACATGGTGAAACCCCATCTCTACCAAAAATACAAAAATTAGCCAGGCATGGTGGTGGGCACCTGTAATCCCAGCTACTCAGGAGGCTAAGGCAGGAGAATCACTTGAACTTGGAGGCAGAGGTTGAGTGAGCCGAGATTGCATCACTGCACTCCAGCCTGGGTGACAGAGCGAGACTCCATCTCAAAATAAAAAAATAAAATAAAATAAAATAAAATAAAGCAATGAAAAAGCTGTTGTTCTGTACGGAATTGTTTTCCTCTACTACGTAAAATTCATCAGTTCATCACTGAATATAAATCCTGAGTACTCTTGCCCAGTTCTATCTATCTATCTATCTATCTATCTATCTATCTATCTATCTATGATATATATTAAATATATACATATATAATTTGTTCTATTGATATTGATATGTTTTGGCTGTGTCCCTACCCATATCTCATCTTGAATTCCCACATATTGTGAGAGGCGCCCAGTGGGAGTTAACTGAATCATGGGGGCAAGTTTTCCCATGCTGTTCTTGTGATAGTGAGTAAGTCTCAAGAGATGTGACGTTTTTATAAGGGGGAGTTTCCCTGCACAAGCTCTCTATTTGCCTGCTGCCCTCTGTGTAATATGTGATTTGCTCCTCCTTGCTTTCCACCATGATTGTGAAGCCTCCCCAGCCATGCAGAACTGTCGGTCAATTAAACCCTTTTTCTTGTATAAATTACCCAGTCTCAGTCAGGTCTTTATCAGCACCATGGAAACAAACTAATACATCTATGAACAAGTATTTTAGGTAATTGGGATAAAGAATATATCTACTATAATTTTAATATGAATTTGTTTCATCAATTGTCTAAATACTGTGAAGTAACTGTTGCAAACATTTATTTATCTGAAAATTTTTTACTCTACTGGTTATCTCTCACTCACCTCTCTAGATCTATCTCCAAGATCCTCTAGCTGCTTTGTGACTATGTGAGCAGCCCTTGGGGTCTGTTGCACAACGGCTTCTGGGCGATGGGGACTAGCTAATGGGGAGCATAGGCAAGAAATGAGAATTAGATAGAAAGACAAGGTCAAAGTAATTATTTATTTGACTCATTCTGTGAAGAATTACTACAAACTGGCAGCCTTTATCTTAGGGTGACCCTGACTCAGCTTTCTCTCCCTGGGTGCAAAAAATTATTCCCCCTCCCATAACTTCATTCAGGCTTAAGATACCAAATTTCCCATTCTTAGTAGTCCTATGACATTGTATTATCCACACACAGTGTGTGTGTCTGCAGGGGTTGGGGAGAGGGAAAGGAAGAAATCTAGGGAGAAACATGCAAAAAAGAGACCATGGAACATGGAGAAATCAGAAGTCAGAATTCTAGGCTTGATGGCCTCAGATAACAGAGATAAGGTAGATCACAAAGCAAGAAAATTTGCTCAGCACAAGTGGCTCTGGTACAACCTGGGCAAATTAGAAACTCATACTTTTTCTTTTTTACTTTTCTAGCTCAAGTTGTTTATCTTACTAATATGTGTCAATCTCATCACTTTTTATTCAAAATTTAAGAATATATTTCTGCAGTTTGACCTATAACAAAATTATCTTAATAAGGGTATATTTGTTTTAAAGATACTGTTGATAAATTTTAATCCCCACTTCAATAACGTGTTGACCTTTCAACAGTAATTTTCTGAAGACATAAACCCATGGTCTATGGAAATTTCAGGCCTTGGGTCTGAATTAAATAAAAGGTGCATAGTGTAGAGTGCTGTAGCCAAACTGTAATGGCTCAGTGGCCTTGGAGGAACCAAGTGGTTGCCCTGGATGGACCCAGTTCTCTCCATTTTTTTGCTTGTAGTTCTCAAGGATAACCGTAGAATGTGCCAGAATGTAACATCCTGAGATAGGGAAGAGAGGAGTTGAAACAGCTCAGGTTCTGTTCCTCTTTTCCCTAGAAATGTGATGTTTTCCAATGCTTTAGCCAGAGAGGAATGGAAATCCTGAGGTATATAACCTGGGGTGGGCCATCTTTCGAGGCTCCTCGGCTCAGTCCAGACACCCTATAACATTCAAGCTATAACCATTATGGTTCCATTACAGAAAACATGAAGGGTAAAATATTCAGAAAACCTGTTCTCATATCCAGTTTCTTTATTGTTTTCAGTTTCACGTGCCAGTGGCTGGTCTATTTCTTGCATGAAAGTGGGGAAAAGATTCCATCCTCAGTTATTTTTAAAAAATGACTGAGGTTTTTGCTAGTCTATTGTTTATTTTGCCTATTAGAGGACATGGAGCTTCATAACAGGTCATTCTGTTTCCAAGGGCCTGCCCAAGTTTGTGTGCTGCTAATTTGAATTTCATGGTTCTTGACTCAAGGAGAAGAGAGGTATTGGTGGAAAATAATCTATCCTTTATTGTGTGTTTACCACATGCTCTGCACTGTGCTAGAAGTACTGTCTAAATGCATATCTGTATATGTAAAGGCACACATATACTTTCTTGCCTCTCCTTTCTCCTTCTCTCATTCACAGACACACATGTACATTTTACTCTTTACCACAAATCTGTGCATAATTCAAAAGCATGGTGATTTATCTAAAGTTGCCTAACAAGTAAACATAAAGCAAAGATTTGAACTCAAGTTCTTCCACAACACACTAGAAAAATAAGGATACAAATCACATACTCTTAATCTACTAAAAGGTGATTTTAATTTTAATAATCCGCTTTTGTAATACGTTTATCAGTTCATATAATTTTCTTATTCTAGATTTGGCTCATCTGTATTTACATAGGTGCTTTCATTACATTCTTCATTTAAAAAATAAATAAAATAGATCCATACGCATGTATTTGGAAAAAGCTGAGAAGGAAAAAAAGGGATTTATGAATAGAATCCAGCAGAAAATTAGCATGAATCAGTTAGAAAGGCAAAATGTCCAAGTGTCTGGGTCCACTAGAAGAAAAGAAAGAGTGGATAAGGAACCAACTCAATGTGAAAATGTGAGCCTGCTGGTCTAACTGGCAGGAACGCCCATGTCTCTGTAGGTGGTTCTTACAGCTTAAGAACACACACACATATATTCCAAGTAATGAATGTTTTATCATACATTTACTCCCCTTTACAATTTCAATATTTTAAATTTATAAATTTCAGAAATGTTCTCCTTAACATAAATCAACGTTTTGACTAGAAAAAATCTGCAAAATGCTTTTCTCACCACATTGAAGATGATTTCATTTTTAAATAAATGACATGCCATCAATAAGGAGGACTGAGCTGACAAAGACAAGCCTCACTCCCAGTACAAAAACATATGTGTAACTGCTTTATTGCACAATTCATCAAAACGAATTGATTTTAATTTTTTTCTGCAATCACTGACTTCTATCATGTTTTTCTAAATCTCCCTTTTCCTTAACCAAATTGTGGGCAGCTTCCATTACTATATGTTCATGTTCAAATATATAAGAAGCCTATTCAAGTTTAAAATTCTATTCTATGTTCAATTAACATTAGTTATTCTTCCCATCAACACCAGCCAGGCTTTAGCAGGAAGGACTTGGGGAGGACAAGTAAACTATGTTCTTTTGCTGAGATGACTCTTCCATCTGCTCCTTTTCTTCCTCTTTCTTGTGTTTCCTCTCTGGCATATTCATGCGGGAAGGAGGAATAGATGTGAGAGGCAGGTACTTTTTACATATGTATTTGTCCACTGTTGTAGACCCCTGTCTGCTGCCGTTTCTCCTTTAAGACAGGCTTGCCTTTATGTAAGACAGGGAACGGAAGCTGTTTATCAAATGGATGACATGTGTAAATATTTCATGGGTCATGAAGGCTAAAAACCCTCTGCACAATTTTCTGATGTGAGAAATGTAATCCAGCATGGCCTCTTTAATTCCACAACTGTCTACACTACATCTTTGTTCAGCAGCCAGCCTCCTTAGTGGTGCAGCATAAGTTATTTCAAAGTAGACTTCCTTTACAGCATCCACTTGACCGCTGGGAGATTTCCTCATCCTTAGCATTGTAAACAATTGTTTTGATGGCTACTGCACGGTTTTCTTGTATCTATACTGTTCTTTTCAATAATACTCTTTTCCAAGTTCAAATAGTCAGCCTAGAGGATAGGTAGTCAGTGTAGTGTATTAGTAGACATCCAATCAGTGAAAGAAATGTTAGTCTACATAATTGTTCCAGTCCTTTTATAAAATACAGGATAATTATTACCTATTTGTTCCCAGTTATAAGTCCTAGTAGCAATTTTCATATAATGAAGATAATTCCATTTAACATGACATATAATATGAAACAATATAAAATAGCATTTTAAAGAAAAAAGAAACCCATTGATGCCAGAAACCAAGAGAAAAGAAAACACTAGAATTATATACAGACGTTAAACCCTTTTGGTTAATAGCAATATGACTGAAAACTTGCAGACTAAAGGTTTTACGTGCTACCTGGAGGGGAAGATATAGCATTCACTCTAGCAGAAGAAGGCAGTCAAAACAAAGGCCTGCTTTACTCAAAGACTAGAAAACTGAAACCACTAGATTCCTATTTAAAGCATGATAGGAGAGTTAATCAGTGGAAATAGAAACTTGGAGCCTGTACAACTCGTGGTTGTGAGGCTTGGAATTGCATTTCTACTTGGTGGTAGGTTTTCAACCCCAAAATTAAAGAATAGCCTAGAGCATGTCCAAACTCACTTGCTACATTGGAATCATGCAAGCCTGAGCTGCAAGTTGTGAAGGAATGTTTCTGGAGCCAAAGCATATGGAACTCTCTACAGAGGGAAACAACAACCACCAAAGAATACTGCCACTTAAAACTTAGCTCAAAAATAAAAATCCCACTTAATAAAGAAATAAACTATCATGACTAAAGTCATTTGCCAAAAACAGGAGAACTAGCACAAGTCAGTAATCATTTGCTGAAAAATAATATTGGTTAATTTCAGAGAATTTAGAAATTAGAGTCAACAAAATATATAATATAAAAATTAATATAAAAAACAAAAAAGATCTGAGATAAAATGCGTAATGGTTCTTGTATTGTTCAGAAAGTGATAAGCATATAGAGTAACTTTCATTTTATCATAGTTGAGCATGCACATTAGTAATTTAAAAGAGACAACTAAAAATTAAAATATAATGTATTCAAAAAGTAAAATAATAAAGAAAACTTGATGTATTCAGAGGAAGGGAAGAGAGAAAAAAAATACAAACCAAAACGGTACACAAAGGAAACAAAATGACATGAAAAAAGCCCAAAGAAATCTGAAAGTACAATACATATGTAACTTCAACTTGCCTGTAAAAGAACAGTGTCACACATTGGATTTATAAACATGTTGCATGATATTTATTAGATACATGCACTTAACCTAATGATATAGTGAGTATGTGAGTAAAGGAATGGAAACAATGCTTTAAGACATTATATTAACATAATATTTTATGTGTATACAATTAATGCCAACATTATACCTTAGCAATATTAATATTTCTTTAAAAATAAGAATATAATTGACTATAACTGAGTGAAAAAAGGTACAGAGAATCAGAAAGAGGTAATTAAATCCTTATGCACCAAGTGAGGGGGAAAGCAAAGATGGTGAAATAAAATGCTCCACTGATCGTCCCTCCTAAAAGGACGACAATTTAACAACTATCTACACAAAAAAGAACATTCATAAGAACCAAAAATCAGGTGACCACTAATGGTACCTGGTTTTCACTTCATGTCACTGAAAGGCACACTGAAGAGATAGGAAAAACAGTCTTGAATCATCGATGCCACCCCCTCATCGAGACACTGAACTCAGTTCTGCACTGTTATAGCAGAAAACAAAACCAGCTGATGCCCTCCTGTGTATAAAGCATTAAAACCAACCCTAGACAGAAGGGAACTGCCAATCCCAGTGGTCCTAATCAGTTTCTGTAAGCCTAGCCACCGTGGGCTAAAGTGCTGTGGAGCCATAAATAAACTTAAAAGACAATCTAGGCCACAAGAACTGCAACTCCTAGGAGAGTCCTAGGGCTGAAGTGGGCCCAGAGCCAGTAGACTGGGGAAACATATGACCTAATGAGACACCAGCCATGGTGGCTAAGGAGGGCTGGCATTATCCACCTCCTAAATCCAGGCTGCATAGCTAACAAGTCCAAAAGGCTGCACAGCTTACAGGTCCTCCATTTGAGGAGAGGAGAGAGAAGAGTGGGGAGACTTTCTCTTGCATCTTGGGTACCAGCTTGGCCACAGCAGGGTACAGCACCAGTCAGAGTTTTGAGGCCCATTTTTCAGGCTTTAGCTCTGAAATATTTCTAGCGACACCCTACACCACAGGGAAACTTGTTGCCTTGAAGGGAAGGACCAAGTTCTGACAGAATTTATCATTTTGTAACTGAAGAACCCTTGGCTCCTGAATAATAACCAGCAAAACCCAAGTCCTATGTCAATGGCCTTAGATGAGACATCTTAGAGATGACTCTTCAAGTGACACCCAGCACATTCTCAGCTGTGATGGGGCAAGACTCTTTTAACTTGAGAGAAGTAGAGGGAAAAGTAAAGGGGACTTTGTCTTACATCTTAGATACCAACTTGGCCACAGGTGGGTAGAGCACCAAACAGGCTCTTGGGGCCCCTGATTCCAGGACTTGTCTCGGATGGCATTTCTGGACCTGTGCTAGGCCAGAGGAGAGTCCACTACCTAGGAGGGTGAGACCCAGGCTAGGAAGCATTCACCACAAACTGACTGAAGAGCCCTTTGGCATTAAGGGAACATCAGCAGTAGTCTTGAAGTACTCCTGGCTGGGGTGATATTGTCCACAGGTTGAGGCTCCTCTGCCTTTGGAAAGAGGAGGAAAGAGTGAAAGGACTGTTTTGTGGTTTGATTACCAGCTGAGCCACAATACAATAAAACACCAGGTAGACTTCTAAGGTTTTTGATTCTAGTCCCTGATTCCTAGATGGCACATCTGGACCTACCCAAGACCTAGGGTAACTCATTGCCCTGAAGGGAAGAACACAGGCCTAGCTGACTTTACCACAGGTTGATTGCAGAGCTCCAGGGCCAGCAGCCCCTGGAAGTAGCCAGGAAGTAATTATAGCAGGCCTTGGGCGAGACCCAGTGCTGTGTTGGCTTCAGGTCGAACCCAGTGCAATCATAGGGCTGGTGGCCACAGGGGTGCTTGTGTCACTCCACCCCCCCCCAACTTTAAGTAGCTCAGAACAGAGAGAGAAACTACGTATGTTTGAGAGAAAGTAGAGAAGAGAACACAGTCTCTGCCTAGTAATCCAAAGAATTTTTCTGGATCTTGCCTAAACTAACGAGGTGGAATCTCTATGAGTCTGCAAGAACCACAGCATTACCAGGCTTGGGGTACCCCCCTAAAGGATATACAGCTTAGATCATAACACCCAAGTGTTTCAAATATCTGAAAAGTCTTTCCAAGAAAGATGGCTACAAATAAGCCCAGACAGTAAAGACTACAATAAATACCTAACTCTTCAATTCCTAGACACCAAAGAATATCTACCACCATCAACACCATCCAGGAAAATATAACCTCACCAAATGAACTAAATAAGGCACCAGGGACCTATCCTGAACAAAAAGAGACATGTGACTTTTCATACAGAATTCAAAAGAGCTGTTGTGAGGAAACTCAAATTCAAGATAACACAGAATCTGTCAGACAAATATAACAAAGATATTGAAATAGTTAAAAAGAATCAAGCAGAAATTTTGGAGGTGGGATCTGCAATTGTCATACAGAAGAATGCATCAGAGTCTTTTAATAGAAGAATTGATCAACCAGAAGAATTTGTGAGCTTAAAAACAGACTATTAGAAAATACACAGCCAGGAGAAACAAAAGGAAAATGAATAAAACACAATAAAATATGCCTAGAGAATACAGAAAACAGCCACATGAAGGCAGAGCTAAGTAATTGGACTTAAAGAGGAGGAAGAGAAATAGATAGGGGTAGAAAATTTATTGATAGGGATAATAATAAAACTTCCTAAATCTAGAGAAAGATATCAATATCCAAGTATAAGAAGGTTATAGAACACCAAGAGATTTAACCCAAAGAAGACTACCTCAAGGCATTTAATAATCAAACTTCCAAACATCAAAAATAAAGAAAGGATCCTAAAAGCAGCAAAAGAAAATAAACAAATAACATACAATGACACTCCAATATGTTTGACAGCAGACTATTCAGTAGAAACATTACAGGTCAGAAGAGAGTGGTATGACATATATAAAGTGCTGAAGGAAATAAATGTTTACTCTAAAATAGTAGATCCAACAAAAGTATCCTTCAAACATAAAGGTCAAATAAAGACTTTCACAGACAACAAAAGCTGAGAGATTTCATCAACACCAGACTGTCCTGCAGAAAATGCTAGAGAGTACTTCAAAGTATGCTAATGAGCAATAAGAAATCATCTGAAGGTACAAAACTCATTGACAATAAAAAATACACAGAAAAGCGTGGTAACTTGTGGTGTATACACTCTCTTATCTTAAGTAGAATGACTAAACAATGAAACAATAAAAAATAATAGCTACAATAAATTTTCAAGACATACACAATACAATTAGATATAAATAAAAACAACAAAAAGGTAAAAAGCTGATGGACAAAGTTAAGGTAGGTAGTTGTTATTAGTTTTCTTTTTGTTCATTTGTTGCATGTTTGTTTTTCTTTGTGCTTGTTTGTTGGCTTGTTTATGCTTGTTTTATTTTTGCTTATTTGTTGGCTTATTTGTTTAGGCAAACAATATTAAGTTGTTAAGTTGGTATCACTCTAAAATAATGGTTTATAAGATAGTGTTTTCAAGCCTCACAGTAACCTCAAACCAAAAAACCTTTTCTAAAATCATCTTCTCTAAAAGGAAGACAGGAAAGAAAGAACAAAGGAAGAAAAGATAACAAAATAAGTATAAAATAAGTAACAAAATGGCAGGAGTAAGTCCTTACTCATCAATGGCAACATTGAATGTAAATAGACTAAACTCTGCAATCAAAAGACATAGACTAGCTGAATGAATGAAAAAGCAAAACCCAATGATCTGTTGTTTACAAGAAACACACTTCACCTATAAAGACACTCAAAGACTAAAAATAAAAGGATAGCAAAAGATATTCCATGCAAATAGGAACCAAAAAAGAGCAGGAGTAGCTATACTGATATCAGAAAAAGTAGATTTCAAGACAAAAACTATAAGAAGAAAGTTGTCAGTTCAGCAAGAGGATATAACAATTTGAAATATATATGCACCCACCACTAGAGCAACCAGATTTGTAAAGCAAATATTACTAAAGAGAGAGATAGTCACCAAAGCAATACTAGTTGGAGACTTTAGCACCCCACTGTCAGCTTTGAACACATCTTTCAGAAAGAAAATCAACAAAGAAACAACAGACTTAATCTGCACTATAGATCAAATGGACCTAACAGAAGTTTACAGAACATTTCATTCAAGGATGCCAAATATACATTCTTCTCCTCAGCACATGGATCATTTTCAAGGATAGACCAGATGTTAGGTAACAAAACAAGTCTGAAAACATTCCAAAATTTTTTTTAATCATTTCAAGCATCTTCTCTGACTACAGTAAAATAAAACTAGAAATCAATAAAAAGAAAAATTTTGGAAGCTACATAAACACATGGATATTAAACAATATATACTCTTGAATGACAAGTGATTTAATGAAATTCAGAAGGAAATTTAAAAATTACTTCAAACAAATGATAATGGAAACACAACATACCAAAACCTATGGGATACAGAGAAAGAAGTGCTAAAGGGAATATTATAGCTATAAGTACCTACATCAAAAAAGAGAAAAAAAAATTTCACATAAACAACCTAATGATGCATCTTAAAGTATTAGAAAAGCCAGAGCATATCAGACCAAAATTAGTAGAAGAAAAGAAATAATAAATATTATAGCAGAAATAAATAAAATCAAAGTCTATAAAGCAATACAGAAAATCAGGGAAACAATAAGTTGATTTTTTTAAGTTAAAACTAGACTGAAAACCTCTAGCCAGACCAACTAAGAAAAAAAGGGAGAAGATCTAAATAAATAAAATCAGAGATGAAAAAAAGGCATTACAGCTGATACCAGAGAAAGTCCAAGGGTCATTAATGTCTACTATTAGTAACTATATGTCAATAAATTAGAAAATCTAGAGGAAATGGGCAAATTCCTAGGCACATAAAACCTACCAAGACTGAGCCACAAAGAAATCCAGTGTCTGAACAGGCCAATGACAAGTAATGAGATTAAAGCCATAAAAAATAATCTCCAGTAAAATAAAAGTCTGGGACCCGATTGTGGGATGCTAAGTTTTACCAAACATTTAAAGAAAAATTAATACCAATCCTACTCAAACAGTTCTAAAATATTGAGAAGGAGATAATACTTCCAAAATCATTCTATGAAGCCAGAATTACCCTGATACTAAAACCAGGCAAAGACACTTCAAAGAAACAAAACTACAAGCCAATATCTCTAATGAATATTGATGCAAAAATTCTCAACAAAATACCAGCAAACAAAATTCAACAATACAATTAAAAGATCATTCATCATAACAAGTGGGATTTATCCTTGGGATGCAAGGATGGTTCAACATATGGAAACCATCATATCAACAGAATGAAAGGGACAAACAACCATATGATAATTTTACTTAATGCTGAAAGAGCATCTGATAAAATTTAACATCCCTTCAGGATAAAAGCCTTAAAAAAAACTGGGTATATAAGCAGCATACCTCCACAAAATAAAAGCCATGTATGACTCACCCACAGCTAGTATCATACTGAGTGGGGAAACACTGAAAACCTTTGCTCTAAGATGTGGAACATGAAAACGATGCCCTTTTTACCGCTGATATTTAAAATAGTACTGGAAGTCTTACCTAGAGCAATCAGACAAGAGAAAGATATAAAGGACATCCAAATTGAAAAAGAAAAAGTCCAGTTACCTTTGGTTGCTGATGATATTATATTTTGAAAAACCTAAAAACTCCAAAAGAAAACTAGTAGAATGGACAATTGACAAAAAAATTCAGTAACGTTTTAGGTTATGAAACCAACATACAAACATCAGTAACATTTCTATATGCCAACAATGAACAATATGAAAACAAAATAAAAAAGTAATCCTATTTACAACAGCCACACATATAATTAAATATCTGAGAATTAACCTAACCAAAGAAGTGAAAGATTTCTTTAATGAAAACTATAAAACACTGATGAAAGAAATTGAATAAGACACCAAAAATAAGAAAGATATTCCATGTTCACAGATCACAAGAATCCATATTTTAAAAATGTCCATAATACCCAAAGTCATCTACAGACTCAATGCAATTCCTATCAAAATACCAATGACATTCTTCACAGAAATAAAAAAAGTACTAAAAGTCATACGAAACCACAAAAGACCCATAATAGCTGAAGCTATCCTAAGCAAAAAGAACAAAACTGGAGGAATCATATTACCTGACTTTAAATTACTACAGAACTATTTTATTCAAAACAGCATAGTACTGGCACAAAAACAGACACATAGACCAATGGAACACAATAGAGAACCCAGAAACAAATCCTCACCCCTACGGTGAACTCATTTTTGACAAAGGTCCTAAGAAGATACATTGCAGAAAAAACTTTTAAAAATCGTACTGGGAAACATGCTATCTATATGCAGATGAAAAAAATTAGACCTCTATCTCTCACCATATACAAAAATTAAATCAAAATGGATTAAAGCCTTAAATTTAAGACCTCAAACTATAAAATTACTACAAAGAAGCACTGGGAAAACTCTCCAAGATACTGATCTAGAGAAAAATTTTCTGAGTAGTATTTCACAAGAACAGGCAACCAAAGCAAAGATGGAGAAATGGGATCACATCAAGTTAAAAAGCTTCGAACAGCAAAGGAAACAATCAACAAATTGAAGAGACAATCCACGGAATGGGAGAAAATATTTGCAAAGTACTCATTTGACAAGGGAGTAATAATGATAATATAAAAGGAGCTTAAATAACTCTACAGAAAAAATATTATCTGATTTATAAATGGGCAAAAGATTTGAATAGACATTCGAAAGAAGACATAGAAATGGCAGACATACAAAAAGGTGCTCAGCATCATTGTTCATCAGAGAAATGCAAATCAAAACCTACCATGAGACATCACCTCACCCCAGCTAAAATGGGTCATACCCCAAAGACAGGCAATAACAAATGCTGGTGAGGATTTGGAGAAAAAGGAATCCTCATATACTGCTGGTGGGAATGTAAATTAGCATAACCACTATGGAGAACAGTTCGGAGGTTCCTCAAAAACCTAAAAATTGAGCTACCATGTGATCCAGCAATCCCACTGCTCGGTATATAACCAAAAGAAAGGAAATCAGTATATCAAAGAGATATCTGTACTCCCATGTTTGTTGCAGCACTGTTTATAATAGTCAAAACTTGGAAGCAACCTAAGTATCCATCGACAGATGAGTGGATAAAGAAAAGTGGTACATATTCACAATAGAATACTATTCAGCCATAAGAAAGAATGAGATTCAGTCACTTGCAACAACATGGATGAAACTGGAGGTAGTGATTTTAAGTGAAACAAGCTAGGCATAACATCATACATTCTCACTTACTTGTGAGATCTAAAAATCAAAATAATTGAAATCATGGACATTGTATAAGAATGATTTTCAGAAGCTGAGAAGGGCAGTAGGGGGCTGTTGGGGAGATTGGGATGGTTAATGGGTACAATAAAATAGAATGAATAAGATCTAGTATTTGATAGCACAACAAGGTTACCATAGTCAATAATAATTTAACTGTACATTTAAAAATAACTAGAAGAGTATGATTGGATTGTAACACAAAGGATAAATGCTTGAGGGGGATGGATAGCCCATTTTCATGACATTATTATTATGCATTACATGCCTATATAAAAATATTTCATGTACCCCATAAATATACACACCTACTGTGTACCCACAAAAATTAAAAATAAAAAGTTTTAAAAAGAATATGCAGGAAACAATAGAGAGTCAATGTATATATAGTGCAAATTAATAAAATTGCTCATTGAAATAAACAAGTTTAGGTAGGGTCAGAGTAGAAGACCTCACACTTTCTAACAGTAATAATAACATTAATGTTGTCTTATGTTGGGAGCTTTCATCATAGGATTAATGACATACTAACTGATCTGATTTAGAGTTAGGGCAATATAAGTGCATATGGGCCTTGTTAACCATGCTGTTTTATTTCAGGATGTTAAGGCAGCTAGTTATCCAAATTTCAGTAAGTGGGTATCTTTTTCTCTTTTATCTTCTCTCTTGAGCCCTTTATTTCTCCAAATGACAATACTTTAAACTACTTACCAGAAAGCACTACTGGGTGCCCCTGTCCTAGGGGTCCTATGGAATAGGCTTGCAAAATAATAGGCTATATGTAGGCATGCAATTATTTCTATGACCCCTTCTCACCTGGTTTCCAATTCCATAAATGATTATCATCTTCCTTTGTAAGAGGTAATCCCAGGATTCCGCTGTCTCACTAGAGATTAAACTTTTTTTTTTTTTTTTTTTGCCTAGGCTTTAGGTTCCTAACCACTGTATTCTGATTTTTATTTTGGGAGAATGGTGAGGGAGGAGAGGAGGCCAACTGTACTCTATATAAATTTGAAAATAAGCTTTTGTGGCAGGGCATGGTGGCTCACACCTGTAATCCCAGCACTTTGGGAGGCCGAGGTGGGAGAATCACCAGGTCAGGAATTCGATACCAGCCTGGCCAACATGGTGAAACTCCGTCTCTACTAAAAATACAAAATTAGCCGGGCATGGCATCACACGCCTGTAATCCCAGCTACTCAAGAGGCTGAGGCAGGAGAATCACTTGAACCCGGGGGGGCGGAGGTTGCAGTGAGCTGAGATCATGCCACTGCACTCCAGCCTGGGCAACAGAGTGAGACTCTGTCTCAGAAGAAAAAAAGAAAGAAAGAGAAAGAAAGAGAGAGAGAGAGAGAGAGAGAGAAAGGGAAAGAAAGAAAGAAAGAAAGAAAGAAAGAAAGAAAGAAAGAAAGAAAGAAAGAAAGAAAGTTAGTTCATGTTTTCTATTCTAGAACCCACCAGCAAAATCCAAGACTCAGAATTCTATGGAAGTAATTAGAAAGTTTTTTATGAGAGTTCTTCATTGTTAGCCCTTTCACTTGACACTCTTGTTCGAAAAATTAGCTACACTGTATCTATTTTCTATTCAATTTCTGATTTTCAAAAAGATGTTGAAATTTTTTTTATAATGTAACTTCTTCCATTTTCTTTATCCAAGGATGTAGTTTATTTTTATTATAATTAATATACCCATAGTAGTTTATATAGTTTGGGTATGTGTCCCTGACCACATCTCATGTTAAATTGTAATCCCCAGTGCTGGAAGTGGGCCTGGTAGGAGGTGATTAGCTCATGGGGGTGGGTTTCTTATGAATGGTTTAGCATCATCCCCTTGGGACTGTCTTCCCCATTGTTCGCAAGTTCTTGCAAGTTATTGTTGTTTAAAAGTGTGCGGCAGCCCATCCAAGCCAGGGGCCATGTTATTTCCTCTGCGCCTGATGGCAGCCGCTGGAGTCAGAGCCTGGCATCTCCACCACTTCCGCCTTCTGCTATGCAGGTCCCAACCCTCTCTCTGTTCTCATTGCACTCAGATGGGCCAGCCCAGAGCTCTGTATGGCCATGAGAAATTTCTTGCACTCCTATAATAAGCCGGCATTGTGATGGAATACTTTCTCCCTGTCATTTGAGTGAATCTTCTCAACAACACTAGGAGATAATGATGATTGAATTGAACAACTAAGAGTTCTGAAGCCAAAGCTCTTAACGGCAGGAAAATCATCACTTTTTAAAGTAATTCTCTTTGGAGATGGTGGAGTTGGAAAGAGTTATCTTATGCACAGATATGTAATTAATAAGTTTGATACCCAGCTCTTTCATACAATAGGTGTGGAATTTTTAAGTAAAGATTTGGAAGTGGATGGACATTTTGGTACCAAGTAGAATTGGGACACAGCAGGTCAGGAGTGATTCTGAAGCCTGAGGATGCCATTTTACAGAGGTTCTGACTGCTGCCTGCTTACTTTTAGTGTTGACAATTCCAAAGCTTCCAGAACTTAAGTAACTGGAAGAAAGAATTCTTATATTTCGCTGATGTGAAAGAACCCAAAAGCTTTCCTTTTGTAATTTTGGGTAACAAGACTGACAGTGAACAGCAGGTGTCTGCAGAAGAAGCCCAAGCCTGGTGCAGGGACGGCAGCGACTATCCTTAATTTGAAACAAGTGCAAAAGATGCCACAAATGTGGCAGTAGCATTTGAAAAGGGGGTTCCAAGAGTTCTTACTACCAGGGATAGGTCAGATCACTTGACTCAGAGAGTGATGGTCTGACTTCATCGAAACCATTGGTCAATCTTCATTGAAAGCCCAAGCCTAGCTCATCTTAATGTTGATTGTTAAAGACATTGTTGATGCATTCTAAACAACTCACAGGTACACACAAAATCAACATGGGGATGGAGAAGAGAATTAGCATTTGCAGCAGTGTATCATCTACTAATAAAATTAAACTAATGTATAGTGCTGCTTTTCAATAGTTGGTAGGAGAAGGAACACATCCACTCATGGAGGAGTCTGTTTACTGAATAATGGCACCTTACATTTATAAATTGCAACAGTTGTTTAACAACATTTCTTTAATTTAAACATGTAAGTCACACAGCTAATAAATAAGATGATCAAGACTTTAATTACAATTAAAACAAGAAACTTGACTATTCTAGAAATTATGCTTGGATTTTTTCCTGGGAAAACAGAGAACTACTTTTTATATGTGTATCTTTTTATGCAATTAGCATTGTATTCTTAGTTCAGGGAAAATATATCCAAAAGCAATAGTATTAGATATTAAATATTAAAATCTAATGTATTTGAAAAAAAAAAGTGTGGGACACCTCCTCCCTCTCTTGTTCCTGCTTTCACTATGTTGATGTACCTCCTCTCCCTTTACATTCTGCCATGAGTGTAAGCTTCCTGAGGCCTCCCCAGAAGCAGATACACCTACGTTTTCTGTACAGCCTGCAGAACTGTAAGCCAAATAAACTTCTGTTCTTTATAAATTGCCCAGTCTTAGTATTTCTTTATAGCATTGCAAGAATGGTCTAATACAATAGGTATTATGTAAAATTCTAAGTTGATCATTATATTCAACATAATGTTTTCCTCTGTTTTACAGTTGATATATCAACTGATATATATAATAGAAGTTTTTCCAGATCTTTATTTCCTGAAGGTCTGTCTTTGCTCACCTGTTTTCTCTTTTGCCAAAAGAAGGAAGTGTGAATCTGATAATTCAAAGTTCAAGAACATTAATTTGGACATGTGACTAGTTGGCTAGGGTGCTATTATTACTAAGCATAAATCTATATAGTATTTCTTAATTTACATTCCTCTCTGACATGCAGGATGACTAAATTAAGGCAGAACTGTTTCTTCAAGGTAGATCAGATACATTATCCTTTTTTTTATCCTACTCTTTATTTTGTTGCCACACTGTATTTTTAGAGAAAATAGGCTGTAATCTATTAGAACCCTTTGTTTCTTTTCCTTTCTTTAGGTGGCTGCTGAGAATGTAGTTATAAATGTACTTTGAATACAGGCCTTAAAAATCTGGGAAGTCTTGCCTAAGTTTTCGGTCTTAATCACTGATGTTGATCCTACTATATGACATTTGGTTATGGGCATTAGGCTCATTTTTAATAAGGCATTAATTGATTTCCCATTTCTCAGGAACTCCAAGGAGAGGAGAGATAACTTGCAGGACAAGACTGAGATGTTATTAAGTATACTATCAAAACAACATTTATACTTTTTGAATAGTCTGGAAAAATAAAAGTTAGAACTTTTTAACACTTTACCAAGATATTGTTTTGACCTTCCCTTGGTGTGCTATCTTAACCAAGACTAAAGACTGTTTAGAAGTAACAGATTCAGCCTTGTAACCTGAAGATAATTAGATCAGACAAGTTTTACAACGAGCAAAAACCAAGAACAGACAGAAAAGAGACTCGGAGAATCCTGACAAAAAGGGCTAACCATAGCTTACTACTTTCCAAGACTTGGACTCTTGCCATCATGTGCACTTCATTGCTATGTCAAGAAGCAAGTCCTGACAGAATTGCACAATAAGATCTCAGCAGTATTCTTACTGACTGCAAAAAACTGGAGATTCTTTATAGGGTTAGAAAATACTTTTGGATTTTTATTAGTTTCCTATTGATGCTGTAACAAATTACCACAAACTTGGTGGTTTTAAAAAATACAAGTTTATTACCTTATACTTTCGAAGGTCAGAAGTTTTCAAATCAAGGTGCCAAGAGGTCTGAGTTTCTTTTGGAAACTCTAAGAGAAAGTGAATTTTTCTGTCTTTTCTGGTTTCCAGAGGCTGTCTGCATTACTTGGCGAGTGGTCACTTCCTTGCATATCTACAATCTTTGCATCCATTGTTACTTCTCCTTCTCTTTGACCTTCTTGCTGGCATCTTATATGAACTTTCATGATTACATTAGTCCTATCTGAATAAGCCAAGTCAATAACCACATCTCAGGATGCTTACCTTAATCCCCTAGACCAAGGCCTTTTTGCTGTGTGAGTTAACGTATTTACAGATTTATGGAATTAGGAGGGGTGCAATTTTAGAAGGATATTATTCTATGCAATGTTGTATAGAATTTTGTAACAGTAGCTGGTCAGTATACTTACTGCCCCAGTAAGACTAGAAGTTGTACTTTTGATTTAAAAATTACTTGACATTGTATTTAGCAACAGTGTTTTCTAAAATTTGTAAATCAATAAATGAGATTTCTAAAATAATATATCTTTAATGACACTTAAGTTTGACAACCAATAACTGCTACAGCTTTAAATATTGCATTCATACCTTCACATCTGGTGATATAAACTTCAAGATTTGTCTCTGAATCAGAATATTCGGCAAAATAAAACAATTTACTACAAGTGTTTGTCCCTTTCATGTGCATAATTTTATGCTTCCCCTTCAGCTCCTCAACCTTTAACACTTAGGCTTGACTACCAATCCCAATATTGTACATCTTTGTTTTCTCACAGATCTTGCATATTCACATAAAAAAAGTAAAAGTTATAGTTTTCACAGGAGGGAGTTTCAGCAGGTGAAATATATTTTTTGTGAAAATGAATATTATACATTTTAGTATATATACGAATGAATAGTATACACATAGCTATGTAAAAACTAGTTAACACAGTAGAAAAACTATAATAATTTATTAGCACAAGTATGAGATCATATATTAGTGCTCATTTTGCTTGGAGTTTAACTTTTGTCAAATTGCTTAAATGCCTCAAGCCTAAATTTATTTGAATTATAGAGATGTACTACCTAAGAATATTTGTGTAATGTTCAAGTAAGAGCATGTGTGTGAGCTTAGAACAGTAATTAATATTTGATAAGCCTCAATAAATTGTAATCACTATTATAGAAAATCACAAATTTCTTCCCTGTATCTAATGAAAGTCCTGTACCTCAAAACTAAGTAATAGTAACATATTACAGAAAATGTCAAGTTCTCCAATCACTTTATAAATTGTATACTTCCCAAAACTTCTTTAGTACAAAATGGCAAATAGTCTAACTTACTATTAAAGCTCTTTTTCAATTTGTTCAGTTTTGACTTGCTGTGTTAGCAACACAGTTATATAAACCAGTGTTAATACCCAATAGGCTTAAATGACTTGGTAACAGGAGTAGATTAGTCACTCCCCAAAGTTATCAATTAATATTATGCTTTACATCTAATTTAGTTAAATTTCTTCAAAAATCAATAGTGCAGAAAGAAATTCTACCTTTAAAGTCGTTAAATTATTTGAGATTTGTTATCTTTTGTGAGCAGTCATTTTAATTTTATAGAGATGAAAAGTGTCCTCACTTGAAATAAATGAACAGGGGCTATTGTAGTGTACATTTTTTGAGGTTTGTCTTTCTGGATTCAAGAAATAATAGGGGGAGAGGACGGGTAGAATGCATAAACATTTGTATTCTAGATGTTATAACTAGCAATAATTAAAGGACTAAATTCAAGAACTACAGAAAAGAGTTGCTACCAACTTAGATATCAGATCCTGAGAGGTATACATTATGTCATTAACTATAGTCACCGTATTATGCAGTAGATTTCAAACACTTCTTTCTCCAGTCGAAATGAATCTTTGTACCCTTTGATCTCCCCATTACCTTCCCCGCCTCTGATAACTACCATTTTACCTCTTAAAAATTCCACAATATACACGTATATCAAAACATCACATCATACCCCATAAGTACACTTACTTGTTTAGTAAAAATAAAAATATACATTTTAAAAACATCATCAGAGGTGAAGTGTGCCTTCTCAGTATTTTCATTTTGTCCACTACAAACAAGCCCAGCTATAGTAAACGTAGCTTGTTTCTTAACTTAGCTATTAAATTTGTTGGTATGATGAATAAAAAAAGAGTAGATACATCAATAGGACCTGATACTGATCTATCAAAATTTTAACTTAATTTGTCATTTCTTGATGAACTTTAACTCAACCCCTAACATATTTAATTTCATCAAATTTCCATTCCAAGCTTTATTTCTATTACTAAAAAAATTTAAAATTAACTCTACATAAATGTTTTCAATTATGTTCTTCTTTTGATGGTTTTGACTTCTTTAAAAATGTTAAGTCACTAAAGCCAAAATATTTAAAGTCCTTTCATAATTTGTTGACTGAAAGTGATTAATACATTTTGAATATTCTTATTTTAGTGCTCAAAAATATTTACATTATTTATAATTGGGCTATCTAATATTGTAATATTCAATAAAAATAGAACTTAGTTCTCCTGACAGAAGAGTGTCACCCTTCAAGTGATCTACAAAAAAAAAATTTGCACAGTTTTATATTAGTGTTAAAATCTTTTAGAAAGCCAGAGGCAGACATTTAATTCCTTTAAGATGTGTTTATGCTCATATACACCTCGAAGGAACATGATGTAAATGAAGTTACTTATATTTAAGAGGGTGCACAAGGTTATAAAAGTTGCTGAGCAAAATGAGAGTTAGTGCTGACTAGGAATTATGAATTGTGTGGCAAAGCTAAGATAGCAGTGGAGTTTAAAACTAAAAATTAATAATGTATGATTGTTATCTTCTCCAGCCTTGCTAAGAATCCTAAGGTTATAGTTAATATTTTGGCTAGTTAAGTTACTTCAAGGTTGAGTTTTGCCATATCAGACATTGACTATGAGTCAACAAAGTTTGTCGTTGAAATATTAAGTTATTATAAATATGACAGACTATGGAATGTAAACAAAGAAAAACATCAGTAAAGACTGGTTGATACTGATAGACAGATTAGAAGTGAGGAGCCCAAGAAAATGAATAAGATTTAATGAGGTTAGTAACTAGAGTAGAGTAGAAATAAAAGAGTGAGAATAGGATGCATAATTGTACTTAGATCGTAAAATTTTTGAATTTAAGACACCAGAGATAGAACAGTTGCCAATAATGTTAAAATTCAGATATGGCTGTGGGAAATGAAGGATCAGATCAAATCACTCAAGAGGCTACGATATAGGGATATTTGTCTGCATGGAGATTTGGATTCACCCAGGTTGATACCAACTATTGGTCTAGTAAAGCAGATCTTATTTTTAGGTGATGAGCTCATTAAATGAGAAAATCTAACCAGAATATTACCAAAGAAAAAACAAGAGAGATAGATGCCATGAGTCTTAAGTGCAAATAATTGGAGCTATTGCAGCTTAAGGTGGATATGTTGTTTGTTTTGAAAGGGTTGTGTTGGCTTTGGTAAGAGCAAATAAAGTGGCTACTACAGCACTGTGAAGATACTGAGGAGCTTGTTGACTTCATTTGGGAAGCAATCGCTGTCAAATAATCTTTAGAGAGTTAATTTATAAAGTGTTGAGTCTAAACAGATAAAGAGGAGAGATGCTTTGTTCATGGGGTATCTTAAAATGAAGTACAAGCCTAAGCTCCATCTGTATATCAGAAGTAATCTTTTCTTTTTGACTCCAGACTAGAACATCAACTTGTGTGTATTGTGAAATGAAGTCAATAGCCAAAAGGCAGGATTAGTTGGTGCTCCCAAAATTTGGAGGCAGTAATAAAAGTATAGGTATACACTAGAACTTTCCTAATTTCAGTGGATTAAAACATGTAAATCTCTCCATATATTTATACAATTTGTCTTATCTGCAGACTTTTGTATATCTATGTAGATACATTTTATAGGTGTATATATATATATAATAATTATTTATGTATAGCCACTGTTTCTGTTCATATCACTATCACACTGGATTTATCTGAACTTTGGCATGTGGAATTTGTGAAGCTTATTATTAATCTTTTAAATGGTTCATGCATGAAGCACAGCATAACATGTACTAGGCAAAGGATTATTTTCAAATCTGAAAATTACACCACTGATATTTTAGGCATAGATTACTTTTTCTTTCTTCTAAATCATGGAATTCACTTTATGTTTCCCTATGTTTCCATAGCTACTTCACTTAATTCAGTGGTATTAAATTTATTTCAAACACATGAAGGCCTTATACGATCTGTCAAGGAAAAAGAAACTTTTCAATATTAATATATATATATATATATATAGGAGTTAACCTTTTATGTGAATTCTTTGATAGTAGGATTTCAATAGTAGTAGATACAGTGAAATCAATAAAGGTCAGAAAAAAGATTTCTTTAGCAAATATTACTAGGAAATGGTAAAAATGTATATCATAAAGCAGAATTTAAACTTGATGTTCTGAACTCCTGCTCTACGAGGTTATTTCATTATTGATATAATAAACCTTTCACTGAAGAGGTAAAAAAAACTTGGAAATAGCTCCAAAATCTATTTTCCAATGATAGTAAAAATAATGGCTAAAGTGTGATATTATAATCTTAGGCATATGTATAAAATAGCAATAAGCTAATATTCTTGAATTATCTTGAAGAATATTTGAGCCCCATTTAGAATAGTATCATAGGCAATAAATGGCAGGTTGGAATTTTGCAAATCTATTAGAATGTATACAAGGAAAGCACAATTTAAAGAAAAAAAAAACTCCTCAAATCAACTATCTCTACATGTGGAGAATCTATCAGCTCCTGTGTCCTTCCACTGAAAATTAAAGAAGAATTAGAATTAAGAAAATTCTCAAAGCAGAATGAAAGGAACAATGAGAAAGCCTGTAAAAGTGACTAAAAATACACTTTAGTTCTAAAAATGGAAAATATTAAATATATCAGTCGGCTATTTGTACTTTATAATCATTACTTAATATATTCAAATCCAAATGATAATTCAGAGATTTTTTAAAAATATATTTATCAGTGATATAAAAGGAAAATTATAAATAAATAAAAAGGAAAGCACAAAAATAACAAGGAAATGAAAATAATTGAATATAATCCTTCAGAAAAATCAAAAGTAGAAATGTAGAGTATATTTTTGAAAAGCATTAGTATATAAGAAGATTAGAAAAATCAACCAGTGATGAGATACACAATTTGGAAACTGAAAAAAGCTGAGAAAATGGTGGTTAAATTTAATTTTTTTATCAACTTAATCATGTATCTTTACATTTCATTTCAATATGTAATTAAAACTGGTCATGTAAATTTGCCATTTAGTAAGCTATTCACTAAAAAATGTTCCTAAAGCTCTCCAGGAAGAACAAGAAAAATGCTTAGAAAAGTTGAAAATTAGATTCAAGAACCATTTATTTCTTCCTAGGTAACAGTGGCTGAAATTGAGAGAAAGAAAAATGGCCTGAGTTACTGTTCTTTACTTATGGACAAGGATGCATTGCAATAACTTTCTTCTGAGGAAATTAAAATTACATGCTATGGTAGTATATTCATAGTCAGAATATGTCTTAATTTTTTTGTCACATGTTACATTTTGATAAGTTAGTTTGCCAAAGAAAATGTATTTTGTCAACCCAAAGTATATTAACTTGTGTGTGTATAGGTATATGTGAGTGTGTGTTTATGTAGCAATCTCTTCCCACATCTGTTTAATTAATTAGGCATTTTTTTGTCCTTACTTTGTACTTCGTTTATGCTACTGGAGGCTCACAGGGAGTTAAAAGAAAACCCTAATTACCTAGCTAACATATTTTATAACACATGAGTGATGAATTAATACCAAAAGTTTATTTGAAGCAAATATTGTATTTGGAGGCAAAAAGTTTGAAGGTTTTATTACAGTGGTCTAACAAATATTGAGTCTTTAATGGGAGAATTGCTCACTGGAGTAAATTAAAACTGGAAGTTGAAGCTGCAAATATTCACAGAGGGAATTGGTGTATAATTTTAAATTGCCAATAGCCTGGTTTAACATTTTAGCACGCAATCAACTTGGCAGAATCAGACTTCTTGACACAGGTGCACAGCAGGAGCCTTGTAAGAACCTTATTGAAGAGAACTGGTCAGGATTTTACAGTTTCATCTTCTGTTTGTTACCAACATGTCATTTTATGTCTCAGTGAGCTTTGCTAATAATAATATAAATGAGATGTTTCAAAATACTTTGGCGTTTTTAATCACAGATTTTAATAAAACCATAAAAGTCATAATAATTTTATAGCCTCGAGGTAGAACAATTAAAAATAATATGCCTTATTAAGAAAGTAAGAAACTTCTTTGATGAAGCTAGAGGTTAAATTTGGAGGAGTTTAGATATTCAGTAAACTGTAACACTAACATTTAATCAAATTAGTTGGTAATTTTGAAGACTGAAGCTTAGGTTATAAAAGTTTCCCAGTCAGTATGTTTTTCTATTTTACGTTATGTCATATTAGAGTAATTATTTGCATACTCAAGTAATTATTTGCATTCTCATACAAATGTTATAGAGATAAGTATGTTGGCTCTAGAACTAAACTGCTTGGTCTTGAATCCTCCTATTTTCAATTACTGTCATTACTGCCCATAGAACCATAGGTAAGTTAAATAACCTCTCCGTACTTCATATTTCTCATCCATGAAATGGGAATAAAAACACACCTCAAAGGAATTAAATAAATTACTCCGCATAAGCCTGGAATAATAAGCACTAGCTATAATTGTTATTGTTTGTTATTATTGTTACTTCATATTCAAGAAAAAAAAAGGAAAATATGGTTATAAAATGTTGGCTATCACAAACTGTTGCAAGTAGCTTTAACCTGTTTTTAAGAGTCCCGATAATACATTTATTGATTGACATGATTTTCTTTTTTCAAAGGGAAGAAAATGAAACAAACAAAAACAAAATTTAAAAAATAAAAGAAACAAGCAAAATGGATATTATATTTAAACAGTGCAATTCAGTTTACAATCAGTTCTCTGTTCTAATTTGCTGTTTCCCAGACAGCACATTATAAGAAAATCTTCATTTTTAATGATAGAGCTCAAGAAGCATCCATGTCTAAATAAGCACTACATTTTAAAAATGTATTTTCCATATAAATGGAGGCTTATAAATCTCTTCTCAGATTTCCATACCCAAGATGAAATAGATGTACAGCTTATGACATGCATACTGCAAGAATTAACTGAAGTTAAAACAGCACTATATCTATGAAATTCTTTAAATTTTGAAAAACCATCATTTCTCTCATTGTTCCTTCTGTATATTTCCTAGTAAACTCTACTCTGCTTCCTTCTGATAAAGTTGAAAGTTATAGAGGTCAAGCTCAGTGATTCTGACATCACCTGTACTCTCAGAAACCAGAGATGCAATCTCAGAGGAGGTGAGTCAAGCTCACATATTTTTTCAAGACAAAAAAGACGGAATTGCATTTAGTATGAGTTTTCTGTAGTTTGAGAACTATACAGTTGACTGAATTGAGCAAAAATATTCATCCTCTGCACTTGTCTTGTATGGAATAATGCTTACAAGCTGTTTCTGTATTGGTTCTTTCCATAGTTGTTCAAATACTTGCCCCTATTTAAATTTTTTTCTCATTTAAAATTTTCATATCACAGAATGTCACACTATATTTTCTACATTGGTAATTGGTTACATAACCTATAAACATACTTGTTGACTAACCGAATGTACTATTATCTGAATCCTC